>NC_000001.11:67129592-67432622 GCF_000001405.40 Homo sapiens
ATATGAAATGGGTCACTCTTGTGGTACCTAACTAAAACACAGTGAGAAGCCAGGGTAAGAGAAAACACTCAGGGCACAGAACATCGCTCCAAAAATGCAGTCCCTCTGCAAGTCTGGCAGCTGAAATTGACTGCTGTGACCTAAACCAGTTGTATCTAATAGCTACTGAAAAGACCTGTGGCAACTCTAAACCAATTTTGCCCACAGCCTTCACTTACCAATCTTGTCAGTGCCTCAAAACCTCACTAGTGCCAATTTGTAACATTTCCTGGTTTTATAAAACCTCTAACCTATTCTTTGTTCTTCAGAATATACTGAAGACTACTGCTCTGTGTGTATGCCCTAATTGCAATTATTTCCTCCCAAATAAATATTTTGATTTTAGAGATTAGTCTCTATATTTTATTTGACATTGACAGGGTAAAGGCATTAGCATAATGTGAATGCTGATGACTTTCTGGATTTCTTACAGGACAATAGGGGACAGATTTTGAAAGAGAACATACATTATGATTATGTGGACATATTTTCTTTTCAGACCCAAGAAACATCCCTCTTGTAAAACTAAACTAAACTAAAACTCTCCGAGGAGTTTTAGCTTTTGTGTTTCCCTTAAACATAATATGAGTTCAAGAGGGGGAGAAGGCTTTCATATTCCCCACCTAAGTTTATTTTACTGGAGACAAAGATTTCTATTTTTCAGCAAGACACAGGTAAATAACTGGAAGAATCAATGTATTGAAGTGAATGAGTTTCCCAGTTTGGGGAACGTATAAACTACATGAGGGCCAGCTGAAACAATGCTGCTCATTTGTGAGAAAGAACAGAAAGCAGATCTTTTTACAGTAAGGTGTCCTACACCTCTCACTTTTAGTCACCCCATCTTCAACACCACATAGGACATTTTAAGAGGCAAAATGTCATCCCATTATACACACACACATACGCACATGCACGCACATGCACACACAGCTGTATTTTTCTATATACAGTTAACCATAGCATGAAATAATTTTTATGTTTTTGCTTTAAAAATAGTTTGCTAAGAGTAAATTATTTGGCTATGAATGATTTCTGGAAAATCACTGTGCAGATCATGAATTTTTTTGAAGTGAGAAAAACTAACCAATTATTTTCAAGGGTCAACAACAGTTTTATGAATACTAAATTTGCCGGTTAATGAAATTGACTGAATGTTAGTTTTGTAGTATTAATTTCATATTTTGAAACTAATACAATTTTTTCAGTTTGCAAATTCTTTTCTCCCATCGGTCTTTGGCAATGTGCCAATGGTGCCTAATGGATAAATGGCCCTGGGAAAAAGTGGAGGTGAGGAAACACTATAGATTAACTTGCTTGCTTTCATCATTATATTTCATAAGTTCATCAAGGGCCTATTTTGTGTCTCCTCAAATAAATGCTGAGAGCAAAGGAACATCAGTACTAATATGATGGTGTTCCCCAACTACTTTGCATAAACTAACTACTAATCTTTTAATGCAAAATGAATCAAGACGATATTAAATGGGCTGGGCGCAGTGGCTCATACCTGTAATCCCAGCACTTTGGGAGGCTGAGGCAGGCGGGTCACTTGAGGTCAGGAGTTTGAGACCAGGCTGGCCAACATGATGAAATCTATTAAAAAAAGAAAAATACAAAAAAAGAAAAGAAAATTAGCTGGGCATGGTGGTGCATGTTTGTAATCCTAGCTACTCTGGAGGCTTAGGCAGGAGAATCCCATGAACCCGGGAGATGGAGGTTGCAGTGAGCCAAGATCACACTACTGCACTCCAGCCTAGGTGACAGAGTGAGACTCCTTCTCAAAAACCAAAAACAAACAAACGCAATGCCATCAGAGCTGTCTTTCTTAAACAGGACACTGATCAGGACCAGTTCCAGCCCACAAACCTTGGCTTGCTCTCATAACCTGAAGAATACCCAAACTCTTCAGATGACATATGAGACCATCCAAGAAAAGATAGTCCAGGATCTGGCTCAGCCCACCTTTCTAGTTTATTCCTCCTTCCCCTTTCTGTTCCACCATTTTCTACCACTCTTACTTCCTGGACACGTCCTGCCCTTTTCTCAAGCACACCATTCACTCCTGCATTTCCTTCTACTCAGAATGTTCTCCCACATGTCTTCCAGTCAAAAGCCTACTCTTTATGAAATATGGTATGAAGACTACCTCTTCTTTTTTTTTTTTTTTTTTTTTGAGATGGAGTCTCGCAGTCTAGGCTGGAGTGCGGTGGCACAATCTTGGCTCACTGCAACTTCCACCTCCCGGGTTCAAGTGATTCTCCTGCCTCAGCCTCCTGAGTAGCTGGGATTACAGGTGCCCGCCACCACACGCAGCTAATTTTTGTATTTTTGGTAGAGATGGGGTTTCACCATATTGGCCAGGCTGGTCTCAAACTCCTGACCTTGTGATCCGCCCACCTCGGCCTCCCAAAGTTCTGGGATTACAGTGCCCAGTCATGACTACCTCTTCTATGAAACTTTCCTTGGCATTGTCTCATTCCTTGTCTCGGTGACAGTCTATTTATTGTGTGCTCCTGGCCTCAAGCAATCCTCCAGCCTCTCAGCCTCCTGAGTAGCTGGGATTACAGGCAAGAGCCACTACACCAGGTTTTAAGAGGTTTACTCGCTGGGCGTGGTGGCTCACATCTGTAATCCCAGCACTTCAGGAAGCTGAGGCAGGTGGATCACTTCAAGTCAGGAGTCGAGACCTGCCTGGCCAACATGGTGAAACCCTGTGTCTACTAAAAATACAAAAAAAAATTAGCTGGTCATGGTGGCGCACGCCTGTAATCCCAGCTACTTTGGAGGTTGAGGCAGGAGAATAACCTGAACCCAGGTGGCGGAGGTTGCAGTGAGGTGTGATCGTGCCACTGCACTCCAGCCTGGGTGACGAGCGAGTCTCCATTTCAAAAAAAAAAAAGAGGTTTACTCTTTGACAGATCTCTTCCTTACTGGGTTGAAAGCTCATTTGAAGCAAGAATTGACTTATCCACCTCCGACTCTCAGCCTCAGGCAAAGCGTTTTACATCTAACGGGGATTTGAAAATTACAATTTAATTTGGAGATGTCTCTGAATATAAATTTTTAGGAAGAGTAATCCTAGTTTATCTGTAATAAATGATGTTACTTCATAATGATTTACTGGAAGATGAAATAAAAAGTTGAGTGTATTATTATAAAATGGGGTTATTGCCAATCTAAACTTGGTAAAATTGTTTTGAAAGGAAACTTGGATTTATGTTCTTAATTTCTAGCACAGTAGTGACAGTTTTTTGTTGTTGTTTGTTCGTTTGTTTTTAAAGAACACAATGAAATAGAGGCCATGCCAATTGGGGCAGAATGAATTCCCAATTACTCTCACAGTGAATCATCTACAGGCCTCACTGCAAAAACTTGCTCTCAACAAAAATTGTAGGTCAATATTATTAGCATATCAGAGACTAAGTCATATCTAAAATAAAAATGTCTTAAATATTTTAAGAGAACAATTTTATTTTAACAGCACCTTTGGGACTAAAAACAAACAAACAAAAAATAACAAAACCCAGTGTCGTCAATATAATAGGCTCAGCTGAGAAGAGTTCTTCAGCAAGTTCTAAACAACTCAGGAAAACTAAGAATCTCTAAAGTTACAAACTAAAGGCCTGAGAAATTATCTAGAAAATGCAGGCTTAAATTAAAATTCACTTCCATTATGTGGCTTTATCAGTTCAAATGCTTACTCCTTGAGGACGAGGCCACTTCTTACACTCTTATCTGACACAGTCCACTACTGAGACCACAGTAGGGACTCACTTCATCTGTTAAATGATTAATGTTTACTCAATAATTAGATAACTGGCTGAGTTATCTCCATCTCACATTCCAAGGATAGACTTAGGGGAATCTTTTTTCTTTAAATCTAAAATGTTGATAAATGGCCCATATTATAGGCTGAATTATGTTGCCCCTAAATTCGTATGTTGAAGTCCTAGGCCCCAGGATCTCAGACTGTGATTGTATTTGGACATACAGCATTTAAAGAGTAAAGTTAAAATGGGGTTGTTAGGGTAGGCCTCTGGCCAGTATGACTGGTGTCATATAAGAAGAGGAGATTGGGACACCGAGGATACACAGAGGAAAGTCGTTGTGAAGATTCAGTGAGAAGGCAGCCACCACCCCAAGCCAAGGAGCGAGGCCTCTGAAGAAAACAACCCTGCCCACCTCTCCATTTCCAACTTTTAGTGTCTAGAACTGTAAGAAAACAAATTTCTGTTGTTTAGCCACTCTGTCTATGATGTTTTGTCATGACAGTCCCAGCAAGCTAGTACAGCCCAGGCACTGAGAACTAATTTAAAAACCCGACCTATGTGCTTAGTTCCGCATTATGCATTTTCTTGTCCCTTATTTATTTATTTTTATTTTTGAGACGGTCTCACTGATTCTGTCACCCAGGCTGGAGTGCAGTGGCTGCGATCTCAGCTCACTACAACCTCCGCCTCCCAGGTTCAAGCGATTCTCCTGCCTCAGCCTCCCCAGTAGGTGGGACTACAGGCGCCCACCACCATGCCCGGCTAATTTTTGTATTTTTAGTAGAGACGGGGTTTCGCCACTGTGGCCAGGCTGGTCTCTAACTCCTGACCTCAAGTGATCCGCCCGCCTTGGCCTCCCAAAGTGCTGGGATTACAGGCGTAAGCCAACGCGCCGGCCTGGAAGGGAAGTTTCTAAGAAAAACTACTAAGGAATTTTAAAACTATGATGTACGTGGATTGTGGAGTATTATTGTGGGCGACTAATCAGATAATGATTGCAAGAATTGATTAGCCAGCTCGAAATCGCAGCACAATTACCGCAGGGGCGATCAGCTTCCACCATCCATTCCAGGATGTTGGGAGTCGTCAATTTGGAAATGTATCAATTAAGCGGCCCCCAGAGCCTCTCGCATCTCTTGCCCGGCCCCGAGTCACCTTCCCCCAGGTGCCTCCATCTCGCTGGAAACATAGGAAGCCCGACTCAAACGCTCTATGCCTATGGTCGTTTCATGGGAAAGCAAAATTAAGGGCAACATTGAGGAAGCTCATTAATATTTAGTTTAGAAGATGCAAAGGGTTCTTCCGCGAACCTGGAAGAGCCCCCCGGGCTCGCCTCTCGCCGCGGTCCCACACTTGCCTGACCTCAACCACACTCTCCCGGTCCAGGCCCCGCTGGAGAACGTCCCACCGACTCCGGGGACAGAAAGGCCGTTTATGTAAAACGACGTTTTTCCTATTTCGCCTCCCACCCTCATGCAAATTTTGATTTTCAACTCTTCCAACCCTTCCGCACCCTGAAACAAACCTCATCTCCTTTCCTCCCTCTTCTGGCTCCGCGGGTTACTCGCCCCGCCCCCACCCTTCAGTCCCTTAGCAACGCGTCCTCGGTCCGTAGAAACCGGTTGCCGAGCTCTGCCTACCTCTGAAAGGCCTAGAGAGCAGAGTTCTCTTCTCAGAGGGGCTTCGCCCACAGACTTTTGTCACTAAAAGCCCAGGTGACTCCCCAGATGCTTACGGATATTAAAACCGATTATGCTGAAGGAGTGGAAGGAGAGTCAAGTAAAAGAAGAAGATCAAGTAAAAAGAACTGGGGAACAGTGACTTTGTTTCCCCTTATTGTACCTCCTTTCTCCTTTTGTGCTTTCCTGGAAACATCGAATTTCAAAAAGAAGCTTACAAAGTCCACCATACAGCTTGCAGGTCTGAATGGAAGTCAACAGTTTATATTTGAATATTTGATGGAAGATTGCTTTCATGGCTTATGATATTAAAAACAGCAACAACAAAAAACCATTCTTATTTCCAAGGCCAAGAAACCTCCCGTGTGGTTAGTAAAATCACCACTGTATTACGCAAGTTGTGTAGCAGACTTGGCTGCACACACACATACCACTTAGCATTTTTATGAGACATAATGGAGATACACTGACATACATTCTGCTGTATTTACTGTATCCTAAGGAACCATTTGTCCTTATTGCTCACTTGTGTGAGCAGAAAATGCACTAAGGCCATGGGAATCATTTATTTTTAGAGCCATAATCTAAAAATGACTGACTTGAAAACAGCTTGTATTTAATTTAAAATGATGGGGAATTTCACAATATTGGTTACATTTTAAGTCAGGGGTTGTTCATCATTCCAAGAATGTACCTTATCTGATGCATCAAAATAGGGGGAAAAGCTTTAAAAAACAGCACTTCAACATCTGTGAGAAGAAAAGGAAAAAAAGCACCAGAATTAATCATCACAAGTCTGTGCTAGTGGCAATGGCAAAACTGCAAAAAAAAAAAAAAAAAAAAAGTATAGTTATGTAGCAATCCAAATTTGGCTAGAAATTGATATTAATAGTCAATGCATGAAAACACTGGAATCAATTTATTTCAAATATTTAAAAAACAAAAATACAATCATTAAAAGTAGAAGGTAGTTTGATTCTTTTCTGTTGCCCAGACTGGAGCACAGTGGTGTGATCATAGCCCACTGCAGCCTCAATCGCCTGTGCTCAAGTGGTTCTCCCACCTCAGCCTCCCTAGTAGCTAGGACTACAGGTGCATGCCACTATGCCAGGCTAATTTTTTTATTTTTATTTTTTTGTAAGGACAGGGGTCTCACTATGTTGCCCAGGCTAGTCTTGAACTTCTGGTCTCAAGTGATCCTCTTGCCTTGTTCTCCCAAAGTGCTGGGATTACAGATGTGAGTAGCCACTGCGACTGGCCAAGGTAGCTTGATTCTATTATATTTTTTAAGCCATATACATTCAGGAACAATGGTTTGTATGGAATTGATAACTGGAATCTAGTTGATAGTGGTGATTTGTCTAAGATTGTTGTAATACCTTCAGCTCAAAAATTTGTACAGAGGTGAAAATTAGCTTCTTAAGAATTCAGTTCAGAAACGTTAGCTACTCATTAATCTTCAGTCAATAAAATTTGTAAAGCATGAATCTTATGAAATTCTTAGAATATTATCATTATCTCAGTTAATATTTATGGAACACGTTCTGCATGTCAGGTACTAGGCTACAACTTTAAAATAGTTCTAATTTCATCCTTTACTTTTCATTCTTAAACCTTAATTCGTATCTATGGAAAGGGTATTATCTTTGATTTTAGAAAAGACCTGACTGAAATTCAAAGAAACTATGTGATTTGCCCAGCATCTTATAATTAGTAATACAATTATTAATATAACACAAAGTACAAAGTATTTTCTCTTTAATAACAAATGTTTGGTAAATGTACACAAAAAAGAATTCAAGTGGATTTTTTCCTAACTACTTTAATTGCTCTCAGTTAAATTCAGTATTTACTGAATGAGTTCATGAACCTATTATAGATAAATACTGGGTAAAGGAGCCTAATGAATGTTTTATTTTAAAAGTATACAGATTTCTTAAAATATAAACTGTATACTATAAGAAAACAAAGAAAATAAAATCTGCAGACTTTTTCCTGCTTCCTTTGAAGTAGGCCAACTACAAAGTTAGAAAGCACATTCCCCAAAACTGCCCTTACTTCTGACACCAAGTTCAGGGGGCCGTCAAAACCCTGAATAGAACCCTCAGGTTCGATAATTTGCTAGAAAGACTCACAGACCTTACTGAAAGCTATTGTATTTAGGGTTATAGTTTATTACAGGGAAAGGTTACAGATTACAACTAGCCAAGGAAAGAAGTTCACAGGGCAGAGTCAGTCCCGAAATAACAAATGTGGAGCTTTTATTGTCCTCTTCCTGTGGAGTCAGGACAGGTTACTCCCTAGCATTGTTGAATGACAATGCACACATGGAGATCTGCCACCCGGGGAAGCTCACCCAATCATTGTGTTCAGAGTTTGTAGTGGGGCTTCATCACACAGGCATAATCGGTTGATTAACCACATGGTTAATCTCTATCTCCAAGTTGATGGATACCACGTGACCCAAAGCCCTTGCCTTAAGTCACATTGTTGATCTTTCTGGAGTGGCCAGTCCCTACTCTAAGACTATGCAGGTGTGGCCACCTCCCCATCCTAAATCACATTGTTAGACTATCTCATATGACTCAAGGTCTCCAGGCAAATAAAGCTCTTTCTATCAGGCATAACATTCCTAGGGCCCAGAGATTATATCTCAGAAGGCAAGGGCAAAGGCCGGACTTTCTTTTCTTTGGGCAAGAGAGTCTTTCCTATAAATTCTTTACTATATACCTACTAGGTTTAGAAAGTATCAAAATTTGTACTTAATCATCCCCAAATGGTGAAAAGCCTGTGATTCTCCACCCCTGCCTTCTGTCCTCTCTTGAGAAAAGAGCATTTTTTTTCCCTTGCCCTACACAAACCATGAAGCCTGGGAGAAGTGTCAGTATTCTTCACCATTCCTAATGTTCCTTTCACATCTTTAAGTTTCTTCTTCCTTAGGAAAAGCTGCCTCTTCTGAGGTTAATGACAACTATCTCCCCATACATATTTACTAACAAATTCCCAGGCATTTCTCACTTTTACAGATTTGGGGACTTTCCCAATGTTCCTTTCCATAATAAATCCATTAAGCCAATAGTTTTGCCTCAAAACTCATTATCTTTCCAGATTAAAGCTATCTTTACTTCATTATCCCCTAACTCTGAAATATTAAGCTCTAACAGGTCCTCTCTGATCACTACCTGTTATCCCTTCTGCCCATTACTTCTCTTATTCTAGATAATGTGCTAGTTGGTCACTTAATGACCTTCTGTCTCTTTTATTTGTGAATCCAATGGACGTCTTTCAGGTCCTATGTTACTTGACAATTCTTCTGAATTGGACACGTTTTACTTCTGGCTCTTTGAAACATTCCCTTCCCTTGGCTTCAATTACACAACTCTCTCCTACTTTTCTTCCTCTGCCTGCTGTAAATATCATTGTACCCTGGGATTCTTTCTTGTTTGTGTGTGTGTTTTTTTTCTCCCTTTGTTTCCTTCCTAGGCTTGACATTCCCTTCCAAATTCAGTCAAAACCATGCAGCATAGAATATAGAACTTCTACCATCTGAGCCCATTCTATGTTGAACTGAGTTCTGATTGTCTTTCTAGCTTTATCTCAGCAAACCCATGGTACAGAAAGTGACTACCTTGTAACTTAATGGGAATTTTCACAAAGTTTTGGGCTTTTTATATCTGTGTCTTTTCATGCTGTTCCCTCAGCACAGGGACTTCAGAACTTCTGCAGCCCCCTGGTTCTAAGGATGGAGAAAGTTATCTATGTTAGGCCAATGAGATCACAACACCCTGACCACAGTGACTGGCTCAGGGAGAAGCAGGTGACTAATGGGAGGCCAGTCAGGGCCCAGACAATTTTATTCCGGGACTTTGAGCCTTCAGGGAAGAAGACTTCCTCTTCTAGTCTGCCTGTTATGACAATTTGAGCCTTATGCTATGGGAGCCACTATGAAGATCCTAAGAGTGGAGTCAATCCAGGGGAAGAAAACTGAGAGCTGGACCTGGGCAGTATCATTTGAGCCCAGGGTCAAGCGATCACTGAACTTAGAGCTACTCTAGACCTCTTCAGCTAACATGATCCAGTAAGTTCTCTTTGTGTATAAACCAGTCTGATTTATTTTTCTATAGAAGTAAGCCTAGAGACTGATAATATGCTCAACAAATATTTGTCAAATGAAAGGAAACCATAAAATGGATAGATTAACTATCTCAGAGGGCTGGTCTGAGAAGTAAATGATTTACCAGTCATTTACTTTTGCTAGGCCAAGCACAGTGCCTAGCAAAAAGCAGGTACATGAAACGTTCATTATGTTTCTATGCCTCCAGCACTCTCCCTGTCACCACACAGTCCACACAACATAGCTCAAAAACTGCTACCTGAACTTGATTATAAGTTCTAAGAAAACTCATATTCACAAAAATTTGACTTCTTCAGTCCTAGGCTTTTTCCCCATAAGTCTTTTTCTTCTATTAAAGACCACAACTTAATATTTACTTATGTTTTTAAAGATCACAACAGTAAACATATTCATTTGTATAGCATCTGCTACAGTTTGAATATTTGTCCCCTCCGAAAGTCATGTTGAACTTTAATCTCCAGTGTGGCAGTATTGAGAGGTGAGGCCTTAATTTATATTTTTTAAAATAAAGATAAAGTCTTGCTATGTTGCCTAGGCTAGTTTCAAACTCCTGGACCCAAGGCATCCTCTACCTCAGCCTCTCCAGTAGCTGTCCTACAGGAAAGACCCACTGCACCCAGCTTGGTGGGGCCTTTAAAAGGTTCTTGGGTCATAAGGGCAGAGCCCTTATGAATGGATTAATGAATTATGGGTTAACAGATTAATGGATTATCATGGGAGTGGGATTGGTGGTTTTATAAGAAAAGGAAGAGAAACCTAAGCGAGCAAGCATAACCCCCTCACCATGTGATGCCCTGTGCCACCGTGGGACTCTGCAGAGACCTCCCAGCAGCAAGAAGTCCCTCACCAGATGTGGCCCCTCAACCTTGCACTTCTCAGTCTCCATAACTGTGAGAAATAATTCCTTTTCTTTATAAATTCCCCATTTTCAGATATTCTGTTACAAGCAACAGAAAATGGACTAAGATAGCATCTTGCAAGGCTTCACTTACTATGCATGCAAAAGCAAAATATTTAAAGTAAAAAATTGTTAGATCTGATTTCATAAATATTTAAAATTTCTGTATGTCAAAAAAAGTCATTAAAAATGTAAGATAGGTTAAACTTGGAAATGTGTATAAACAAAGAGTATCTTAAAATTTTGCAAATCACTAAGGACAAACACCATAATGAAAAAGAATGTATGCTGAATATAGTCACTTTATAAAAGAATACCTACAAATGATCATTAATTATATATTTGATGTTCAATGACATAGTCGAAGTCATGTACATTAAGCCAATAAAATATAATCTTTTTCTTATCATCTTGGCAAGCTGGGGAAAGGAACAGAGAAAGATGCACATCTATGCTCTACTGGTTGAACTGTACATTGTTAGGATGGGAATTTACAGTTTATGTAAAAACCTTAAAAAATGTATTAATCTTTGACTCAGCAGTTTCACTTCCAAAAATTAATATTTAGAAATTAATCATAGAAATGAACAAAACTTGTAACGATGATTTTTATTTAATATTTTTTATAATGGTAAAAAATTTAAAAGTTGATAATAACATCTATCATCTATTTATTGAATTCTCACTTATTAGATTTATTATGTGTCAACAATTGCATTTTCACATACATTGTCTCATTTATTCTTCATTTTATAGATTAAAAAATGAATTTAGAGATATTAAATATTCTGATCAAGATCACAAATCTAGTAAATGGCAGATTCAGAATTTAAACCCAGTTATATTTTTTTCCAAAGCCTATGATCTGAATTACTATTTTTAGATTTTCTTGTCAAAATTTTTGTCTAGCCATAGGATGATAAATATGATGCAGCTGTTACAAGAGGTATGAAGAAATACGTAATAACATAGGAAAATGTGTATGATATTGTGTTAATTGAAGAAATTATAAGATTAGAAAGCTTTATACACAGAATGATTCTTTTAAGACAAAGTATAAGTCTCTGTTCAAAGAAAAAGATCTGTAATAAAACATCCTCAAAAGATAGTTATCTTAGGGTGGTAAAGTATATCTTGGAAATATTTTTCTACTTTGTATACTTTTGTATTTTCTAAATGCACAGACTAATTCATAGTAGAAACTATTAATGTATTATTTTTGCAGCCAACAAGTTATTAAAACACTTCAACATGGCCAAAAGACTTTTTTCTTCTTGTGAGACTGGAAAAGTCAAAAGCCTCTTAAAAAAAAAAAAGTTTGAAATTTCTTTCCACGGGGCACTCAAAAAAGTTTTTACAAGTCCGGTCCAGGGACTCATGTCTATAATCCCAGCACTTTGGTAAGCTGAGGTGGGAGGATCATTTGAGGCCAGGAGATCAAGACCAGCGTAGGCAACACAGCAAGACCCCATCTCTACTAAAATTAAAAAAAATTACCTGGGTGTAGTGATGCATATCTGCAGTCCAGCTATTCAGGAGGCTGAGGTAGAAGGATCCCTTGAGCCCTGGAGGTTGAGGCTGCAGTGAGCTGAGATCACGCCACTGCACACCAGCCTGGGTGACAGAGTGTGCAGTGGGATAATTAAGGAATCAGAGAGACCGTGGGATTGAGGAGGAATTATTTAATTATTTAGGTGCACGGACCCAGTCGATTAACATCCAAAGGGCTGAGACCCAAACAGAGTTAAGCTACCTTTTAAGCATTTCGTGGGGCAGGGGGAGATTTGTGCAGGGGGAAGCGTATTACAGAAGGGAGAAACAAAGACAGTTATTCAATTAAGACATGCATTACATTATTTCTTACTTTTTAAGGAACAACATGTTTTATGACTTGAGATTATCTGTTTAGTGACCTTGCAGCTGCACAGCTAGAGAAACAGTCTTCACGATGGCTGGGAAAGGGAGAGATAAGGCTCACTAGCCACAGAAAAACAGGCAGTCAATTTTTAAAGGACTTCAGCTCTTTCTCTTCCTCAGGGGGAATTGGTTTTTCTTACATACAACTGAGTTTTCACTTACACATTTTAAAATTTCTTTTAATTCCTGTTCCAAGTGAGATCCTTTCTCAAAAAAGTAAAAGATAAAAAATTAAATTAAAAAGAATATTTTTATAAATTATATAAAGCTAAAGACTAAAACAATAATTTGGTGAGTTTAAAAGTAAAAGATAAACCAATGAAAAATGGAAAAACTCAGAGTGGATAAAAGAAAATTCTGTAGCCATCCCATTTTAAATGCTTCTCTACTCTTTATTCCAGTTTTGTGGCACTTTTACCTAAAGGAATGGCAGAAACACTTTTGTGTTATGCAGAGCTGAAGCCTCTCCCATTGGCCTGCTCTCACAGGTATTTTATAAATACAGCAACACAGAAATATATTTTTAAATTTATTTATTTTTTATTTTTTGAGGCAGAGTTTCACTCTTGTTGCCCAGGCTGGAGTGCAATGGTATGATCTCGGCTCACTGCAACCTTCACCTCCTGGGTTCAAGCGATTCTCCTGTCTCAGCCTTACAAGTAGCTGGGACCACAGGTGTGTGCCACCAAGCCCGGCCAATTTTTTTGTATTTTTAATAGAGATGGGGTTTCGCCATGTTGGCCAGGCTGGTCTCGAACTCCTGACCTCAGGTGATCCACCCACCTTGGCCTCCCAAAGCGCTAGGATTATAGGCATGAGCCACTGTGTCCGGCCTGGTCTACAAAATTTCATTACAGAATAAACCACTTTAATTGGACCTTGTGTTCAGAGTATAACCTTACTTAATCTTCCCTATAGGTTTAAGAGGTAGGTATAACTATGCCTATTTCATAAATGAGACCACTGATTCTCAGAGAGATTAAATAACTTGACAACTTTCTTAGATAGTGAGAGATTAATTTTTTTTTCATTTCGAAGCCCAAGATCTTTCCACTTCCTCTCACAGCATAACAAAATCAAAGGCTATGCATGTGCTCCCCAAAGAAAACTTAGGGTAAATATCCTGTCTGTGACTCAAGACACATTTTACAAGTGGCTAAGAAAAAAATCTTTAGACTGTTCGAAAATGAGTAGCATGGCTTTTAACATAGTGCTGGGGAGGATTTTTGCTTTGAAAGTAAAATTAAAGGTGAATTGATAACGAATATATAAATATCATGACAAAGGGTACTATTGTCTTATTTTTGGCTCTCTCAAAAGCAGACCAAGCAAAAACAAGGATTTTGAGTATAAGGAGTTTATCTGGGAGGTGATCCCAGAAAGTGTGGTGAAGTGAAGCAAGGAAAGATGAAATGTCAATGCATTAATTAGTGGGTCACTGCTGTGGGAAACTGGGGCTCAATTTCTCAGAGTAGCATCTAAGAGTTGATGGAACTGATGTAGAACACAGTGCAGAATTGCCCCTTCAATGGGTGAGGAGGCTGGAGTGCTTTTATTCAGCAAATCCCATCTATCATGAATTGATGGTTGTTTCTGGGACATTATGTCTCTGGCACTTCCAGCCTTCCCTACAAGTAGACTGAGCACACTCCTGAGACCAGAAACCATTCTTAGGCAGAGAGACACAGGTGCTTGAAGTAAGATGCCTTTGCATGTAAAAAATTTTTCTATGAAGCTGTAGGTGACCTTGAGAATGGACTGAGGGAATCTAGGCAGGACATCAGCAGAATATGCCACAGGGATCAATAATAAGTAAATGTGTGTTTGTGTGTGTATGTGTGTGCAGCTTGAATAGAATAAAATGCAATTTCATAAGTAGTTTCAAAAAGAGCAAAATGCAGAGAAAACTATGTTCTCTTACTTTTATAGACCCTTCTACCACTTGATGGCCCATACCAAAGTTTAGGTGCTTGAAACTAAAAAACAAATAAATAAAATAAAAAATAATAATGACTTGAAATGATGACAAATATTGATAATAGCTGCAAAACAACTTTCCCCAAATGTGCCCTTTTCCAGTTGATGGTGAAGCTACTGTTACTATATTGTGGGTTTTCAGAATGATTCTTTCTTTCAACGCTTGGCTTCTCCTTCAAATCCTGCCCATCTTGACACCTATTCTAGATTCACGAAATCATTACTACAGAGCAGCGAAGCTCTTGAATTAATGCCTAAACCACTTTCTTACTTTGTATATCTCTTTACTTTTCACTGCTACTGGGGTCTGATTTGTCTCTTTTATATTGGCATTCCTTCTAGAAACAGGAAGATCCTTTTTAAAAAACAAATTTTGTAAGAGAAGAGTTGTTTTCCTAATTCAAATGTTGACAAAAAGGATTATTAATGCTGATAACTATAATCATTCTTCTGTATTCACGTCTTGTATTATAGTCACATGTCTTCTTAAGCTACTTAAAATGACTTATTTTAAAACCCCATGAACAAAATTTAATTGAAAGTTAATGTCAAATACCATTATTATCTTTGAACTAAATGTGAAATTAAATACTGATAAATTTTCATTAATTCTAGAACGATTGATACTCTGTCAAAGTCCTCCTATAATTCCTTTGATTTCTCCTGACTGATTTGGTTGTAACTATGTGGGCTCTTTTTTTCTTCTAGCTTCTTAAATGCTGGTATTCTCCAGGGTTCTCCCTTCAGATTTCTATCTTCCCACAACCTATTCTCTTTCCCTACATAATCTCACCCATATCCAAAATTTAAGTTATCACCTACTTACTGATAATTCCTGGATTAATATTTCTCACTCTGATCTATCTCTGAAACTCCAGTTTCATTTTGTGATTGCTACCAAACATCTCCACTGGGGGTCCCACAGGCACTGCAAATTCAACATGTCTACATGTTAATTTATATTCCTTCCCAAACTTGCTCCATCTCAGCCCCCTTTTTCACTCTTCACCTAGTCGCTGAGAATGAAATACTGAATTGTTTAAATATGAATAATAGGCGGCTGGTGGCTCACACCTATAATCCCAACACTTTGGGAGGCCAAGGCAGGTGGATCACCTGAGGTCAGGGAGTTCAAGAACAGCCTGGCCAACATGCTGAAACCCCATTTCTACTTAAAATACAAAAAATTAGCCAGGCTTGGTGGCGGGCACCTGTAATTCCAGCTACTCAGGAGGCTGAGGCAGGAGGATCACTTGAACCCAGGAGACGGAGGCTGCAGTGAGCCCAAATTGTGCCACTGCCCTCCAGCCTGGGCAACAAGAGCAAAACCCTGTCTCAAATACGTACATAAAATATTGAATGTCTACCATACCCTAATATGGTAGGATGAATACTTAACACTAAGTATGAACTTAACACTAAGTATTTTGTGTAAATTAGCTAATTTAATTATCAAAAGAAGCCTGTTTTCTGTGCTCCTGTGCCCTCTTCCCACCTCTTTTCTGGTCCTCATACCATTGCATTGTTGCTGTTTGTTCCCATGTCTATGTTCATTTCAGTGACCATGTCATATTCACTTTAACATCTTCACTATTGTGCGGTGTTTGGCATACATTAGATAACTAAATATTTGTTGACCGAATTAATGAATATATAACTGAGTGAATAACATTTTAATAATAATATGTTTCCTGGATAGTCTACGGGGAAAACAGGATCATTAAAATAGTCACAAAACTGCATTCTCTGGCTGTGGTGGCTTGTTTACAAAATGGCCCCTAATGAACCATGCCTCCCAGTATCACATATTCTTGTAGAAACCATTCCCACATTGAATCTGGGGTAGCTCTGTGGTTGGTTTCAATCAATAGAATGTGGCAGAAGTGATATTTTGTAGTTTCTAAGGTTGGGCTTCAGGTGTCTACAGCTTCCAACTTCTCTCCTTTTGGGATATTTGTTTTTGGAAACCAACCAATATGCTGTGAGTAGCCCAAGGCACAGAGAAGCCATGTGGAGAAAAACTGAGGGTCAACAGCCCCAGCTGATTTCCCAGGTGCCAGTCAGCATGAACTCCCAGGCCTTTGAATGAGCCATCTTTAATATTCCAGACCATTTGAGTAACAGATGACTGCAGCCTCAGTCAACATCATGTAGGCCAAAAGAGCTTCTCAGCTGAGCCCAGTCAATTCCTCTCCTACTGTGGGTTCATGTGATCATGTCTTATGTGCATGCAATATCAAAAGTGATAATTTTGTGGACTTGTAAAGTCTTTGCCACTGCCACAGTGCCTGTCGATGTCTATGCTAATGCCGCTGGTACCTGATGTTGAGGGTGCAGATCTCTACACGGGTGTGGTCTCAGGTTACCACAGAACTGTTGTCATGAATACTGCTGATCTGTTGCCCTTTAGAGTCTCACAGAGATCACTGTGAAACAGCCTTTAATATTTACCCATATTTTTATTGAACCCCCTTCACTCTAGGACTCAGGCCTGAATTGATGGGGACTGGTCCAATAAATAATATAAAAGTGATAGACAGACAGACAGAAATAGTGCTACACCCATAATCCTTACTCCTTTTATCCTGGCCCATTATCTTTTAGGCATGCTTCTGTGCCATGGCATTCTCTTCCCTTGGATTCAAGTCTTTGCAAGAAAACTCCAAGGTATTTCATGTAATCAGATCCAAGAATATGAACCCTACCAGATCTTTAGACATGCCCAGAGAAGACCGAAACCAAGATGTTCAACATGTCCAGACAAGTAAATCTAAGACTAGAGACATTTATCAGTGCAGGATACCTCCCCTATCTTCACGATTATCTGCTAACAGCTATACCCTTCTTCTTGGAGAAATTGCTCTTCCCCCTTTCCAAGTAGTTGTGGTTGGACTGCTGGTTATAGAACATCACTCCACCCCGGTCCATAGGGATGGGCACATGATCTTGTTCTGGTCAATCATAGAACTTCAGTTCTCTAGGGAAAGGAATTGTTCTAACGGGTGAGTACAGGCCCCAAGACAGAACATTCAGAGTCCTTCTCTGAGATTTTTTTTTTCTAGGAAGGGACTCTTTCTTGAGTGAGAAGGTTGTAATCCTGGGCTTCCATGGGGCAAACACCTAGAGGAGACAATGAGGCCCAAAAGACTTAAGCAGATGAGAGGTGGATGTTGCAAGCAAGAGTGAGTGCTGGTTCTGTCAAGTCTGAAGTTTCTCTCCCTGACATACCTGAAGTTACCTGCTCCCCACAGAAATTCTGTCAGTTCCATAACAGGCCCCATTCTTCTTCCATTAATTCCCATTTTTTCACATAGTGAGTTTGAGTTGAATTTCTGTCAGTTACAATTAAAAAAACTTTGGACTATTGCAAATATAAGCACAATAGAAGGATAGAAATACTTTTTCTGGCTGGATGTGGTGGCTCACACCTGTAATCCCAGCACTTTGGGAGGCCGAGGCAGGTGTATCACCTGAGGTCGGGAGTTCGAGACCAGCCTGGCCAACATGGTGAAAGCCTGTCTCTATCAAAAACTACAAAAATTAGCCAGGCGTGTTGGCAGGCACCTGTAATCCCAGCTACTCAGGAGGCTGAGGCAGGATAATAGCTTAAACTTGGGAAGCAGAGGTTGCAGTGAGCCGAGATCATGCATGCCACTGCACTCCAGCCTGGGCGACAGAGCAGACTCTGTCAAAAAAAAAATAAAAAGATTGTAGGGGCTAACTAGTTCTCTCGTACTGCTCTCTCTAGCATTTTGGAACTGATAAAATCTACTAGCTACTTCATTTTACTGTGTTTGTATCCAATGTAATAATACTACATTGGATACCTATTACTTTGTTTACCCGACATCCCTTTGTTACTGGCGGGTCTTTGTTCTTAGAGCTCCCAAGATGGGGTAAGCCGCTTCCAAGATGGTGGCAAGCCTTTTGTTCTCTGACCTGGGGTTCTTGGCCTCATGGATTCTAAGGAATGGAACCTTGAGCCATGTGGTGAGTGTTATAGCTCTATTAGAAGCCGTGGGTCACGGAAGAGAACCGTGGAACCCAGCCACTAGTGTTCAGCTCGATTGGGATGAACCTGGGCACTTAGCCGTGAAGGAACAATGGCGAGCCTCTAGCCCGATCCGCAGCGGCGATGGGCGCCTCGCTGGGTCAGAAACGCAGTGTACACCCTGCCGGATCCAGAGGGGTGGAAGTCAGTGGTGGGTCTGCGACAACGGCAATCAGCAGTAGTGGACGGCGAGCGAAAGCTCAGCTCCAGCCAGAACAAACGTGGACCAGAAGAGTGTGCAGTTGCAAGATTTAATAGAGTGAAAACAGAGCTCCCATAGAAGGGGAGGGGACCCAAAGGGGGTTTCCCCTGCCCGCTCGAATTCCTGGGTTTATATCCCAATCATTGTCCCTCCCGCTATGCGCTCAGGCGATAGATGATTTGACTATTTCTTTACCTCCTGCTTTTAGCCTAATTGGTATTTTAGTGAGCCCTCTTTACTACCTGATGGGTCAGGTGTGAGCTGAGTTACAAGCCTCGTGTTTGAAGGTGGGTGTGGTCACCTTCCACAGCTAGGCTTAGGAATTCTTAGTCGGCCTAGGGAATCCAGCTAGTCCTGTCTCTCACTATCTTCTGAGAATTATTTCTCACATTAACCTTTTGTGGTAGATTAAAAGATTGGCGCTACCCTTCCTGCTTCCCTGTCCCCCACTTTAAACAATAGCTTCACTGTGGGCAGAAGGTATTTCTTTCCCCTTGACTTAGTGTCCAGTCATGTGACTTTCTTTGACCAATGGCTTGGTCAGGCAGTAGCAGCAGTGTTAGAACGGCTCTGAACCTAAACTTCAGAGGCTCTTGTGTTCCCTGTCTAGCTTAGGGGCCCAGGAGGAGTGAGATCTGGGTTCCTAAGACCCACTATTCCACTAGAATGGAGTACAGCCACTCTAGTCATCACTGCCTGGCAGGGCTGCCCTAGCCAACCGTCAGATCCGTGAAAATGAATGATAGTGGTGTTAAACCACTAGTTGGGGCACTTTGTTATAGAACATTGTAGTGATAATAACCTAACTGATATACCTCCCACCCCAGCCCACTCACTCCCAATCATAGGGTTCCCACACAATTTACCAGGTTCTTCTTACACTATCAGATCCTCTTTCCTGTCATCAGTTAGTCCAGAGGCTGAATGGGCCCCTGGGAGCTCTTCTCAGCATTTTGTACTTGGAGGGGGAGCATTGAGCACTCTTTCTTGTGGCAGAAAGTCTGAAGTGTGAGACCTGGGAGTTGTTAGCCTCGTTGGCCACCCCGTGGGGAAAGCAGATTTGCAGTGAGAAAGAAGTCAGGAGGCGGAGAGTGACACCTAGGGGCTTTTTAGAGTTCCTAGCTGCAGTTATTCCACACTTCAGCTTGAACCTCCGTGACCTGTCTCCGCTTCTCCTTGGCTCTTAATCGCATTTTGCTTCTCTTATTCCCCATTTTTTTCTGTTGTAATCTTTCTGAAGAACAGGACAGGGTCTCATTCACGTTTGTATTTCCCGAAGTACTCTATCAAGTGTCTTACATGTTATAGACACTCAATAAATACTTGTGGAATTAAAGTGGTCCCCCTGCCCAAATCCCTGAGTGAGAACTAGATCCTCCTCCTTTGTCTGAACATGTCCATATGTACTCTAAGCTACCTACTTTATACTGGAGGTTCATTTTTCAATCATTTCCCATAATTTGACTAAAATTAAATCCGTAAGTTGAAATTGGATGAATGACCCAGTAAGCTAGTTTTTTAAAGTTCAGAGTATTTGCTGTTGAAAAACCAACAAGTTGAATTTATTATCCTTTAGGTTAAGGTCTATTTTAGTCTCAAGATTCCATAGTTTCATGGTATATACAGTTAACTACTTTTCCAATCATAAATACAAAAATTTTCTGGTAACCCTCTTAAGGAGAGTTAGTCGAAAAATTGCTTTGGCTCTGAGTTGCTCAGCTGAAAAGAAAAAGAAATGCCTAGGTTTATTTTTCCTGATATCTTTACATAGGAATTTTCTGGGCTCAATCCTAGAACTTCTTTCCTTTTCTATCTATAGTCTATATCTAATTTCTTGGTAATCCCATTCATGCTTGTGGCTTTAAATTCCATCTATATGCAGGTGATACTCAAATTTATATATCCAGCTTGGTCTCTCCTCTGAATTCCAGGTTCATATGACCCAACCAATTCAACATCTTATCTAGATAACAGGCATTTCGAACTTTTTTTTTTTTTTTTTTTTTTTACTTTAAGTTCCAGGATAAATGTGCAGGATGTGCAGGTTCATTACATAGGTATACATTTGCCATGGTGGTTTGCTGCAACTATCAACCCGTCATCTAGATTTTAAGCCCTGCATGCATTAGGTATTTGTCCTAATGCTCTCCCTCCCCTTGCTCCCCACCTTCTGACAGGTCCCGGTGTGTGTTGTTCCCCTCCCTGTGTCCATGTGTTCTCATCGCTCAACTCCCACTTATGAGTGAGAACATGTGATGTTTGGTTTTCTGTTCTTGTGTTAGTTAGCTGAAAATGATGGCTTCCAGCTCCATCCATGTCCCTGCAAAGGACATGATCTTATTTTCTTTTATGGCTGCACGTTCTGCACATGTATCCTGGAACTTAAAGTAAAAAAAAAAAAAAAAAAAGGTTTGAAATGCCTGTTATCCAGATAGAGATGTTGAATCAGTTGGGTCATATGAACCTGGAATTCAGAGAAGAGATCAAGCTGGATATAGAAATTTGAGTGTCATCTCCATATAGATGGAATTTAAAGCCACAAAGTATTCCATGGTGTATATGTACCACATTTTCTTTATCCAGTCTATCATTGATGGGTATTTGGGTTGGTTCCATGTTTTGCTGTTATAAATAGTGCTGCAATAAACATATGTATGTGCACGTATCTTTGTAGTAGAATTATTTATATTCTTTTGAGTATCTACCTAGTAATGAGATGCTGGGTCAAATGGTATTTCTGGCTCTAGATCCTTGAGGAATCGCCACACTGTCTTCCGCGATGGTTGAACTAATTGACATTCTCACCAACAGTGTGAAAGCATTCCTATTTCTCCGCAGCCTCACCAGCATCTATTGTTTCTTGACTTTTTAATGATCACCATTCTGACTGGTGTGTAATGGTAACTCATTGTGGTTTTGATTTGCATTTCTCTGCAGATCAGTGGTGATGTGCTTTTTTTCATGTTTGTTGGCTGCATAAATGTCTTCTTTTGAGAAATGTCTGTTCATATGCTTTGACCACTTTTTGAGGGGGTTGGTTTTTTCTTGTAAATTTGTTTAAGTTCCTTGTAGATTCTGGATATTAGACCTTTGTCAGATGGGTAGATTGCAAAAATTTTCTCCCATTCTGTAGGTTGCCTGTTCACTCTGATGCTAGTTTCTTTTGCTGTGCAGAAGATCTTTAGTTTAATTAGATCCCATTTGTCAATTTTGGCTTTTGTTGCAATTGCTTTGGGTGTTTTCATCATGAAGTCTTTGCCCATGCCTATGTCCTGAATGGTATTGCCTAGGTTTTCTTCTAGGGTTTTTATGGTTTCAGGTTTTATATTTTAAGTCTTTAATCCATCTTGAGTTAATTTTCATATAAGGTGTAAGGAAAGGGTCCAGTTTCAATTTTCTGTATATGGCTAGCCAGCTTTTCCAGCATCATTTATTAAATAGGGAATCCTTTCCCCATTGCTTATTTTTGTCACGTTTGTCGAAGATCAGATGGTTGTAGATATGTGGTGTTGTTTCTGAGGTCTCTGTTCTGTTGCATTGGTCTGTATGTCTATATGTCTACTGTTTTTGTAGCAGTAGCATGCTGTTTTGGTTACTGCAGCCTTGTAGTGTAGTTTGAAGTCAGGTAGTGTGATGCCTCCAGCTTTCTTCTTTTTGCTTAGGATTGTCTTGGCTATACGGGCTCTTTTTTGGTTCCATATGAAATTTAAAGTAGATTTTTCTAATTCTGCGAAGAATGTAAATGGTAGTTGGATGGGAATAGGCTTGAATCTATAAATTACTTTGGGCACTATGGTTATTTTCACAATATTGATTCTTCCTATCCATGAGGATGGAATGTTTTTCCATTTGTTTGTGTTCTCTCTGATTTCCTTGAGCAGTGGTTTGCAGTTCTCCTTGAAGAGGTCCTTCATGTCCCTTGTAAGCTGTATTCCTAGGTATTTTATTACCTTTGCAGCATTTGTGAATGGGACTTCATTTATGATTTGGCTCTTTGCTTGTCTATTGTTGGTGTGTAGGAATGCTTGTGATTTTGATTGATTTTGTATCCTGAGACTGCTGAAGTTGATTATCAGCTTAAGGAGTTTTTGGGCAGAGACGATGGGGTTTTCTAAATATACAAACATGTCATCTGCAAACAGACAATTTGACTTCCTCTCTTCCTATTTGAATACTTTTATATCTTTCTCTTGCCTGATTTCCCTGGCCAGAACTTCCAATACTATGTTGAATTGGAGTGGTGAGAGGGCATCCTTGTCTTGTGCCAGTTTCCAAGGGAATGATTCCAGCTTTTACTCATTCAGTATGGTATTGGCTATGGGTTGTCATAAATAGCTCTTATTATTTTGAGATATTCCATCAATGCCTAGTTTATTGAGAGTTTTTAACATGAAGGGATGTTGAATTTTATCAAAGGCCTTTTCTGCGTCTATTGAGATAATCATGTGGTTCTTTTCATTGGTTCTGTTTATGTGATGCGTTACATTTATTGATTTGTGTATATTGAACCAGCCTAGCATCCCAGGGATGAAGCCAACTTGGTCGTGGTGGATAAGCTTTTTGATGTGCTCCTGGATTCGGTTTGCCAGTATTTAATTGAGGATTTTCGCATTGATGTTCATTAGGGATATTGGCCTGAGGTTTTCTTTTTTTGTTGTGTCTCTGCCAGGTTTTGGTATCAGGATGATGCTGGCCTCATAAAATAAGTTGCAGAGGAGTTCCTCCTTTTCAATTGTCTGGAGCAGTTTCAGAAGGAATGGTAGCAGCTCCTCTTTGTACTGCTGATAGAATTTGGCTGTGAATCCATCTGGTCCTGGGCTTTTTTTGGTTGGTAGCCTATTAGTTACTGCCTCAATTTCAGAACTTCTTGTTGGTCTATCCAGGGATTTGACTTCTTCCTAGTTTAGTTTTGGGAGGTGTATGTGTCAAGAAATGTATCCATTTCTTCTAGATTTTCTAGTTTATTTGCATAGAGGTGTTTATAGTATTCCCTGATGGTAGTTTGTATTTCTGTGGGGTCAGTGGTGATATCCCCTTTATCATTTTTTATTGTGTCTATTTGACTCTTCTCTCTTTTCTTCTTTATTACTCTGGCTAGCTAGCGGTCTATTTTGTTAATTTTTCAGAAAATCAGCTCCTGGATTCATCGATTTTTTGAAGGGTTTTTTGTGTCTCTATCTCCTTCAGTTCTGCTCTGATCTTAGTTATTTCTCGTCTTCTGCTAGCTTTTGAATTTGTTTGCTCTTGCTTCTCTGGTTCTTTTAATTGTGATGTTAAGGTGATGATTTGAGATCTTTCCAGCTTTGTGATGTTGGCATTTAGTCCTGTAAATTTCCCTCTAAACACTGGTTTAGCTGTGTCCCAGAGATTCTGGTACATTGTCTCTCTGTTCTCATTGCGTTCAAAGAACTTCTTAATTTCTACCTCAATTTTGTTATTTACCGAAGAGTCATTCAGGAGCAGGTTGTTCAGTTTCCATGTAGTGTGTGGTTTTGAGTGAGTTTCTTTTCTTTTTTTTTTGAGATGGAGTCTCGCTCTGTCACCCAGGCTGGAGTGCAGTGGCGCAATTTCGGCTCACTGCAAGCTCCGCCTCCCAGGTTCACTCCATTCTCCTGCCTCAGTCTCCCGAGTAGCTGGGACTACAGGCGCCTGCCACCAAGCCCAGCTAATTTTTTTTGTATGTTTTAGTGGAGACAGGGTTTCACCATGTTAGTCAGAATGGTCTCGATCTCCTGACCTCGTGATCTGCCCGCTTCGTTCTCCCAAAGTGCTGGGATTACAGGCGTGAGCCACTGCGCCCGGCCTTGAGTAAGTTTCTTAATCCTGAGTTCTAATTTGATTGCACTGTGGTCTGAGAGACTGTTTGTTATGATTTAAGTTCTTTTGCCTTGCTGAGGAGTGTTTTACTTCCAATTATGTGGTCTATTTTAGAATAAGTGTCATGTGGCACTGAGAAGAATGTATATTCTGTTGATTAGGGATGGAGAGTTCTTTAGATGTCTATTAGGTGCACTTGATCTGGAGCTGAGTTCAAGTCCTGAATATCCTTGTTAATTCTCTGTCTCGTTGATCTGTCTAATAGTGACAGTGGGGTGTTAAAGTCTCCCAGTATTATTGTGTGGGAGTCTAAGTCTCTCTGTAAGTCTCTAAGAACTTGCTTTATGAATCTGGATGCTCCTATATTGGGTGCATATATATTTAGGATAGTTAGCTCTTCTTGTTGTATTGATCCCTTTACCATTATGTAATGCCCTTCTCTGTCTTTTTTTAATTTTTGTTGGTTTAAAGTCTGTTTTATTAGAAACTAGGATTGCAAGCCCTGTCTTTTTAAATTTTATTTTATTATTTATTTTTTATTTTTTTGCTTTCCGTTTGCTTGGTAAATAATCCTCCATCCCTTTATTTTGAGCCAATGTGTCTTTGCATGTGAGATGGGTCTCCTGAATACAGCACACCAATGGGTCTTGACTCTTTATCCAATTTGCCAGTCTGTGTCTTTTAATTGGGGCATTTAGCCCATTTACATTTAAAGTTAATATTGTTATGTGTGAATTTGATCCTGTCATCATGATGATAGCTGGTTATTTTGCAAGTTAGTTGATGCAGTTTCTTTATAGTGTCATTGGTCTTTATATTTTGGCATGTTTTTGTAGTGGCTGGTACTGGTTTTTTTCTTTCCATATTCAGTGCTTCCTTCAGGAGCTCTTGTAAGACAGGCCTGGTGTTAACGAAATTCCTTAGCATTTGCTTGTCTGGAAATGATTTTATTTCCCCTTTACTTATGAAGCTTAGTTTGGCTGGATATGAAATTCTGGGTTGAAAATTCTTTTCTATAAGAATGTTGAATACTGGCCCCCACTCTCTTCTGGCTTGTAGAGTTTCTGCTGAGAGATCTGCTGTTAGTCTGATGGGCTTCCCTTTGTAGGTGACCTGGCCTTTCTCTCTGGCTGCCCTTAACAGTTTTTCCTTCATTTTGACCTTGGAGAATCTGATGATTATGTGTTTGGGGATTGATCTTCTCATGGAGTATCTTAGTGGTGCTCTCTGTATTTCCTGAATGTGAATGTTGGCCTGTCTTGCTAGGTTGGGGAAGTTCTCCTGGATAACATCCTGAAATATGTTTTCCAACTTGGTTCCATTCTCCCTGTCTCTTTCAGGTACTCCAGTCAATCATAGGTTCGGTCTTCTTACATAGTCCCATATTTTTTGGAGGCTTTGTTCATTCCTTTTCATTCTTTTTTCTCTAATCTTGTCTGTGTGTCTTATTTCAGCAAGGTGGTCTTCAAACTCCGATATCCTTTCTTCCACTTGATTGATTCAGCTATCGATACTTGTGTATGCTTCATTAAGTTCTCATGCTGTGTTTTTCAGCTCCATCACATCATTTATGTTCCTCTCTAAACTGGTTATCCTAGTTAGCAGCTCCTGTAAACTTTTATCAAGGTTCTTAGCTTCTTTGCATTGGGTTAGAACATGCTCCTTTATCTTGGCAGTTTGTTATTATCCACCTTCTAAAGCCTACTTCTGTCAATTCGTCCATCTCATGCTCTGTTCAGTTCTGCGCCCTTACTGAAAAGGCGTTGTGATCATTTGGAAGATAAGAGGCATTCTGGCTTTTGGAAGAGTCAGTGTTTTTGCACAGGTTTTTCCTCATCTTCATGGATTTATCTACCTTTCATCTTTGAAGCTGATGACCTTTGGATAGGGTTTTTGTGGGGGCATCTTTTTTGTTGATATTGTTGTTGTTGTTTTCTGTTTGTAGTTTTTCTTCTAACAGTCAGGTCCCTCTTCTGCAGGTCTGCTGCAGTTTGCTGGAGGTCCACTCCAGACTCTATTCTCCTGGGTATCACCAGTGGAGACTGCAGAACAGCAAAGATTGCTCCCTGTTCCTTCCTCTGGAAGCTTTGTCCCAGAGGGGCACCAGCCTGATGCCAGCCAGAGCTCTCCTGTATGAGGTGTCTGTCGACCCCCGTTGGGAGGTCTCTCCAAGTCAGGAGGCACAGGGGTCAGGGATTCACTTGAGGAGGCAGTCTGTCCCTCAGCAAAGCTGGTGCTCTGTGCTGGGAGAATTCCTTTTGTCAGGATCCGCCACTCTCTTCAGAGCCAGCAGACAGGAAAGATTAAGTCTGCTGAAACTGTGACTGCAGCTGTCCCCTCCCTCCAGGTGTTCTGTCCCAGGGAGAAGATGAGTGTTCTGTCTACAAGCCCCTGACTGGAGCTGCTGTATTTCCTGCAAAGATGCCTTGCCCAGTGAGGAGGAATCTAGAGAAGCACCCTGGCCACAGTCGCTTTGCTGCACCTTGGTGAATTCCGTCTAGTCCAAACCTCCCAGTCTCCTTAGGGCTGTTAGGGGAAAACCGCTTTCTAAAGCCACAGTAATGGCAGCTGCCCCTCCATGAACCAAACTGATCATCCCAAAGCAGACTCCAGACTGTTGTAATGGCAGTGAGAATTTAAAGCCAGTGGTTTTTAGCTTGCTGGGCTCCATGGAAGTGGGACCTGCTGAGCGAGACCACTTGGCTCCCTGGCTTCAGCCCCCTTTCCAGGGCAGTGGATGGTTCTCCTGTCTCACTGGCATTCCACACACTGCTGGAGTATGAACAAACTCCTGCAGCTCAGTTCCTGCTCAAACAGCCGCCAAGTTTTGTGCCTGAAACCCAGGGCCCTGATAGTGTAGGCTCAGGAGGGAATCTCCTGATCTGTGGATTGCAAAAAATCCGTGGGAAAAGTGTAGTACCCCGGGTAGGTAGCACAGTCCCTTACCGCTTCACTTGGCTGGAGGAGGGACGTCCCTCTGCTCCATGCACTTCCCAGTTGAAGCGACGCCCCACCCTGCTTCTGCTCTCTCTCCATGGGTCGCACCCACTGCATAACCAGTCCCAATGAGATGAACTGGGTACCTCAGTTGCAAATGCAGAAATCACCCGCCTTCTGCATTGGTCTTGCTAGGAGCTGCAGACCAGAGCTGTTTTTATTTGGCCATCTTGGCCCCTCCCCGTATTTCAAATTTAACATGTTCCAAAACAAATTATTCATTTCCTTCCCCATTCCTCTACAAAATATATTCCTTTTAAAGTTTTACCCATCTCAGTTAATGGCCACTTTACCCAACCTTTCTAGTTACTTTTGCCAGAATCTGTAGAATAAAATTGTTTTCACTTCTTGGCTTAATACCCTTCAACAGCTTCCCATCTCAACCATCAAAAGAGCTTCCCTACACAACTGTCCACTACTCTTCACTGCAGTTACGTCTCTGACCCCCATTTCCTTTTATTCATCTGCTACTGTTCTCCTCTTGCTCTTCCCACACCGGCCTCCATACTGATCCTTGAACTCTTTTTCTTACTCTTCGCCATCTCCTGTCTGTCTGAAATGCTCTTGTCCAAATTAACTCCATGGCCTGCTTCCTCGCTTCTATTAGATCTTTGCTCAAATATTGTATTTCAGAGTGATCTTCTCCGAGCATATTAAACTTGCTGTCTACCTTTCCCACTTAATTTTCTCCAAGTGCTTATCACCATCTAATATTGTATTTTACTTTCTGTCTCTCTTCTCAGACTAGAATGAAAACTCCATGGGGACCAAACTTTTGTCTGTTTTGTTTACCCCTTTATCCTCAGTGCTAGAATAATTATTGGAACATATTACACACTCAAGAAATATTTTCTGAGTCTGGGCACAGTGGCTCATGACTGTAATCCCAGCACTTTGGGTGGCCAAGGTGGGTGGATCACCAGAGGGCAGGAGTTGGAGACCAGCCTGGCCAACATGGTGAAACCCCATCTCTACTAAAAATACAAAAATTAGCTGGGCATGATGGTGGGGGCCTGTAATCCCAGCTACCTGGGAGGCTGAGGAAGGAGAATAGCTTGAACCCAGGAAGCTGAGTTTGCAGTGAGCCGAGACTGTGCCACTGCACTCCATCCTGGGCAACAGAGCAAGACTCCATGTCAAAAAAAAAAAAAGAAATATTTTTTGAATGAATGAATGTTGTAAAAGTAATGTAGGACAGGTGAGCCCCCAAACTGGGGTTTAGCCCAGGAGGGTTCTTGGTTTCACCCAGGAAAGAATTCAAGGGTGAGCTGGAGGTGTTCACTAGAAACTTGTAATGAAGTAGAATTGGACAGCAGCAGCAGAGATACTGCTCTTGTGGAGAAGGGCTATTCCATAGGCAATGTGCCCAGAGGTAGTTTTGAACTTATATTTATACCAATTTTAATCATATACAAATTAAGGGGCAGATTATGCAGAAATTTTTAGGAAAAGCGTGGCAACTCACAGGTTGTTGCCATGAAAAGGGGTGGTAACTTCCAGGTGTTGCCATGGTAATGGTAAACTGACATGGCATGCTGGTGGGCGTGTCTTATGGAAAGCTACTTTGCTTTGGACCTGTTTTAGCTAGTCCTCAGTTTGGTCTGGTGTCCAAGTCCTGCCTCTGGAGTGAAGTACCATCTCTTACCTCAAAAGTAGATAAGTATTGATAAGGTTTGGATTTGTGTGCCAGCCTAAATCTCATGTGAAATTGGAGGAGGGGCCTGGTGGGAGATGATTGGATCATGGGGGCAGATTTTACCCTTGGTGTTCTCCTGATAGTGAGACTATCACTATCAGTGATTGATAGTGAGACTATCACTATCAGTGATTGATAGTGAGACTATCACTATCAGTGATTGATAGTGAGACTATCACTATCAGTGATTGATAGTGAGACTATCACTATCATCAGTGATTGATAGTGAGACTATCACTATCATCAGTGATTGATAGTGAGACTATCACTATCAGTGATTGATAGTGAGACTATCACTATCAGTGATTGATAGTGAGACTATCACTATCAGTGATTGATAGTGAGACTATCACTATCAGTGATTGATAGTGAGACTATCACTATCAGTGATTGATAGTGAGACTATCACTATCAGTGATTGATAGTGAGACTATCACTATCAGTGATTGATAGTGAGACTATCACTATCAGTGATTGATAGTGAGACTATCACTATCAGTGATAATGAGTGAGTTCTCAGAAGATCTAATTGTTTAAAAGTGTGTGGCACTTTCCCCTGCTCGCTCTCTCTCCTGCCACCATGTGAAAAAGGTGTTTGCTTCCCCTTCGTCTTCCATCATGATTGTAAGTTTTCTGAGGCCTCCTAGTCATGCTTCTTGTGAGTCAGAACTGTGAGTCAATTAAACCTCTGCAATTAAACCTGCAGAACTGTGAGTCAATTAAGCCTCTTTTCTTCATAAATTACTCAGTCTCAGGTAGTTCTTTATAACAGTGTGAGAACAAACTAATACAAGTATATAAGTCAGGACAAAGATGGATGGACCAAAATGATAAATAATAATTCTCATGCAGTGGTGCATGCTTGTGGTCCCTACTTGGGAGGCTGAGGCTGGAGGATCCCTTGAGGCCAGGAGTTTGAGGCTGTAGCATGCTATGATAGTGTCTGTGATAGATGCTACATAAACATTCTTATTTAATAGCCATATGCTTATTTTAATGTGTATCAGGAAAAATAAAACAGCATATCACAAATGTGATTTTCTGGATATGACTTATTAGGATGAGGCTAAAGCAGGTAGAGCTGTAGTAATCTGTACGACGCATTAATTACAGAAGAAGACTCAGACCTGCCCATGATTGTTATACACCTGCAGGGACTGAATTTTCTCCTGTAACTGTTCATAAGAATGTATAACTTGGATGATGCTATTCACTAGTATGTTTTTAAATTTTTAATATTTATTTATTTATTTTTAAAAAATACAGATGAGGTTTCACCATGTTGCCCAGGCTGGTCTCAAATTCCTGGACTCAAGCAATCCACCCACCTTGACCTCCAAAAGTGTTGGGATTACAGGCATGAGCCACCGCGCCCAGCCTGGTACGTTCTCATGAACTGAATTTTCAAGCTCATTCCTGCATTATTTTCAGCACTAAATTGAAATATGACTTTGAGAAGCTGACAATTGTTGAGTACTGAAGTATTAAAATGATTGCTTGAAAACACAATCTAGTCACTGTTGTATACACCAGCAAAAAACAAAAACAGAAAATACCTGAGAATGCACTTGAAGTTTGGAGAGAAGTGTTTAAATGGTACTTTTCAAATTGCCAATTGAATTGTAAAAACCACTGAAGACCATTGGCTTCTATGCAGATGGGTCCTCACTCTTTCATTTGAATAGATGGCACCCTAAATCTTTCTGGAGAAAATCCTCATGTTTTAGAATTGTTTGTATGAATAGATTTGCAAACCAGACTATCTTATTGATATCTTTGTTAATTTGGACAACTTACAATCACTATTAGAATGCACACTTACATTATATGTGAAGGCCAAGTGAATGAGAAGATCTGCAAAACAGAATGATGGGTGTGCACCTTGATCATGTGAACTCTATTCTTTTTTGTTCCCCTTTTTTTTAAGAGACAAGGTCTTGCTCTGTCACCTAGGCTGGAGTGCAGTGGCATGATCATAGCTCACTGCAGCCTTTATCTCTTGGGTTCAAGCAATACTCCTGCCTCAGCCTCCTGAGAAGCAGCTAAGACTACAGGTATGTGCCACCATGCCCAGCTAGCAGAGCTCTATTCTTTATCTGAAAAATTCTCTAAAAGTATTTAGGACATTATGAAAGACTTCATAAGATTTTTTCTTATTGATTGGCAAGAGTGAATCAATAAAACCTTATTTACCTTATCATCAGCTATTGTTTATAGCAATTGATACCAATTTTCCATCCAAACAATAATACTAATAAGTAATAATAATGTGTCACTGTTAACAATAACTATTATCATTGCATTTCTGAAATGGCCTTTTTTACTTACAGTCACTGAGGCTCTAGGTCAATTTTGAAGCAGACAGAACAAGCGGGAAGGGGAAGTTAATGGGATAAAATCTTTCTCTCCCCTTCCACTCATAGTTGAATTTGCCTAAGTGAAATCGTACATCAGTAGGCCAGTCAGTAATTCCCTGCAGCTATCTCATATTCTAGAATTGACTAGGAAGAATCCTCTATTTACGTTCCTTTCCTTGAAGTTTTTCTTGTCTTTAATGTGTTCAGTATTTTATAAATTATTTACAAATTATCACATATAATATACTCCTCCTAAAAATAGGAAGTTATAGAAAAGCAAAAGGAAGAAAAAAATCATAATTCCATAATCCAAAGAAAACTACTATTGATAGCTTGTTGTATTTTTTTCTACATATAGTTTTTGTTTGGCTTATAAAGTTGAGCTTCAATGCAGTGGTCTTTCAAATGTTTTCCTTGAGTCTTCTTAAAAGAAGATTTTCAAACTACGTACTCCCTTGCATATTTTAGAATTAAAATACTATATATATATATATTTGTTTTTGTTTTTGTTTTTTTGAGATGGAGTCTCACTCTGTCGCCAGGCTGGAGTGCTGTGGCGCGATCTCGGCTCACTGCAAACTCCGACTCCCTGGTTCAAGCGATTCGTTTGCCTCAGCCTCCTAAGTAGCTGGGATTACAGACATGAGCCAACACGCCTGGCTAATTTTTGTATTTTTAGTAGAGATGGAGTTTCACCATGTTGGCCAGGATGGTCTCGATTTCCTGACCTTGCGATCCACCTGCCTCGGCCAACAAAAGTGCTGGGATTACAGGCGTGAGCCACCATTCCAGGCCCAAAATATTTTTAAAGCTCTAAATAAACTTACTTTCTTTTAAATATAATAGAGTGATTGAACATTTCAAAGACGAAAAAACTAAGACGAGGCTGTTAAAGACACAGATATGCCATGATATGATTTGATAAAATAGCCTTTTACTATCTTATTGAATAAAGTTAACCAAATCTGAAAGAAATCAAGTAAAATTTTACATATAAATTTTATCCAATGTTTAAAAAAAAAAAAGTAATGGTTCATCAAAAATCCCATTTATGGCCTGGCACGATGGCTCACTCCTGTAATCCCAGCACTTTGGGAGGCCGAGGCAGACGGATCACGAAGTCAGGAGATTGAGACCATCCTGGCTAACACGGTGAAACCCATCTCTACTAAAAATATAAAAAATTAGCTGGGCATGGTGGCACATGTGGCACCATGGTGGCACATGTAGCCTGTAGTCCCAGCTACTCAGGAGGCTGAGGCAGGAGAATTGCTTGAACCTGGGAGGTGGAGTTTGCAGTGAGCCGAGATCGCGCCACTGCACTCCAGCCTGGGAGACAGAGAAAGAAAAAAAAATCCCATTTATGTTCAAGAGGATAGCCATAAGTCTCCCATATTCCTTCGATATCCTAGATTCAGAGATCCAAAATGGGCTCAAATATCCCTGAATTGGCTAAAATTCTGAGTATCCCAGCATGGGCTGAAATAGAAATATTTTAGTGAGCTTCACATATATCTATATGACAGGAAAAGGCTTAAAGTCTTGGATGTTTAAAATACCTTGATTAATTATCCAAGGAGCCCTCCCTAAAACCAGTATTTCCATTTATCCATTTGTTTGATATTCTGGAGCTATTTACACCCAAGGCAATGCACTACATGAGATTTGAGATGGAGGGATGCTATTCACTATGAATTTAGAGAATGATTACTGTGAACCCCGGCTCATTTTCAAGGAAATCAGATTTAGGAAAGAGCACATATGGAATTTGAGAATCTGAAAACTGACCTCCTTAAAGGTGTGCACGCAGTCTTCAAGAGCTAGAGTTGTATGTTGAAGGTTTTGAATTTACCTTCACTTACTGGCGTTGTAAAGTCTCTAAGAAGCTCTTAGGAAATAAGTCAACATTGGCTTTTAATGCACACCTCACAGGAAATGGTGATGATTCAATCTTTTTTCTCCAACAAAGCTGAATGAGCCATGAGGTGCTGGACACTGAGAAGAAAAGAGCAGCTGCTACAGATACCATCATTTGGATGAGTCAAAAGATGTATGTGGCCAGGTGTGGTGACTCATGCCTGTAATCCCAGCACTTTGGGAGGCCAAAGTGAGCAGATCACTTGAGATTAGGAGTTTGAGACCAGCCTGGCCAACATGATGAAACACCATCTCTACAAAATATACAAAAATTAGCCAGGCGTGTTGGCAGGTGTGTGTAGTCCCAGCTACTTGGGAGGCTGAGTCAGGAAGATCACTTGAACCCAGGAGGCAGAGGTTGCAGTGACCAGAGATCATGCCACTGCACTCCAGCCTGGGCCACAGAGCAAGACCCTGTCTCAAAAAAAAAAAAAAAAAAAAAAAAAAAAAAGACAGAAAAGAAAAGAAAAAAGAAAAGAAATGTAATCCCCAGTGCTGGAGGTTAGGCCTAGTGGGAGGTGTTTGGATCATGTGGGCGGATCCTGCATGAATGGCTTAGTGCCATCCTCTTGATGATGAGAGCGAGTTCTCGTTCAGAGTTCAGGTGAGATCTGGTTGTTTAAAAGTGTGTGGCACCTCCCCCTGCTCCTCTTGCTCCTGCTCTCTCCATGTGATGCACCTGCTCCTGCTTTGCCTTCTGCCATAATTGTAAACTTACTGAGGCCTCACCAGAAGCCAGGCGGATGTTGGTGCCATGCTTGCACCGGCTATAGAACTGTGAGCCAATTAAGCCTCTTTTCTTTATAAATTACCAAGTCTCAGTTATTCCTGTATGGTAACACAAGAACAGTCTAATACACTCCTAGAATAAAACATAGGGAAAAACCTCTTTGACACTGGTCTGGGTAAAAATATTTTTAGATATGACACTGAAAAAACAAGCAACAAAAGCAAAAATAAATAAGTGGGACTATATCAAACTAAAAAGCTCAGCAAAGAAAACAACCAACAAAATAAAAAGACAACCTACAGAAGGGAAAAAAATATTTGCAAATCATTTATCTGATAAAAGGTTAATATCCAAAATACATAAGGAACTCAAATGACTCAATAGCAAAAACAAAAACAATAAAGGCCAGAAAATCTGATTTAAAAATCAGCTCTTGGGCAGAGCACGGTGACTCACGCCTGTAATCCCAGCACTTTGGGAGGCTGAGATGGGCAGATCACTTGAGGTCAGGAATTCGAGACCAGCCTGGCCAACATGGTGAAACCCTATCTCTACAACAAATACAAAAAACCAGACCGGGTGAGGCGTCTCACGCCTGTAATCCTAGCACTTTGGGAGGCCAAGGCAGGAGGATCACCTGAGGTCAGGAGTTCAAGACTAGCCTGACCAACATGGTGAAACCCCGTCTCTACTAAATACAAAAAAAATTACCGGGGCATGGTGGCACATGTGTAATCCCAGCTACTTGGGAGGCTGAGGCAGGAGAATCACTTGAACCCAGGAGGCAGAGGTTGCAGTGAGCCGAGATTGTGCCATTGCACTCCAGCCTGGGCAACAGAGCAAAACTCTGTCACAAAATAAAATAAAATAAAATAAAATAAAATAAAATAAAATAAAATAAAACAAAAATCAGCTCTTGATTTTCCATAGCCTCCTAACTGGGCTCTTCATCTTCAATCAATTCTCCACACAGTGTTGGAGTCATATGTTGCTTAATGACTGGGATACCTTCTAAGAAATGTGTCATCAGGCGATTCTGGACCTGAATAGATTTTTTTTTCAAGGAAGACGGATAAATGGCCAATAAGTATATGAAGAGGTACTCAACATTACTGATTATCACATAAATACAAATCAAAACTACAATGAGCTGGGCGTGGTGGCTCACTCCTGTAATCCCAGGACTTTGGGATGCCAAGACTGGCAGATTGCTTGAGTTCAGGAGTTCAAGACTAGCTTGGGCAACATGGTGAGAACCCATCTCTACCAAAACTACAAAAAATTAGCTGAGTGTGATGGCATGTGCCTGTGGTGCTAGCTACTCAGGAAGCTGAAATGGGAGGATCACCTGAGCCCAGGAGGCAGAGGTTGCAGTGAGCCGTAATCACGCCGCTGCACTCCAGCCTGTGTGACAGAGCAAGACTCTGTCTCAAAACAAAAACAAAAACAACAACCAAAACCAAAAAACAAAACTACAATTAGATATCACTTCCCACCTTTTGGGGTGCCTATGATAAAAAGACAAGATATAAGTATTGCTGAGGGTACAGAGAAAGGGCAGCCTTGTACACTGCTGTTAGGAATGTAAATTGGTACAGTTATCATGGAAAACAGTGTGAAATAAAAACAATTTTATTTAAAAAATTAAAATAGACCTACCTTAGGATCCAGCAATCCCTCTTCTGGATCTATAGTCCCCCCACAGAATGAAATCAGCACCATGAGAGATATCTGCCTTCCCATGTTCATGAAGCGTTAGTCAAAATAGCCCAAACATGGAAATAACATTTTAAGTGCCTATCAGTGGAATAATTGGTAAAGAATCTGTAGGCTATACAGGAATATTATGCAGCCATAAAAAGGAAGGAAATTCTGCCATTGCGGTAACATAGATGCAACTTGAGGGCATTATGCTAACTGAAATAAGCCAGACAGAGAAAGACAAATACTGCGTGATCTCACTTATATGCAGAATCTGAAATAGTTGAACCCATAAAAACAGATGATAGAATGGTGGTTACCAAGGTTAGAGGGTGGTGGAGGGAAAGGAAGCTATTGGTCGAAGGGCATAAACTTGCAGTTATAAGATGAGTAAGTTCAGGAGATCTGATATACAGTATGGTGACCATAGTTAACAATACTGAATTATACAGCATACTTGAAATTTGCTTGAATGTTCTCTCTGCAAAATAAAGAGTAACTAAATAAGATGAGAGATGTATTAACTAACTTGATTGTATAATAACTTCACAAAATATGTATGTATCAAATCATCATGTTGTATATCATCAAATTGTAGAATTTTATTCATCAATTATATTTCAACAAAGCTGGAAAACTAAAAAAAGAAACAAGTGTATAATTAATAACAATGCTGGTTGTAAATTAAAACTAAGCGTCATATTTTTGGTGTCAAAATGTTTGACATTTTTAAGAAAACATGTATAAGTGTTCTGCCTCTTGGATGAGACCATTTTAAATTAAGCTGTAAAAAAAAAGTACCGACAAAACAGTTCACTTTCAGTAATCTGGATTTCCCCAAATAGTGACACGAGAGCCAGTCATTTCGAATTGGACAGTTTGAGTTCCTCTTCAAGAGTCTGCAATGTAGGTCAGGGCTCTGCTGACATTTCCATTGACCTCAGAAGTGAAAATCTAAAGTGAGTGCTGACAGGCAGGCAGTGAGGAAAGAAGACATGACACAGCCAACAAGGGTGGCAGCCTGGCTCTGAAGTGGAATTATGTGCTTCAAACAGGTTGAAAGGTAAATAGGCAGCGATCATCCAAATACTTAAAGACAGCTATATTTCCTTTTGGAAATACATGGGCCAAGTTGTTTTCTCTTGCAAGTTCTCATGATATTCCATGCAGTGGTTACTGATGAAAAGGGAATCTATAATATTATATGGCATCACATTACTTTAAATAATAATTATTGCATATTTCCATCAGTTAACTTCTAACTAGGAACATTTTTAGGGCTTCTGTTGCTTCTTATGAAGAGAAGAATTACTATTGCTAACAAATAATGAAAGGGATCCCTATATTTCTGAGCCAAGGGGACCCCAGTTTTTTTAAATGTTACTAGATATTTTATGCGATATGATGAGCCATGCATTGCGTTCTCTTGTAGTTTTATAGAAAAAGCTCAGGTTTTATTAAACAGATAAAATAACTGAATAATGTTGATCATTGAGTAAATGAGTTAATTCATGTAACTGATTAATCAAATAGTGTAACTCTAGTTGTAAACTAACAACGGTATTATTAGGAATTTCTATAACGTGTTCCTTTCGCGTTCTCTACAGATGAAAGGCTTTTTCCTCTTTTTTAGGGGGTGCGGGGGACAAGGTCTCACTCTGTCGCCCAGGCTGGAGTGCAATGGTGTGATCATGGTTCACTGCAACCTTCACCTCCCGGGTAGCTGGGATGACCGTCACATGCCACCACACTGGGCTAATTTTTGTATTTTTAGTAGGGACAGGGTTTCACCCTGTTGCCCAGCCTGATCTCGAACTCCTGGGCTCAAGCAATCCACCGGCCTCTGCCTCCCAAAGTGCTGGGATTACAGGCATGAGCCACCACGCCTCCCCAGATGAAACGCTTTTTAGAGTCTCACTGGTGAGAGCACATATTGCTTAATCTCACTTCACTTTTCTTAATTTTGAATCCATTTTCTCTGGGAGTTCTGAAATTTTTGGCTCTTCCCAAGTTTAGCTCATCAAAGACTAGTATTTCTGGAGTGTGATAAGTATGTAACTTTGGCAGGGAGAAGAATTCATCACCAGAAGTTAGCTCAGCCCAGGCACCATGGTTCATGCCTGTAATCCTAGCACTTTGGGAGGTTGAGTTGGGAGGACCGCTTGAGCCCAGGAGTTTGAGGTTACAGTGAGCTATGATAATGCCGCTGCACTCCAGCCTGGGCTACAGAGCCTGGCCCTTGTCTCTAAAAAAATTTAAAACATAAAATAAAAAAAGAAGTTAACTCAGAGGAGGAGGTTTCTGATGAGAAAGGCTAGATTAGGAGGCACTGTAATGGATCAAATGCCCTACTGAGTTAATTCATAGTGACTTTTGAAGAGTATAAAATTCCATTTATTTGCTTTACTTCTCCATCTCTTGTTATATCTCCTAAATATACCAGTAACATTTCTTTGCTCTGTTTCCTTCCTTCCTTTCTTCCTTCCTTCTTTCCTTCTTCCTCCCTAATCAAAGGTTCCCATCAAATACAATAATTCTTAGGGAAAAATGTTATGCTTTTTATTATTTTACTAAAATACTACAATTTAAACATTTTTCATATTTTTTTTCCAGAGGGAAACAGTCTTTTCCTGCTTCCAGACATGAATCAGGTCACTATTCAATGGGATGCAGTAATAGCCCTTTACATACTCTTCAGCTGGTGTCATGGAGGTATGGTGTTTTATGTATCTATTGCTATCTTTCATTCAACAAATGGAATATTGAGTGATTATCATTTTCATGGTTTTATGTTAGAATCTCTGAAGAATACAAATATTATTAGACTAGAAAAAATGTGTGCATAAAAATTACATAGAATGAAATAAAAATGGCCCAATCTCCTTCCAAATGCAGGATTTCTTTCTCAAATTTCCCTTCTAGACAGCCCTCTTACTCACATGTGGATATTTCCACAAAGGAGCTTATTAGTTTGAGTTGGCATGTTCTATTGTCAAACTATTATAACTGTTATATAATTACCTGTCAAACATTTGGATGCAATTCTATTTCACAAACCACTTGTTGATAGTTACTTTGTGCCGGGCACATAGTAACTATGTGGGCCATTGGCAAGAGTATGATTTTATTCATTATATTCAAACTTTACTGAAAAAAGTAGGCTTTATCTAAAAAAGAACAAAAGATTGGTTGAGTAGCTAGAGAATGGGGTTCAGATTCTACAGTGCCTAGTGTTATTTCTAATCTTACCTTTGAAAAATACTGTAGCTTTATAATCTCTCGGTTCTCTACTTTAAAGTAGGAGAGCTAATTATATTTGCTCTTTAGACACTTAGAGAAGCTTCCAGGCTGACTCTAGTCTTGTGTCATGGTGCTGAACATCAATAAAAGCATAACAGAGGCCAGACGAGGTGGCTAATGCCTGTAATCCCAGCACTTTGGGAGGCCGAGGCGGGTGGATCACCTGAGGTCAGGAGTTCAAGATCAGCCTGGCCAACATGGTGAAACGCCATATTAGCCGGGCGTGGTGGTGCTCACCTGTAATCCCAGCTACTCAGGAGGCTAAGGCAGGAGAATCGCTTGAACCTGGAAGGCGGATGTTGCAGTGAGCCGAGATCGCAACACTGCACTGCAGCCTGGGTGACAGAATGAGACTGTCTCAAAAAAAAAAAAAAAAAAAAAAGCCTAACAGAAACACACTGTAATAGGCTAGTTTATGAAAAGATACATCTAGTCCTAAAACTGTTTTCAATGGAATCATTTAGTTAATAGAAATGATAAATTTAAAATGCAATAGCATATTCTTCTGAATCTCTTGATTTAATGTTTTACGTGTAATTTATTATTTTTCCATTTATTTCTAGGAATTACAAATATAAACTGCTCTGGCCACATCTGGGTAGAACCAGCCACAATTTTTAAGATGGGTATGAATATCTCTATATATTGCCAAGCAGCAATTAAGAACTGCCAACCAAGGAAACTTCATTTTTATAAAAATGGCATCAAAGAAAGATTTCAAATCACAAGGATTAATAAAACAACAGCTCGGCTTTGGTATAAAAACTTTCTGGAACCACATGCTTCTATGTACTGCACTGCTGAATGTCCCAAACATTTTCAAGAGACACTGATATGTGGAAAAGACATTTCTTCTGGATGTAAGTGTTGGGGCACATTTGAAATGCAAACAAAAGCTAGTTTAACAATTAACTGGTCATTACCACACTAGTCTAAAAATAGGGACAAAATAATATAGTTCAGTTTTTAGATTAGTTTCATACAGGAGCTGCAAACTCAAATGTCTCCAGGGCCAGGTTGGTGAACTATATGAACTGTAGCCACTGCCCAGATCCAGTAATCACAGGTGCCCGGTATTCCTACATCTTTTGGCTTTTCAAAGGAAGACAGAAACATAAAATTTTAATGTGTACTCTCTAAATTTTAAAATGTTGCCAATACATTCAAAAAACAATTTTTCACCTCTACCCTGAACGAACACTGCATATGTGAGGGCCAGCCCCGTTAGATTTAAAATGTTGCTCTTTTAATCTTCTTGTTTATTTTTCTAAACTAATATAATATAATTAACCTTGAAGCAGATCCCATTGAGAAATTTTGAGGCCAAGGTTTAGGGAGAGTTGCAAAACTAGTTTTGTGCTCCCACTGTACTGCTAGGTTTGTGACCTTGGACAAGTTGCTTAAGCCTCAATTCCTCGCCTGTAAAAGGAGGCTAATTATACAGGCTGTGTTATGCACTTAATTTCAATAATTTATTTGGAAGCATATGATAAAGTTTAAAGTACATCAGTACCCAAATCCTTAAAAATGCATCCTTTTGATAAAACATAGGGAGAGTCTCCTACAGTCCTCTGTTCCTAATCTCACTATTCCAATTTAGAATCACTGTGTTTGTTATTGTAACTATTAATTTTTTTCTTTTTCTTAAAACCCACCTTGAAGGGAATAATTATTAATTTATTTAAAAGCTTAGTCAAGTCAATCTTAAAAATATACGCTAAATTCAATGTGTGCTCTGAGTGTCCTGGAGGTGTTTAAATCACTATAGTGATATGGGCTGGCTCGTATAATTATATACCTAGTTTGGGTTCTACTATTATGAAGGGTGTAAATCAATAAGTTCAGCACTGTTTTAACTCAGATATTCATTCTCTATAGCACTTGAACCCATTTTCAGTAAAAAAATAAAGGAATTTGTGTCTTTGCCATGTTCCCGTCCTCCACATTTTTGAGAATCAAGCCTCAGTTCTTGCTTCTTCTTCACCTTTACAACTTAGCTGGGGGGCAGACCCATATCACCACTACCACCTGACCCCATTGTGGCTGCTTGGAAAGTAAGAGGCTTCCTTGCTCTATAATGAGGCCATTGTCCTACTTAACTCTGAGCAGCTGATCTTGCAAGCTTTTCAAGAGAAGGAACTATAGAAAGTTGTAGAGGTGAGTTGAGGAAGGAAAGTCATAGGTTTTGGAGTCAAAGAATAAATCTACCTTAAACTGATGCCTTAAAGCTGCTAAACTTGCCCTAAATTGTGGAAATTAAACCGCAGGCAGACATCTTATCTGATGTAAGAAATCTTCTTAGCTTGTCCACATCCTCAGGAAACATAACCAAACCTCAATGCCCAAATACTTTACTATTTATCCTTTGGGGGTGGGAGTTGGGTAGAGAGACTATACAATTTCTTTGGAGGGCAAATAAGCAACTTTCACAGTTACAGAAAAAGCTTAGTTGTTAATTTAAGCCAGAGGAAAAAAAAGGAAGCAAAATAAACATTGTCTCTGTTAAAAAACAAAATTTCAGCAAATTTAGTTTTTAGATCTGATAGGTTTTTATGTGTGATTCATGAATCGGCAGCATCTCTTTCTAAAAAACTGATATGTGCTCTGAGTGTCCTGGAGGTGTTTAAGTTACTATAGTGATATGGGCTGGCTTGTATAATTATATACTTAGTTTTGGCTCTACTATTCTAACAGAACAGTTGGTTTTTGTAAGGTAGGAACAAGAAATAGAAATTTTTATAAAAACTACCAGATTGGTTAACATTGTTACTTCAGGTTATTTTCCTTGTAATGGTTAAAGCAGAGGGGATTTCCTTATCATCCCTGCTCAGGTTGACTGGGCTCTTTCTACGTGGTTGCTGTGAATTTTCTGTTTTCAGGAAAAACTAGTCTGTGGGAGTTTTACCTGCTTCCTTAAAGTTTCAGCTTGGTTATATGTCACTTAACAGGAGTGACTTCATTTTGGTTTGGTATGTGGGGGCCTAGTGCAGGAGCTCAGTCCAAAACAATGGTCTCCTATACATTTTATTTAACACCACCTTCCGTGTGTTGCAGTTTGTATAACTGATTACTCCCAAAAGCCCTCCCAAGTGTTGGCTGGGGGGCCTCTGTCCCCAAACCCAACACCAGGCAATGTAGAAGGTAAGAGAATGGACTTTGTTCCTCTTCCAGGACAGCCTAATAGAAATACATTCTCTGCCGATGGCTGCTTAGAAAGAACATCACTCTTTCCACTTATTTAACTTTTGAGTTTGTGAATTGTAACTCCTTACATAGGCCTCTGGTTATGAGTGTAAAAATGTAACTGCCAGGTGAGAATTTACTCAAACCCCTGGATTCAAGCTGAATGTCTTCTTGAGCTCTACATTCTTAGCAAACAAAACTTCCTATTTAAGTAGGTCAAAAAAGGGTTTTTGAGGGTTTTGTGGCATTCTAGAAATCACATTGCTTTCACTGGACCACTTTGATCACAGGATATTTGTCATGTGAGATTTATTATGTCAACTTATCATCACTGCTTTGAACAAAATGATTATATGTATTTTTTTAGACTAGAGACAAATTGTAAAAGACAAGATAAATGAGTCATTGCTTTCCTTGAAAAGCTATCCAAATATATTTTAAAGTGCTGTGCTTTAATGTATAATTTGTGAAATATAAACCATATTATCACAATTTCCATTTTTAGCCACAATCCTAGACACTTCTTAGATTCTTATCTAAGACTAAATGCACACATATTATGGGAAATTTGTTCTAATCAGGCCACACCAATCATGGGATAAAATACAAGATGTCTTTATTCATTTAAAAATACCAAATTAAACCATGCACAGTCATGTTTCCACTTAATCATTTGTTTAAAATTTTAAATATCTTTGACTTTTTAAATTTTAACTTTTGGACTTTATTTACAATGATGAAAGCACATTTGTTATTCAATAAAAGCCTCTGAATATTTGTTTCTAACATTGCTATTAAGTATGATTACGGAACAATTAGGCTGGCCTGTGCCCTGCTTGAGTAAGAAATTATAGAGTGATCTTTGCCAGAAGCATTGCATCTCTCTCCATTTTAATCCTTCATGTTATTATCTTAATCAAGCCAATCAATTCATGGAATAAACTTTATTGAGTGGTTACTATGCACCAAAAATGTGTTAAATGCTAGAAGTACAAAGAAGAGGAAATCACGGACTGTTTTCAAGAAGTTCTCAGTAGAAAGGGATCCTTGGCTAGACTCTGAATTAACAAGAAACCTGGCCTGTGATTCCTGAGTGTCCCAATAATAGGGGAGGGGTGGGATTGGCAAGAAAGAGCAAAAACATAAGCCCCCTTTTGTATACCTCAGAGTATTCTCTAGTATCTAGTTGTATAGCCAGGTTTTGTTCTTGGATATTGAATAACCTGGCAATGAGGCCTAACAACAACTTGATGTTATTATCATAAGCATACTCACAGGCCCATCTTTACATTGCTTCATGTTAACAAACACTTATTTGCATGTGTGTGTATAGTCATCTTTTTGATCTTTTGCAAAGTTAATTGACCACCAGACATTTGTAACCCCAAGAATTCACTTCATGTAGATGCCGTGGAGTAACACAGCCCAAACAATCTGATAGCCAAATCAATGGCACTCTGTATCTGAAACCAGAGGAAAAAATAACTTCAGCACAAATCATTGTAATCAATGAGGGACCACAACTCAAACTCCAAAATGATTTAAATTTATGTTTCCACACCTACTTCATTTAAGGCTCAATTAAAACAAAGATTTATTTTACCCTACTTGGAGCCCAGTTTCTCTCCATTGTAACTCAATGCTACAAGTCGCCAAAATGTTGTAAAGTACTTTTTAGTGTGTTCTTACTGTTTGAATATAGGTTTTTTTAAAAGGATATTAGACCTTCGATATATGAAAATAGTTTTTTAATTATAAAATCAAATTGCATTGAATATAGAGAGTTTTTAAAATGTAGACCAGCAAAAAAGAAATACCTATCATTCCCATAAAACCATAACTTTACTAGTAACCATAATCCCTCTTTAATAATTTGGAATATGTCTTTGAAATTTCAGACCCTCTCTTTCTCAGTCTCTCACTTAAATGAAACCACTAATTGAACCATTTTGCAACCTGCTTTTTTCACTTTGCCATATGATCATGACTTCACTACATATACTTTTAATTCCTTCCAAAGGCCAAGTACTTAAACTGTCTTCTTCAACATTGCTTTTGGATGTGTTTAGGACTGTATTATAGTTTATTTAACCTTATTTTGGAAAATTAAGTTTGTTTACAATTTTTTCATTGTTATGAACAATAAGGGAACATCCTTTAAGCCAAATATTTTATATATCTATGAACATTTCAATAAGGATGCATTCTTAGATGTATAATTGCTGAGTTGCAAAATATTACACCTGCTTTTACAGATTGTGATATGTAAAGTGCTCTCCATAAAGGCTGTACCAATTTGTACTTCCACCAGAAGTGTGTTAGAGGATTTCCATGAGTCCACTCCAACACTGTGTACTATCATTTTTCAAAATCCTTGCTAATTTGATAGGCTTGAATGACATCTAGTATTGCCTTGATTTGCAGTGAGAATAAAATTTTTAATATATTTGTTTATTGTTCTACAAGCAATATTTTTGGTAAGCAATTTGCAGGTGAAGTGAAAGCATATATGTACTTAAGATAAATCTTTGGATGTAACTTCAGACGCATAAATGTCTGTATTTTCATTCTTTATGAGCCCCTATCCTTCCATTTGTCTTGTCATTCTCTGAGCAGTCAAGTGTCCCAGCAGTATTTCACACGTAGGGATGAACTAAGAGAGCCACACCTGAAAAGTGAATATTTAACAAACACTCAATATTTCTATACTTAAAAAAATCTTAATCTTATTCACTATTGAATGATATAACTGAAAATTCTAGGTGTCATTCTATAGTTGTTGGGGTTTCATAGGCTTTAGAGGCCCCCAAAACTCAATGTCATCAGAACTCTCTCATCTTTTCCAGTCTGCTAGGTATTGTTTTCCCCTGTGTTGGCTTCATTCTTAAATAGACTAAAGACTGTGAAAAAGCCTGTTTCACAATGACAGCAAGATGGCCACCAGCAACTTACAGCTCACATGCTACTCAGAGATAGCAGTTTCAGGAGGAAAGAGTGTGCTTCTTTTACAGTGGTTTAGAAAAAGTGCCTTGGAGAATTCTGATTGGTTCATCTTGAGTCATATGTTCATTCCCAAAGGCACACTCCTATTAGTCGGCCTACCTCAGAGGCACACTTCTGTGGAGAGCCTCTTGATTGACAGGTCTTGGGGTTGGGGTGGGGGTGAGATTGGAGTGAGGGGCTGGAGGGGATGTCAGTTCTCAAGAGGGAAAGACGCTAGCCAATGAAAAATAAAAATGTTTGCCATAACATGGCCACCTGGAGAAAGAGCTGGGCAGGAATGGGGGTGGGATGAGTTGAGTGGAGTGACAGGAAAAGAGCCTTGAAATAGAGTTGCATGAATACCAAACTTTAAAAAAACCTTGTTGTGTTGGTGGTAAAATACATAACATAAAATGTACCATTTTTACCATGGTTAAGTGTGCAGTTCAGTGGCACTAAGTACACTTACACTGTTGTACAACCATCACCACCATTTATCTCCAGAACCCTCTTATTGCAAATGGAAAGTCTGCAGCCTTTAAACAAATATCCACTTCCCTCTCCTCCAAGCCCCAGCAACTGCCATTCTACTTTCTACAAGTTTGACTCTTCCAGATACCTTGTGTAAGGGGTCATGCAATGTTTTTCCTTTAGGGTCTGTCTTACTTCGCTTAATATAATGTCTTCAAGTTTCATCCACATTGTAGCATGTGTTAAAATTTCCTTCCTTTTTAAGGCTGAGTAATATCTTATTGCATGTATGAACACCCAACTTTTAAAATGAGTAGTGGAAAATGTGCAAGAGAAGAAGATAGTCTGCCAGAGTAGTAGAAGAAAACTACAAAGAACCCATTCGCAAGAGCCAAAGGCAAAGAGGTTTCTTTTCTTGTCTCGTTTTTGAGACAAGGTCTCACTGTGTCACCCAGGCTGGAGTGCAGTGTCTTGGTCATAGCTCACTGCAGCCTCAAACTCCTAGGCTCCAGGAATCCTTCCAGCCTCAGCCTCCCAAGTAGCTGAGACTACAGATATGAGCCACCACACCCAGCTTTAAAACAGAGAGCTTTCAAGGAGGGAGTGAGCAAAATATCAAATGCTGCTCAATGACATCAAACTCAAACTCAATGACAAATGACCAGAGATGGGGTCTGTTGAAGAGAAAGTCATCAATGACCTTAGCAACAATGGTTTTGGTGGAATTGTGGAGGCTGAATCCTGATTGTTTTGGGTTTAAATGCATATGGGAAATGAAGAATAATAGGCTCTTTAAAAGTGTTTAGCTGTTAAGAAAAAAAGAAAGATACAGGAGTAGCTGGGGGAGACTGAATTTAGGATAATATAGTCAAGTATAAGAAGAAGAGGAATGGATATTTGATGGTAAAGTGGGTTGCAAGGTAAGGTAGTAGGGATGGAATGAGGAGCAGGGAGGTGCTGAGTACTGATTGGCCTGACTTCTCAAATAAAATTGTCAGTTTCTCAACGGACTATAGAGAACTTCATATTTCTTTTTTTTTTATTCTTCCATTACAAATTTATTATCTTTTCAGACAAGTTGAGACATACTAATTTAAAATAAATTCCCTTTTCAGTGAAAAGTTGATAAGTTTAATCAGGTAAAGCTAATGATTAGGTAAGCAATCAATGTTTATAATTGCATCACAACTTTTCTGGCCAGTGACTTTTTATTTATCTATTTAATTTTTTTAAATTATACTTGAAGTTTTAGGGTACATGTGCACAACGTGCAGGCTTGTTTCATACATATACATGTGCCATGTTGGTGTGCTGCACCCATTAACTGATCATTTAACATTAGGTATATCTCCTAATGCTATCCCTCCCCCCTCCTCCCACCACACAACTGGCCCCGGTGTGTGATGTTCCCCTTCCTGTGTCCATGTGTTCTCATTGTTCAGTTCCCACCTATGAGTGAGAACATGTGGTGTGATAGTTTGCTGAGAATGATGGTTTCCAGCTTCATCCATGTCCCTACAAAGGACATGAACTCATCATTTTTTATGGCTGCATAGTATTCCATGCTATATATGTGCCACATTTTTTTAATCCACTCTATCATTGTTGGACATTTGGGTTGGTTCCAAGTCTTTGCTATTGTGAATAGTGCCACAATAAACATACGTGTGCATGTGTCTTTACAGCAGCATGATTTATAATCCTTTGGGTATATACTCAGTAGTGGGATGGCTCAGTCAAATGGTATTTCTAGTTCTAGATCCCTGAGGAATCGCCACACTGACTTCCACAATGGTTGAACTAGTTTACAGTCCCACCAACAGTGTAAAAGTGTTCCTATTTCTCCACATCCTCTCCAGCACCTGTTGTTTCCTGACTTTTTAATGATCACCATTCTACCTGGTGTGAGATGGTATCTCATTGTGGTTTTGATTTGCATTTCTCTGATGGCCAGTGATGATGAGCATTTTTTCATGTGTCTGTTGGCTGCATAAATGTCTTCTTTTGAGAAGTGTCTGTTCATATCTGTTGCCCACTTTTTGATGGGGTTGTTTGTTTTTTTCTTGTAAATTTGTTTGAGTTCTTTGTAGATTCTGGATATTAGCCCTTTGTCAGATGAGTAGATTGCAAAAATTTTCTCCCATTCTGTAGGTTGCCTGTTCACTCTGATGGTAGTTTCTTTTGCTGTGCAGAAGCTCTTTAGTTTAATTAGATCCCATTTGTCAATTTTGGCTTTTGTTGCCATTGTTTTTAGTGTTTTCATCATGAAGTCTTTGCCCATGCCTATGTCCTGAATGGTATTATCTAGGTATTCTTCTAGGGTTTTTATGGTTTTAGGTCTTATGTTTAAGTATTGAATCCATCTTGAGTTAATTTTTGTATAAGGTGCAAGGAAGGGATCCAGTTTCAGCCTTATGCATATGGCTAGCCAGTTTCCCAACACAATTTATTAAATAGGGAATCCTTTCCCTATTGCTCGTTTTTGTCAGGTTTGTCAAAGATCAGATGGTTGTAGATGTGTGGTGTTATTTCTGAGGTCTCTGTTCTGTTCCATTGGTCTATATATCTGTTTTGGTACCAGTATCCTGCTGTTTTTGTTACTGTAGCCTTGTAGTATAGTTTGAAGTCAGGTAGCATGATGCCTCCGGCTTTGTCCTTTTGGCTTAGGATTGACTTGGCGATGCAGGCTTGTGTTTGGTTCCATATGACCTTTAAACTAGTTTTTTCCAATTCTGTGAAGAAAGTCATTGGTAGCTTGATGGGGATGGCATTGAATCTATAAATTACCTTGGGCAGTATGGCCATTTTCACGATATTGATTCTTCCTCCCCATGAGCATGGAATGTTCTTCCATTTGTTTGTGTCCTCTTTTATTTCATTGTACAGTGGTTTGTAGTTCTCTTTGAAGAGGTCCTTCACATCCCTTGTAAGTTGGATTCCTAGGTATTTTATTCTCTTTGAAGCAATTGTGAATGGGAGTTCACTTTTGATTTGGCTCTCCATTTGTCTGTTATTGGTGTATAAGAATGCTTGTGATTTTTGCACATTGATTTTGTATCCTGAGACTTTGCTAAAGTTGCCTATCAGCTTAAGGAGATTTTGGGCTGAGACGATGGGGTTTTCTAGATATACAATCATGTCATCTGCAAACAGGGACAATTTGACTTCCTCTTTTCCTAATTGAATACCCTTTATTTCCTTCACCTGCCTGATTGCCCTGGCCAGAACTTCCAACACTATGTTGAATAGGAGTGGTGAGAGAGGGCATCCCCATCTTGTGCCAGTTTTCAAAGGGAATGCTTCCAGTTTTTGCCCATTCAGATGATATTGGCTGTGGGTTTGTCATAGATAGCTCTTATTATTTTGAGATACGTCCCACTAATACCTAATTTATTGAGAGTTTTTAGCATGAAGCTTGTTGAATTTTGTCAAAGGCCTTTTCTGCAGCTATTGAGACAATCATGTGGTTTTTGTCATTGGTTCTGTTGATATGCTGGATTACGTTTATTGATTTGCATATGTTGAACCAGCCTTGCCTCCCAGGGAGGAAGCCCACTTGATCATGGTGGATAAGCTTTTTGATGTGCTGTTGGATTCGGTTTGCCAGTATTTTATTGAGGATTTTTGCATCGATGTTCATCAGAGATATTGGTCTAAAATTCTCTTTTTTGGTTGTGTCTCTGCCAGGCTTTGGTATCAGGAAGATGCTGGCCTCATAAAATGAGTTAGGGAGGATTCCCTCTTTTTCTATTGATTGGAATAGTTTCAGAAGGAATGGTACCAGCTTCTTCTTGTACCTCTGGTAGAATTTGTCTGTGAATCCATCTGGTCCTGGACTTTTTTTGGTTGGTAGGCTATTAATTATTGCCTCAATTTCAGAGCCTATTATTGGCCTATTCAGAGATTCAACTTCTTCCTGGTTTAGTCTTGGGAGGGTGTATGCGTCCAGGAATTTATCCATTTCTTCTAGACTTTCTAGTTTATTTGCATCAAGGTGTTTATAGTATTCTCTGATGGTAGTTTGTATTTCTGTGGGATCGGTGGTGATATCCCCTGTATCATTTTTTATTGCATCTGTTTGATGCTTCTCTCTTTTCTTCTTTATTAGTCTTGCTAGTGGTCTATCAATTTTGTTGATTTTTTCAAAAAAAACAGCTCCTGGATTCATTGATTTTTTGAAGGGTTTTTTGTGTCTCTATTTCCTTCAGTTCTGCTCTGATCTTAGTTATTTCTTGCCTTCTGCTAGCTTTTGAATGTGTTTGATCTTGCTTCTCCAGTTCTTTTAATTGTGATGTTAGGTTGTCAATTTTAGATCTTTCCTGCTTTCTCTTGTGGGCATTTAGTGCTATAAATTTCCCTCTACACACTGCTTTAAATGTGTCCCAGAGATTCGGGTATGTTGTGTCTTTGTTCTCGTTGGTTTCAAAGAACATCTTTATTTCTGCCTTCATTTCGTTATGTACCTAGTAGTCATTCAGGAGCAGGTTGTTCAGTTTCCATGTAGTTGAGCAGTTTTGAGTGAGTTTCTTAATCCTGAGTCCTAGTTTGATTGCACTGTGGTCTGAGAGACAGTTTGTTAGAATTTCTGTTTTTTTACATTTGCTGAGGAGTACTTTACTTCCGACTATGTGGTCAATTTGGAAGAGGTGTGGTGTGGTGCTGAGAAGAATATATATTCTGTGGATTTAGGGTGGAGAGTTCTGTAGATGTCTATTAGGTCTGCTTGGTGCAGAGCTGAGTTCAATTCCTGGATATCATTGTTAACTTTCTGTCTCGTTGATCTGTCTAATGTTGACAGTGGGGTGTTAAAGTCTCCCATTATTATTGTGTGGGGAGTCTAAGTCTCTTTGTAGGTCTCTAAGGACTTGCTTTATGAATCTGGGTGCTCCTGTATTGGGTGCATATATATTTAGGATAGTTAGCTCTTCTTGTTGAATTGATCCCTTTACCATTATGTAATGGCCTTTTTTGTCTCTTTTGATCTTTGTTGGTTTAAAGTCTGTTTTATCAGAGACTAGGATTGCAACCCCTGCCTTTTTTTGTTTTCCATTTGCTTGGTAGATCTTCCTCCATCCCTTTATTTTGAGCCTATGTGTGTCTCTGCACGTGAGATGGGTTTCCTGAATACAGCACGCTGATGGGTCTTGACTCTTTATCCAATTTGCCAGTCTGTGTCTTTCAATTGGAGCATTTAGCCCATTTACATTTAAGGTTAATATTGTTATGTGTGAATTTGATCCTGTCATTATGATGTTAGCTGGTTATTTTGCTCATTAGTTGATACAGTTTCTTCCTAGCCTCGATGGTCTTTACAATTTGGCACGTTTTTGCAGTGGCTGGTACTGGTTTTTCCTTTCCATGTTTATTGCTTCCTTCAGGAGCTCTTTTAGGGCAGGCCTGGTGGTGACAAAATCTCTCAGCATTTGCTTGTCTGTAAAGTATTTTATTTCTCCTTCACTTATGAAGCTTAGTTTGGCTGGATATGAAAATCTGAGTTGAAAATTCTTTTCTTTAAGAATGCTGAATATTGACCTCCACTCTCTTCTGGCTTTTAGAGTTTCTGCTGAGAGATCCGCTGTTAGTCTGATGGGCTTCCCTTTGTGGGTAACCCGACCTTTCTCTCTGGCTGTGCTTAACATTTTTTCCTTCATTTCAACTTTGGTGAATCTGACAATCATGTGTCTTGGAGTTGGTCTTCTCGAGGAGTATCTTTGTGGCGTTCTCTGTATTTCCTGAATCTGAATGTTGGCCTGCCTTGCTAGATTTGGGAAGTTCTCCTGGATCCTACTCTGGGGAAGTATCCTGCAGAGTGTTTTCCAGCTTGGTTCCATTCTCCCTGTCACTTTCAGGTACACCAATCAGACATAGATTTGGTCTTTTCACATAGTCCCGTATTTCTTGGAGGCTTTGTTCATTTCTTTTTATTCTTTTTCCTCTAAACTTCTCTTCTCACTTCATTTCATTCATTTGATATTCCATCACTGATACCCTGTCTTCCAGTTGATCGAATTGGCTGCTGAGGCTTGTGCATTCATCATGTAGTTCTCGTGCCATGGTTTTCAGCTCCATCAGGTCCTTTAAGGACTTCTCTGCATTGGTTATTCTAGTTAGCCATCCGTCTAATCTTTTTTCAAGGTTTTTAACTTCTTTGCCATGGGTTCAAACTTCCTCCTTTAGCTCGGAGAAGTTTGATCTTCTGAAGCCTTCTTCTCTCAACTTGTCAAAGTCATTCTCCATCCAGCTTTGTTCCATTGCTGGTGAGGAGCTGCATTCCTTTGGAGGAGGAGAGGCGCTCTGATTTTTAGAATTTTCAGTTTTTCTGCTCTGTTCTTTCCCCATCTTTGTGGTTTTATCTATCTTTGGTCTTTGATGATGGTGATGTACAGATGGGGTTTTGGTGTGGATGTCCTTTCTGTTTGTTAGTTTTCCTTCTAACAGTCAGGAACCTCAGCTGCAGGTCTGTTGGAGTTTGCTGGAGGTCCATTCCAGCCCTGTTTGCCTGGGTATCAGCAGTGGAGGCTGCAGAACAGCGAATATTGGTGAACAGCAAATGTTGCTGCCTGATTGTTCCTCTGGAAGTTTTGTCTCAGAGGAGTACCTGGCCATGTGACGTGTCAGTCTGCCCCTACTGGGGGGTGCCTCCCAGTTAGGCTACTCAGAGGTCAGGGACCCACTTGAGGAGGCAGTCTGTCCATTCTCAGATCTCAAGCTGTGTGCTGGGAGAACCACTACTCTCTTCAAAGCTGTCAGACGGGGACATTTAAGTCTGCAGAGGTTTCTGCTGCCTTTTGTTTAGCTATGCCCTGCCCCCGGAGGTGGAGTCTACAGAGGCAGGCAGTCAGGCCTCCTTGAGCTGCAGTGGGCTCCACCCAGTTCGAGCTTCCCAGCCACTTTGTTTACCTACTCAAGCCTCAGCAATGGCGGGCACCCCTCTCCCAGCCTCGCTGCCACCTTGCAGTTTGATCTCAGACTGCTGTGCTAGCAATGAGTGAGGCTTGATGGGCATAGGACCCTCTGAGCCAGGCATGGGATATAAGCTCCTGGTGTGCCATTTGCTGAGACTGTCGGAAAAGTGCAGTATTAGGGTGGGAGTGACCCTATTTTCCAGGTGCCATCTGTCACCCCTTTCCTTGGCTAGGAAAGGGAATTCCCTGACCCCTTGCACTTCCCGGGTGAGGCAATGCCTCGCCCTGCTTCGGCTCACACTCTGTGCACTGCACCCACTGTCCCGCACCCACTGTCTGATAAACCCCAGTGAGATGAACCCGGTACCTCAGTTGGAAATGAAGAAATCGTTCGTCTTCTGCATCATTCACGCTGGGAGCTGTAGACTGGAGCTGTTCCTATTCAGCCATCTTGGCTTGGGACCAGAGAACTTCGTATTTCTTACAGCACCTCCTAAGTGTTATGTTTTGTTGCAGATCCGCCAGATATTCCTGATGAAGTAACCTGTGTCATTTATGAATATTCAGGCAACATGACTTGCACCTGGAATGCTGGGAAGCTCACCTACATAGACACAAAATACGTGGTACATGTGAAGAGGTAGGTCACTTCCTCACGGCTTCATATAAGCAGTTCCACCCCAGTTCAGCCAGAGCTCTGCCTCCAGCAGAGATCCAAGAAATCAGCCTCAAACATTAAATATATACCCTGATTTATCCCTTATTTCCTACTTATGATCAGTGAAACTACCAAAGCCCTTTTCAAGCCATTAATATTTTCACTCTGGCAGGCAAAGTGCTCTATGATCTTTCTGTCCTTTTTATTCATTAGTAGGTAACTGGTAGCAGGCTCCTAATGGTGGTACAGCCTAGCACAGTTTTAAGCCATTGCTTAGGACGGGCACAGTGGCTCACACCTGTAATCCCACACTTTGGGAGGCCAAGGTGGGTGAATAACCTGAGGTCAGGAGTTTGAGACCAGCCTGGCCAACATGGTGAAACCTGGTTTCTACTGAAAATACAAAAATTAGCCAGGCATTGTGGCAGGCATCTGTAATTCCAGCTGCTCAGGAGGCTGAGGCAGGAGAATTGCTTGAACCCAGGAGGCAGAGGTTGCAGTGAGCCGAGACTGTGCCACTGCACTCTAGCCTGGGCGACAGAACAAGACTCCATCTCAAAAAATAAAATAAAATAATAAATTATTGCTTAAATCCCTGCTCTATTCTTCTTCTAGGGTTTCAACAACTTAATTTCCCCGAATTGCTATTATTTTTAATCTTTAAATGGGCCTAAAAATAAAACATAACACACAGGTTTGTTCTAATTAATTATGTGGAATTTGGCTTTTAAAGTGTATATAATTATGCCATATTACCACTAAATTCATGGAAGCTATTGTTAATAATGACCCTCAGATCTTAAATTTAGTGTCTACATAGCTGATCAACTTTCCTGTTTGCCTTATACTAAGGGGGTTTTCAGGACAAAGGATTTTCAGTTTTAAAACCTGGAAAGTTGTGGGCAAACTAGGACAAGTTGCTTACCTTATCCGTGTTTCTTGTTTTGTTTAGTTTATTAAAAAATAAAATTCCAGGCCAGGCATAGTGGCTCATGCCTGTAATCCCAGCACTTTGGGAGACTGAGGCTGGTGGATCACCCGAGGTCAGGAGTTCAAGATCAGCCTGGCCAACATGGTGAAACCCCATCTCTACTAAAAATACAAAAATTAGCTGGGCGTGGTGGTGGGCGCCTGTAATCCCAGCTACTCAGGAGGCTGAAGCAGGGAGAATTGCTTGAACCCAGGAGGCAGAGGTTGCAGTGAGCTGAGATCACGCCACTGCACTCCAGCCTGGGCGAAAGAGCGAGACTCCATCTCAAAAATAATAATAAATAAAATAAGATGCCGGCTGGGCGCGGTGGCTCCCGCCTGTAATCCCAGCACTTTGGGAGGCTGAGGTGGGTGCATCACCTGAGATCAGGAATTTGAAATGAGCCTGGCCAACATGGTGAAACCCCGTCTCTACTAAAAATGCAAAAATTAGCCAGGTGTGGTGGCACACACTTGTAATCCCAGCTACTGGGGAGGCCGAGACAGGAGAATTGCTTGAACTCAGGAGACAGGAGCTTGCAGTGAGCCAAGATCGTGCCATTGCACTCCAGCCTGGGCAACAAGAGGGAAACTCTGTCTCAAAAAATAAATAAAATAAAATAAATAAAATAAAATAAAATAAAATAAAATAAAATAAAATAAAATAAAATAAGCCTTCTGTGGTGTTGTTGAAGTATGCTTTTTTTTTTCTGTCACTAATTCTTAAAAATTTCACAAACCATTTTGTAAAGCATTTATTGGACCCTTACTGTTTGCCAAGCACTGGGCCAAGAGCTTTATAAATGCTGCCTCATTTAATACCCTATACAACCATGTGAAGCCCTGGGATCATACAAATGCTTATATCCTCCTAAAATTCATATGTTGAAACAAACCCCCAATGCAATAGTAACAAGAGTTGGGGCCTTTGAAGTGAGATTAGGTCATGAGGGTAAAGCCCTCATGGATGGAATTATTGCCCTTCCATAAGAGGCCTGAAAGAGAGCTTGTTTGCCCTTCTACCCTGTGAGGACACAACCAGAAGGTGCTGTCTGTAAAGCAGAGAGTGAGCCCTCACCAGACACTGAATCTGCTGATGCCTTGATCTTGGACTTCCAAGCCTCCAGAACTGTAAACAATAAATTTCTGTTGTTTATAAATTGCCTAGTCTAAGGTATTTGTATGGCAGCTCAAAGAGACTAAGACAGCTGCATACAATTATTTTTCCCATTTGTATAGACAAGGGAACTGAGACTTAGTGAGGTCAGGTAATGAATGTATCCAGGACCACACAGCTGCAGAGAAGGAGAGGTGGAATTTGAACATAGGTTGCCTGACTGTCTTCTCAACTTATTTTCTGCTGAAGGTGTGTGGAGGACCAGATCGCAGGGCATATTTAAGATATTCTACTCAGTTCTCATCATTATGGAAGGGAATAACCTTCTTTTTAAAAAAAATCTTTTTATTTATTTATAGGGTTTTTGTTTTGTTTTGTTTTCGTTTTTGTTTTTGTTTTTGAGCCACGGTCTCTGTCGCCCAGGCTGGAGTGCAGTGGCACAATCTCAGCTCACTGCAACCTCTGCCTCCTGGGTTTCAAGCAATTCTCCCAGCCACCAAGCCTGATCTCTATGGAAGAGAATAACCTAATCTTGCTCTCTCTCTCCACTTTTTGGATACTCAGAATAATTTTGATTAAGTGAAACCTAAAAAGAAACACCTCATCAGTCAAGAAAGTCCACGTAGAAACTAGACAGATTTTATGAACACATTGCCAGGCCTAGAGTTACCAGCTACATGCCATTGGCAAGAGGCGTACACCTTTCATTCTGAACAGGAGTTAAACAGAGGCATATTCTGGTACCAAAGAGGTGATGAAAACTCTGATATCAGGGATGGGTGGAATTGATTGAAGAGATGCAATATGCTAAGTACTGTGCTCTGTACTTCATGTGCATGACATCTTCAATTCTCAACTTAACCTTGTGAGGGAACTATCGTTATTGTTCCCATTTTACAGATGGCGTGGGGAGCTCACATTACCTCTCCAAAGTCACTTGACTAAGAAGTAAAGGAGCAGGGATTCTAACAGGGATTTCTCTGGCTACACCACTGGAGACTAAACCTCTACCCCTTGCCTATAGGGTAAAGTAGAAAAGCCATGAGAGCAAGACAACTAGAGTCTCATTGCTAAGTCAACTTTAGGAATGTGAAGGTGAGGGCAGTATGGCAGCAAACTTTGCACTTCAAGCACACAGAAAAACCAGGCAGTGCCAGATTGACAGAGATAGCCTAGTGTCTTGAGGATCTTCACTATCTCCCAGAACCTGGAAGGATCTCCTGAACTGCTTATCCTGGTTGTTTGGTTAATTCATTCTTTCTTTTATTTTTAATATAACCCTTTATTAAGTATAATTCATCTACCATACAATTCACCTTATTTAAAGTATATCATTCCTTGAGTTTTAGCACCCATCACTACAATCAATATTGAACATTTTCATCATGCCAAAAAAAAAATCACATCCATGAGCAGTCACTTCCTATTTCCCCTCAATCTTCCCAGTCTATGGCAGCCACTATTTGCTTTCCGTTTCTGTTGATTTGCCTACACTGGACACTTCATGTAAAAGGAATCATATAATATGTGGTCTTTTGTGACTGGCTTCTTTCATTTAGTATAATGTCTTCAAGGTTATCTATGGTGTAACATGTATCAGGCTGGAGTGCAATGGTGTGATCTCGGCTCACTACAACCTCTGCCTCCTGGGTTCAAGTGATTCTCCTGTCTCAGCCTCCTGAGTAGCTGGGATTACAGGTGCACGCCACCACGCCCAGCTGATTTTTTTTGTATTTTAGTAGAGACTGGGTTTCACCATGTTGCCCAGGCTGGTATGGAACTCCTGAGCTCAGGCAACCCTCCTGCCTTGGCCTCCCAAAGTGCTAGGATTACAGGCATAAGCCAACGCGCCTGGCCCTTTATTCCTTTTTTTAATAATGTTCCATTATTTGGAACACATTTTATTTATTTATTCCTTGGTTGATGAACTTTTTGGTTGTTTCCACTTTTCAGCTATTATGAATTATTCTTCTATTAATATTTGTGTACACGTTTTGTGTAGACATATTTTTATTTCTCTTGGGCATATATTTAGGAATAGAATTCCTGGGTCTCTTGGTAACTCTATGTTTAATCTTTTGTTCAACTGCCATAATGTTTTCCAAAGCAGCCACACCATTTTACATTCCCAACAACAGTGTATAAGGGTTCCAGTATCTCCACATTCTTGCCAACCTTTGTTTTTATCTTGGTTATTGCCATCCTAGTGGATGCAGGTTAATTCTTTCAAGCCTGACTTACCTGCCTTCTGAGGTTCCTGATAGTAAAACTGCATTGCAAATTCCAGACAGATGAACCACAATTTGAAAAAATATATTTGTTGGATACAATTTTAAACTTGCTAACCCCCACCTAATTTCCTATTTAGTATCATAAAAATATTTTCTGAATATTTTATATGACTATGTATTATATATTTCTTTTAAAATCCTTTAATGTGTTCAAAATTATGTATGTTTACATTTATTTACACATGACTTTTGAGGAACACATTCACTTTATAAAGTAAGGAATATTTGTAGTAGTTATGAGTACTAAGATTGTTCTCAGTACTCAAAAAGTCACTCTGAAAGTATTAAGAATGAGTTTACTAAAGAGAATGCTTTCAGAAATATTCATTGGGAAGAGCATGGGCTTTAGAGTTTTAGATTTAATTTCCAGTTCTGAAACTTACCAGTCAGGTGTCTTTTATGATACAAATATCAGAAAACTCAAGTGCTGGCCAGGCGCAGTGGCACACGCTTGTAATCCCAGCACTTTGGGAGGCTGAGGCAGATGGATCACTTGAGGTCCGGAGTTCAAGACCAGCCTGGCCAATATGGTGAAACCCCATCTCTACTAAGAATACAAAAATTAGCAGGGCATGTAATCCCAGCTACTTGGGAGGCTGAGGCAGGAGAATCGCTTGAACCTGGGAGGTGAAGGTTGCAGTGAGCTGAGTTCATGCCATTGCACTCCAGCCTGGGCTACAGAGTGAGACTCCATCTCAAAAAACAAAAAAATAAAAGAAAAATAAAAAAACTCAAGTGCAGTCACTTAAATAGACATGGACTTATTTATATCAGGTCATAATTATATGTAGTAACAGATGGCATGATAATTCAGTAATACCCCAGGGATCTAGGCTCTTTTCCTCTTTCTACTCTGCCATCTTCAGTGTGTTGACCTTAATCTTCAGATGCTGTATCTCCAGGCTTCTTATCCAAGTTCCAGGCAGGAAAAGTGGTAAAGAGCAAAGGAGTTCCTCCTGTGGACTTCGACCTACACTGAGTTGGCCACAACAGTGTCACATGTCTACTCTGTCTGGATGGGAACCTGGCAGAAGGGCATTGTAAATGGAGTTGGATACCGTCATCCAACAGTATCTGCCATAGTTGCTAGCTGTGTAATCTTAGAAGAGTTATTTAGCCTTGCTGAGCCTCAGCCTCCTGTGAAATGAGGATAATTAATGCCACAAAGCTTATAAAAAAGCAAATTATAGGAAGTGACTTGCATATAGGAAATGCTTAGAATTAAGTACAACACAAAATGATGTCTTAGTCCCTTCAGGTGACTATGACAAAGCACCTAGACTGCGTAATTTGTAAAAAACAGAAATTCGTTGCTCACAGTTCTGGAGGCTAGGAAGTCCCAGATCAAGTGTCAACAGATTTTGAAGGTCTGTTCTTCATAGATGGTGACTTCTATATGTTCTCACATAGTAGAAGGGGCCAGGCAGCTCCCTTCAACCTCTTTTATAGGGGCACTAAATTGATTCATGAGGGAAAAGCCCTCATGACTTAACCACTTTCTAAAGGCCCCACCTCTTAATACTATTACATTGGGGTTTAAGTTTCAACATGTAAATTTTGAGGGTACACTAATATTCAGACTATAGCAAAGGATATTATAATATTATGGCCTAAGGGAAACCTGACCGATTTGATTGAGGGAAATATTAATGTAAAGCCATAAAAATTATTATTTATAGGATATTATAGATAATTTTATTCATATATTTTTAAGTAATACAATAATTTTGGAAAAATCTAGAAAGAGATGTTGCATGTGCTCTAATAGAAAGACTTATTTTTTGTATGTCAATAGTACATTTATTCATTCAAACTAGAATGTAGGCTTAATGTGGGCAAGAATTTTTGTTTGATTTTTTCATTGCTATGTTGATTGAATCTAGAATGGGGCCTGACACATAGTAAATGCTCAATAAATATTTGTTGAGTAATTATTCTAGTTGATAACTAGAAATAGACATTTCCTGAATCTCCCCTTCACTGTCTAGTTAAGTAATAATATAAGGTCATATATATTTTATAAATTATTTTTCCCATCTTCTTTCTTAAAATCCAACAATAAACTATAACCAAACTCTGATAAACCTAACCAAGTTCTGAATTGATGGAGGCCAGATTAATGGGATTTTATTACATTCTAAACAGGACATAAAAGATATAAAAGGTTAGAATAAAAGTGAATGTTCTCCTCTAGAAAAGTCAAAGGACTAACTTATAAATATAGACAGGTCAGAAAAGGAAACAAACACCTATTTATCTAATGATTAGTTACAAACAAACTAATGAGTTGAAAAAAATTAGAGAAGAGGGCTGGGCGCAGTGGCTCATGCCTGTAATCCCAGCACTTTGGGAGGCTGAGGCAGGTGGATTGCTTGAGCTCAGGAGTTTGAGACCAACCTGGGCAACATGGCGAAAAATACAAAAAATATAAAAATTTCTACAAAAAATACAAAAACTAGCCAGGCGTGTTGGCGGGTGCCTGGAGTCCAAGCTACTTGGGAAGATGGCTTGAACCCAGGAGGCAGAGGTTGCAGTGAGCCACTGTACTCCAGCCTGGGCGACTTAGCCAGACCCTGTCTCAAAAAAAAAGAAAGAAAAGAGCAAGTCAATTTCCCTAACTACCAGAAAAAATCTTTCCCTCAAGGAGAAAGCTGACTTATAATGAATGTTGTGGTCGAGGTAGTATTATGTTTAAAGGAGCTCTTCTAAACGTTCAGTTATTAGGGTATTTTCCACATTGGTAACTAGGCAGAGATCAGCATGTGCAAGGTTTCACTTCTAACTCATGTGGTTCAGTTTTCCAGTAAAATCACATGTAGAGAGAAGCTTTTTACCTGAGACCACCTACTCATTTCTCCAGTTGCAGAAAGGCAGTGTTTCCCCTATGGCAACATAGGTGCCATCACAGGCCTCCTCATGTTGGGGTGAAGTTGTAAAGTAGAATTTTGTCTGTTTTGCTTCAAGAGCTTTCTTTCTTCCCAGCTCCTTTGCGGTGGCCTCACCAGACAGAGCCTCCTGGCTGTTCACATACCTTCTTTTACCTCCTGTATTTTGCTGTTTCAAAGGGTAATGATAGGGAAAAAAAAAAACCAAAAAAAAAACAAAACCAGTGCTAATAACCATCTCCCTACTGTAGTCCCACTATCTTCAGCAATTTCATGTAAATATATTTTTTATTTATCTTGGAAACACTGGTAATGTCTGGCTCAGTGTATTCTACTCCATAAATATTTGTTGAATAAAAATGCATGAATGATAGCCCTGCATTCTGTTCCATTCAAGTCATCTTAGCAAATATTTATTTAGCATTTGATGGTTTCCTGGAATTGTATTAAACTGTAGATATTTAAAAAAAAGAGATCATCTCTGTGCATGACAAGCTCATAAACAGTTTAGAATAACATCAATGTTGGGATTTTCACGCACCGTAGAAGACCAATAAGGCAAATGTTTTCAGATGCAGTATCATGTTAGAGCCCTTAAATTCAGCGGCCTACTCTGCTAATTCATAAGGCCTGTTTGTTTTTGCCACAGCTTCTCTACATGCATATTTTTAATAACCAGAAAGAGTTCTTAGGTGTGATTCCAAATACTATTTTTAAGGCTACGTTAGGTTTCAGTAATTCCTTTAGGACTCAAAATGTAGTTTATATTTTAGAATCCATTTCCTCACTGATTATGAGCCCAGAGAGCTAATTGTGGCTGGAGACAAACAGAACCTTGCTGACTGATACTGCTTTATATTCATGACCACTAACCTCAACTGGGCCCGGAGAGCCACACAGTAATCCTACTACATTTCACTAGCCAAGTCACTGTCTTGCTAAGCCAGGTCATTGCTTCATTACTTTTTCTGTCATCTCTCCTCTCTAGTATCTTCCCTTCCTCACTCTCTATTGAAGACCTGCTTCCTACTTTCCTGAGAAAACAGAAGCAATGAGAAATACCACAGCCTCCCTCATTGACTAATGCATTGACATCTGTACCCATATAGTTGATCTTTCCTGCTATTGCTATGGATGAATTACCATTGCCCTAAGGTCAACTCTCCACTTGGGTACTAGATCTTATCCTGCCTGCCTACTGGAGGACACTGCTCCAAAACTTTCCTCTCTTCCTTCTGCATTGTCATTGTCTCTGTCTTTACTGGATCATTCCCATTGGCTTTTAAGCATGCTGTAGCCTTTGCCCTTTTGAAAAATATAACCCTCCCTTTGTTCCTGACCTCTACCACCCAATTTCTCTGTTTCTTTTTATGAAAAAAAATCAAAAGAGTTGTCTGCACTGTCTGTCTCTATTTTCTCTCTTCTCTTTTATCTAGTTTAGTCATGTTTTATGTCCTCACCACTCCACTGAAACAGCTCCTGTCAAAGTCACTGATGATTTCCCCATTGCCAGATTGAATGGCTTATTCTCAGTCTTTATCTTACTTATGAAACATTTACTATCCGAGCATTTAATGTAGCTCTTCACTTCCTCCATTTGGCTTCCAGGACAGGACTCCCTTTTGCTGCTCCTCCCACCTTCCTGGAAACTTTATCTCAGTCTCTTTTGCTGATTCATCTTCATTTCAGATAAATTCATAGTGACCCAGAGCTCTATATTTTGTCAGCCTAAAAAAAGACACTAGGGAAGATTATCTTCAAATTTGTTGGGTTTACTTGAGAATATAAATAAGGAGTATAATACAGAATGCATGACATGGCAAGCCAGCAGTGCATTTGGTGAGGGAAAGGATAAAGGGAAGCTTTTATTACCAAAAAGGAATATATGTGAGCTATTTAGGAACAGAGTTCATTAGTTCCAGAGGCTCAAAGCCAGAGTGATTGTCAATTAATAAGTGGAGATGTATTACTGGGTAAGCGGTCTTCCAAAAACATCTTATCTGGATTACTGCAGTCCTAAAGGATGTCTAGTGATAAACCTTATCAAAGCAGGGGATGACTGAAAGGTTTTTAGAAAGTCCTTGGGAACAGTTCTTATCTCAGACATGTAAGCATGGGCCTCTTCTCCTTCAGGCCTTTCTTGCCCTATTTTGTCTGGGTCTGACAAAAGTGATTTCATCCTGGTATGTGCAACTTTCACACCTAGGACCTTTTATTATCTCTATTTACAGTCATTACCTAAAGGATAGCCTTCAAATTTGTGGTTTAAAATTCCTCAATGTATATCTGTGTCTAAATATCTCCACCAAATACAGCTGCCATGTTTCTAACCTGTCATTCAAGGTATCTTGAAGTTAACATTTTCAAAACCAAACACCCAGTTTCCTCTCCCAAGACTTGCATTTTCCATTTCAGTAAATGGCAACTGTATCCTTTGCATTATTCAGGTCAAAATCAGGTAGATTCTCCTGGATTCCTCTCTATTATGGCCTTCATCTAATTGATCAGCAAAACCTTCCGGCTCTATCTTTTAAAATGACCTCACCACCTACACTGCAATCCAAGCCAGATCATCTCTCACTTGGGAGTATAAGAACTTCTAACTGGTCCACTCGCTTCCTCCAGAGTCCCTTATTCATGAGTTTTCACAGTAATCCTTTTCACATGCACCTCAGGCCATGTCACCCTTCTGCTCATGAACCTCCCATTTCATTCAGAGATCAAAGCCAGAGTCCCTCAAGGACTCTATGTGACCTTGCAAGTCTTCTAAACTTTCCCCTCTTCCAAAACTCTCTGATTTTGTCTTTAATCCCTTTCCTAGTAAAACCTCACTGACCTCCTTGCTGCTCTTTGAACAGGCCAAGCAAGGTCCTGCCTCAGGGCCTTTGCATGTTACCTAGAATGCTCTTCCTCCAGAGAGCCACAGGGTTTCCTTATTGCCCTAATGTCACCCTCTCAGATAAGACTTTCCTCATCTCTCTAAAAAACAAAAACCTTAAAACCCACCCCTACTCTCAGAACTGCCTAACCTTTTTACTCCGCTTTAGTTTTCTTCTGAACATTTCTCACCATACATAGATCAGATTCTATATTTATTTGTTTCCACCAAAATGTGTGCTTCATGACAGTTGGGACTTTATCTGTTTTGTTCATTGTAGCCCCAATATCTAAAAATATACTTGGAATATAGTCAGTGTTAAATAAATATTTATTGAATGAGTGATTAAATGAATGAAAGACACTATTTACCATTATCAACATAAATCTGCAATGTTTTTTGAAAATCTATAAATTACAACTATATCTAGGTGCTCAGGGAACATCAGAAAAATATGAATTATACTAACTCCCTTCACAAATCATCTGTCATGTATTAGCCCATGAAAAAAAGAAATAGAAATAAGATATTCAAAAACTTTGTAATATACAGTTATGTAAAAGATAGAGGAAAAACCAAAGTGTTGTTCTCCTTTCTACTCTCAACAGCACTCCTGACACGAAATGTGGGAAGATTTTCCCCACACACCAATCAATTCTCCTGCAGACATCAGCTAGATGTCCTCTAATTTAATTCAATTCTGACTCTGTCTACCTGGAGGTAGCATCAGATCCCACAGCTAAAGGCTCAGTCCCACAAGACTCAACCCTGTTTTAAATGTCAATCACAAGCCCCAGGTCATGACCTGTGCTTTTGACCAACCGGCTAAAAATTGTGGTTTCCACGATACACTCCTCAGGTTTGATTAACTTGCTAGAGTGTCTCATAGAACTCAGGAAGACACTTTACTTATATTTATCCATTTATTATAAAGAATATAACAAAGGCTACAGATGAACAGCCAGATGGAAGAGATGCATGGGGCAAAGCATGCGGGAACACCACCCTGCAGGCATCCTCATATGTTCAGATATCTGGAAGCTCCCTGAACCCAGTCCTTTTGGGTTCTTATGGAGGCTTCATTACATAAGCACGGTTCATCATATCATTGGCCATTGGGGATCATTCAGCCCTTCTCTCTTCCCAGGAGATGGGGGTGGGTAAAGGGCAAGGGGGTTGGGGGGACTGAAAGTTTCAATCTTCTCATCACATTGTTGGTTCCCCTGGCAACCAGCCCCTACCCTAAGCCTATCCAGGAGCCCCCAGCCATCAGCCATCTCATTAGCACTTTGGAGATTCCAAGGGTTTTAGGAGCTGTGTGCTGGGAACCAGACAGAAACCAAATATATATTTCTTATTATGTCACAATATCACAAGTTCTATATAAAAATAACCCTAAGGTGTAATTAGTCATTATTATCAGATTCTTCAATTAAAACAGTGCTTTGTGGTCTAGGTGCTAATATGGGGTAGACTTTAAAAGCAGAATTAAATTACTTAGTAACTATGGTTACTGTCAGTTTGAAAATACATTTCCATTTTGACTTGTGGTCTCAGTATGTGTGGTAAAAGAATTAGCCACAAACCAATGAAGAACATATAATGTGGTTTTCTCTAACTGGAAAATATTCAAAGATGTCCTACTTACCATTTACACATAGTTGCCATTTTCTTGTTTTCACATTTGAATTCTTACTTAGCATGAGGTTAACATACTTTAACAAGTTCTCTGTTAAGGTATTTACGTTTCATCTTATTTCAGAAAGAATATAAGGTAACTATGTAAACATCTCAATTTAACGGCATAATTTAACTTAAGATACAGTGATATAAGAGAAATTTTACTGGTAAGAAATATAGCAATTTTAAAAGTTTCATTTGTATTCTTTAGAATGTGTCAAAGTCACATATCATAAATATCTTCTTTTTTTATTTAAATGGACACATAGTCTCACTCTGTCATCCAGGCTGGAGTGCAGTGGTGCAATGTTGGCTCACTGCAGCCTCCATCTCCTGGGCTCAGGCAATCCTCAGCTTCCTGAGTAGCTGGGAGGACAGGTGCCTGCCACCACACCTGGCTAATTTTTGTATTTTTAGTAGAGACAGGGTTTCACCACGTTGGCCAGGCTAGTCTCAAACTCCTGACCTCAAGTGATCTGCCTGCCTCAGCCTCCCAAAGTGCTGGGATTACAGGTGTGAGCCACCATGCCTGGCCTCAGCCAGTATCTCTTAATTCAGAAAAATTGTTGTTTAATGAGTCCTTCATTAGGTGAGAAGCCATCTACTCTGTTTCTTATTTAATTTACTCATGATAACAACAACGTTATCATTCCTATACTGAGGATGAGTAAACTGAGCTGTATAGAGCTTAAGTAACTTGCTCCAAGTCTTACAACTTATCAAGGGGCAGAGCTGGGATTTGAAGGTAGGTCTGTCTCTAAAATCCAAGCCCTGTGATTTTAGTCACCATGACATACCCTCCTCGTCCTCTCATGGTGTTCATAGTGATCTCACGCTGGTATGAGGAAAGAGGTAACACAGAAAAAATGCACTGGAACCGAAAAACCTGAGCTGAATAGGAGGAGTTGCTCCTCACCCCTCCAATGACTATCAGCCTTAGAGAGATTCCTTGACCACTTGCTGAGGTTGTCTTGTTCTGATAGTAGCAATAAGTTTATATAAATTATATAAAATATAGAATTTCTATAGTACTTAGATGCACACATCTGCTTATTGCTTGGTATTAATAGCATAAGGCTGGTTCCTTTTCTCTGCGTCTCAGCAAGCACGTTTCTTGGATTCCAAAAGATGTAAGTGGCTAGCAAGTTTAATCCTGGTGGGATATTTTGGGGCTAGAAAAATTTAGGAGTTGCTGAAAAGATATATAGTAGTAACAGGACTTGGTGGAGCCTTGGTGGAGGGACAGTGATTTTTAAGCTTTATCTTCTCCACAAATCCAATCAAGGCAGTCCCCTGAGAGAGAGGGCAGTTGATGGTATTAGATTTAAAAAATCAGGTTAGAGTCTGCCTCAACAGCACAAACAGTGTAATTGGAACAAGACAAAGAAGATGGCATGACCCCTGATCAAGGACGGCATGCAAATTTGTGAAGTATTTCCATTTGATACAAATAAGAATGTATATGGCTGAGCACGGTGGCTCATGCTTGTAATCCTCACGTGGGAGGATCCCTTGAGGCCAAGAATTTGAGAACAGCCTGGGCAACATAGCGAGGCTGCATCTCTTAAAAAAAAATTATTTTAAATAAAAAAATTAGTTAGGCCTGGTGGCACATGCCTGCGATCCCAGCTACTCAGGAGGCTGAGGTGGGAGGATCACTTGAGCCCAGAAAGTCAAGGCTGCAGTGAGTTATGATTTGTGCCACTGCACTCAAACCTGGGTGACAGAGTGAGACCCTGTCTCTAAAAAATAGAAGAAAATAAGAATGTAGGCTACTTGGCTTTCCAGCATTGTTCAGATTTCAAGGTTACTTTCCTTCTAAAGTAGTATATCTATATCAAGTTAAGTTTCATGATGTAATGCAATTAACTTAGGAGTCTGAAAGTCATAAACCAAACAGGTAACAAAGACCTAGACCATTGCCATAGCTATCAAAACAGGGAAAAAAGATAACATAGGAAAATAATATTTTAATGCTTAAAAAAATGCTTAACCTTCTTTAGTAATTGGTTGGCTCTTAAAGGTGACGAAGAGAAAATTGTTAAAAATGGCAAACTGAGAAAGGTGGACCGCATGCCTTTGACAACAATGAAGACACTGGCAAGAAGTGCTGATTTGCATGGAAAGATAATTTAGTTGTCAGTTTTCTATAGTTCTGGTTCCAGTCAGACATCCAAATGAAGCTCCCAGTGAGGGCACAGGTATGCGTGAGACACACATGTGAAATAGCAGGTGAAGCTGAGAAGGGAGTGAGCCCAGAAAAAGGGGTCAGGGAAAAGGCAAACACCAGGGCTGACCTTCAATGTGAGTGAACTCAGAGAGTAGGGAAAGAAACCCAGGTGGAAGGCTGGAGGGGGACATGCCACTAAGTAGGTGTGAGAGAGGAAGGCCCTCTAACCCAGAAGACAGGCTTTGGGTAGCAAGGAAGTGAGAATTATAACCAATCAAGAGGGATAAATGCTTAAATGAGGATTCAGAGGACTTCACCTTGTAAAGGACACCATTTTAAAAGAGCAGTTTCAAGGAAAAGTAAAGGCAAAGATCACAATAAAAGGACTAAAGACCAAATGGGAATAAGTTGGATGTAGTTACTAAGGAGGTAGAAAATCTGAGAAGCTTAAGAACATGAAATAATGGAGTAGGTAGTTCAAGGGGCTCAAGAAATGGGAACTGAGGAAATTCTAGTGAAAATACTTCCATGTTACAAATGAATCTGATTACAGATTATGTTGTGTTTTGGAGTCTGAGGGGGGCCCTATTCATCTCTGCAGAAGAATGAGTGAACAAGGGGTGGGACAAGAGGCTAGGAGATTTGAGGACACTCCTGTGTTAGTCCATTCTTGCCTTGCTATAAAGAAATATCTAGACCAGGTGTGGTGGCTCACACCTGTAATCCCTGAACTTTGGGAGGCCAAGGCAAGAGGATCACTTGAGCTCAGAGCTCGAGGCTGGCCTGGGCAATGTGGCAAAACCCTGTCTCTACAAAAAATTAGCTGAGAGTGGTGGTGCATGCCTGTAGTCCCAGCTACTCAGGAGGCTGAGATGGGAGGACCTCCTGAGCCTGGGAGGTCAAGACTGCAGTGAGCTGTGGCCATACCACTGCACTCCAGCCTGGGTGACAGAGTGAGACCCTGTCATTAAAAAAGAAAAGAAAAGAAAAGAAAAGAAAAGAAATACCTGAGGCTCGGTAATTTATGAAGAAAAGAGTTTTATTTCAGCTCACAGTTCTGCAGGCTGTCCAGGAAGATTGTGAACAAGATAGAGGGAGGGGGGATATGCCACACTCTTTAAAATGACCAGATCTGCCTGAACTCAGAGGGAGAAGTCACTCATTACTGCCAGGAGGGCAGCAAGCCATTCATGAAGGGTCTGCCCCACAAGTCCTCACCTCCAACACTGGTGATGACTTTGCAACATGAGATTTGGAGAGGATGAGGGTGGAAACAATATCAAATCTCTTCACAGAAATCAGAGGAGCAAAGAAGCATTCTCCAGCACTCCTTTCGCCACCGCCTCCAACCCTCGTCCACTAAAAACATCATGTGATTATTTAGGGGTAGAGATTTAAAAACAGAGGCTCAAACATTCTGTCCAAAGCCAGTGAAAACAATTTGAAACTCTGGCATTAACAGATATCATTCGGAATTCTACCAAGTTTATTGGGCTACTTGGATATTCTCATTCAATTATAAATACTTAGATAAATATGCTTTGAAATGATACTTAATAGCCCTCTCTATTCCCCTGTTCTAAACTAGATCTTTCCTCTTTATCTTTTCCATCCTCTTCCACAGTGCATGACTCCCTTTCCCCTCATCAAACCTGTCATTAGGTCCAGTCAGTTCTACACTCAAAATCCTTCATGGGTTGGGCGAGGTGGCTCATGCCTATAATCCCAGCACTTTGGGAGGCCAAGACGGGCAGAGTGCTTGAGTTCAAGAGTTGGAGACTAGCCTGGGTATCATGGGAAAACCCCATGTCTACACAAAATACAAAAATTAATTGGGCATGGTAGTACGTGCCTGTGGTCCCGGCTACTCAGGAGGCTGGGGTGGGAGGATCACTCGAGCCCAGGAGGTCAAGGTTGCAGTGAGCCAAGATGGCCCCACTGCACGCCAGCCTGGGTGACAGAGCCAGACCCTGTCTCAAAATCCTTCATATCCACCCCCATTGGCTTCCACCTATTTCAGACTAATAATCCAATTCTGGATTATTGTATAGCCTTTTGATTTTTCCACTACCACCACTTTCATTTCCCACAAATCCTCCGTAAAGGTGCTAGACAGTCCCAGAGACCCTCAAAATAGTGTGAATCTCACTATATGCACTCACTTTCTATCACTTACATGATACAGTCCTGATCCATCAGTAGCTCATGGAAGGTCTTCTGACAGGCCTGCTCCACTACAAGTTTCTTCTTGCATTTTCAGGATCCAGGCTATTGCACTTGTTGAACCTTCTCAGAAATGTCATGTTATTTCACGTATTTGTTTCAGAACATGCTGGTTGTCTCTGTCCAGGAGGTTGGCCTTCCCCCTACCCCATTGCGATCTCTCACCCCATCCTGACTCCTCCCCACCACTCCATCCTCACCCTATGTCCTGATAGAAATGTCTGACTTCACAGTCCTTGCACTGAACCAAAATGCAGTGCTCTTTTCCAAAGGCAGCTATTCTGGCTATTCCAAGCTATGTCCAGTGCCGACTTCCCTAACAGGCACAGTAGGCACAGTGGCTAGGGCCCACAATAATTTTAGGAGTCCATGAAAATGTTTAATTTTACTTAAAATCAGAAGAGAAAAATAACTGTTATGTTCATGTATATGCATGTATATGGCATGCATATGTATACATCTATGTATATGTGTGTATATTTTTGTGTATTTTATATATTTATATAATATATACGCTCATTGTTTTTTTAATGGAGGAAAGGGTCCATGAAGGCAGAAGTGTTCAGGGCCCATTGAAATCATACTGTGGCCCTTGTCAGATTTGAATTTATTTTTTAAAATTGTGAAAATAAAATCAATTTTGAAATATTTTTCAGTAAAAGGTTGCATATTTGAAAGCAGGCTTAAAAAGTTAGCGTTTTTGTCCAGGCACAGTGGCTCATGCCTGTAATCCTAGCACTTTAGAAGGCTGAAATGCACGGATTGCTTGAGTCCAGGAGTTTGAGACCAGCCTGAGCAACACAGCAAGACCCTGTCTCTACTGTTTAGAAAATTAAATTTTAATTTTTTGTTTTTGTTTTTGTTTTTGAGACGGAGTCTCGCTCTGTCGCCCCTGCTGGAGTGCAGTGGTGTGATCTCGGCTCACTGCAAGCTCCTCCTCCTGGGTTCACGCCATTCTCCTGCCTCAGCCTCCCCAGTAGCTGGGACTACAGGCACCTGCCACCACGCCCGGCTAATTTCTTTTTGTATTTTTGGTAGAGACAGGGTTTCACCATGTTAGCCAGGATAGTCTCGATCTCCTGACCTTGTGATCCGCCCGCCTCGGCCTCCCAAAGTGCTGGGATTACAAGCGTGAGCCATAAATTCTAATTTTTTTTAAAAAGGTAACATTTTAAAAATCTGGAATAATTAATTCAAACTTTTTTTCTTTTTTTTTTTTTTGAGACAGAGTCTCACTCTGTTGCCCAGGCTGGAGTGAATGGCGTGACCTTGGCTCACTGCAGGCTCTGCCTCCCGGGTTCCAGCAATTCTCCTTTCGCAGCCTCCCAAGTAACTGGGATTACAGGCACATGCCACCAATTATTGTATTTTTTTAATAGAGACAGGGTTTCACCATGTTGGCCAGGCTGGTCTCGAACTCCTGACCTCAGGTGATCCAACCCGCTTGGTCTCCCAAAATGCTAGGATTACAGGTGTGAGCCACCATGCCTGGCCAATTAATTCAAACTAAATACAATTTATGATCATCTTTTTTTTTTGTTTTAAGTTTAGAGACAGAAGAAGAGCAACAGTATCTCACCTCAAGCTATATTAACATCTCCACTGATTCATTACAAGGTGGCAAGAAGTACTTGGTTTGGGTCCAAGCAGCAAACGCACTAGGCATGGAAGAGTCAAAACAACTGCAAATTCACCTGGATGATATAGGTAAAGAATAAGAAATTCTGTAAGTCTTTAATAATAACCAGTTTGTGCTGACCTTGTCAAATGAGGTCTAGATCTGAAAGAAGTTCCCCTAAAGTTCCTGCAGAGCATGATAAAAGAAACAGAAATTACCCATAATTCTACCTGCCCAAGACAACTTAGAGATGAGTAGTGCTGCTGCCATTTTGTTGTATATCCTTCCAGTCTTATTTCTAAATTGTTGTATGTGGCTGGGCCGGTGGCTCACGCCTGTAATCCCAGCATTTTGGGAGGTCGAGGTGGGCGATCACTTGAGGTCAGGATTTCGAGACCAGCCTGGTTAACATGGTGAAACCCTGTCTCTACTAAAAGTACAAAAAAAAAATTAGCCAGGCATGGTGGCGGGCACCTGTAGTCCCAGCTACTCAGGAGGCTGAGGCAGGAGAATTGCTTGAATCTGGGAGGCAGAGGTTGCAGTGAGCCAAGATTGTGCCACTGCACTCCAGCCTGGGTGACACAGCAAAACTCTTGTCTAAAAAAAAAAAAAAAAATCCATATATGTGTTTTTACAAATATTTATTGGAAACTTCTTATTTTCAAGCATTGTTCTAAAGGCTAGAGTGAATAAGATAGACAAGGTGCCTGCCCTGAAATAACTTACAATCTACTAGGGAAGGCAAAAAAAAAAAAAACAAAAAAACACTATGATCATGATAAAGTTTGTTGAGTCTTACGTTGTGAAAAGTACAGCATGCTAAATTCTTATACTCTATACACTACTTGGGGACTTATGTAAGGTTTTTTTGTTTGTTTGTTTTTATTTTGAAAAGTTTTACAAAATACATAGAAAATTGCAGAGAATTATGTAGACCTCTCTATGTTCATCAGCCAGATTTAACAAACATTAATAGTTTTTGTTTCAGATATTTTATACCCTGCCTTTTTATACTTATATATTAGTAATAAACATTTCTATTAATTTAATCTATAGTTTTATTTTTAATGTTGTCTGAATATATAGCAGTTTAATCCCTATTGTTGGAGATTAACACTGTTTTCAGTTTTTAACCATATAAACTATATTGCCATGAACAACTTTGTGGCTGAATTTTAGCATAGTTTTTGATTGTTTCCTTAAGATAAATTCCAAAAAGTAATTACCCTTGAGCCTTTTACAACTACATCCAAGTCCTAAAACCACAATTCAGCCAAATGACACCAAGTCTGAATCATCCTGTCTTTGCAGATCCCAGTACCAATGATTCCTGTTGTTATAATTAAAGATATTTCAATAAGCTAACATTTATTGAGCACTTTCTTATGTGCTAACTACTTTTTCTTTTTTTGAGGCAGAGTCTCACTCTGTGGCCCAGGCTGGAGTGCAGTTGCACAATCTCGGCTCACTGCATCCTCTGCCTCCTGGCTTCAAGCAATTCTCATGCCTCAGCCTCCCTAGTAACTGGGACTACAGGTGTGTGCCACCATGCCCAGCTGATCTATATTGCCACAAAGTTGTTCATGGCTATATAGATTTTTGTATTTTTAGTAGAGATGGGATTTTGCTATGTTGGCCAGGCTGGTCTCAAACTCCTGAGTTCAGGCAATCCTCCCACCTCAGCCTCCCAAAGTGTTAGGATTACAGGCGTGAGCCACTGCCAGCTAACAGCTTTTCACATACGTTATTTAACCCTCATATCAACCCTATTTTGTAGATGAGATTATAATTTATATATTAGAAAACTGAGGTTTGATGGCATTAAAAAATTTGAGATCACAGAGGTAGGGAACATTTAATTCAGGGGATCCTCCTGCCTTAGCCTCTCGAGTAGCTGGGACGACAGGCCACAGGCCACAGTGCCTGGCTAATTTTTTTAAATCTCTTTTAGAGACAGAGTCTCATTTTGTTGCCCAAACTTGTCTCGAACTCTGTGGCTCAAGCGATCCTCCTGCCTTGGCCTCACAAAATGCTGGTATTTCAGGCGTGAGCCACCATGACCGGCCTGAATATTAGATTTGAAAACACACTCTGTTGAATATGATGATGGACAATTATTCCATTTTATTGTATATCCTTGGAGTTACAGTTCTCTTGACTATGCTCTATACATTTTTGTGAATTTACATTTTGAGGTAGAATGCAGTAATATACCCTTTTCTTACGATAGATAAATTAATGATGTTTAAGAGCTATCATGACCAGTATCATTTTAGCAGTGCAATTTTTAGGAACTAAATAATAATAATAATACTTGTATTATTATTACCATTCTGATCTTAATATCATTGCATCAATTTATTTAGCACCTTCTGTGTTCCAGACACCTCTCATGCACATCACGTTTCATTCTGGAAACAACCATACATGATACTACTGTCCCCATTTTACAGATGAAGAAAGTGATAAAATGATTTGCGCAAAGTCACTTAGCTAGTAATGAGGAAAGCCAGATTTCATCCCAGACATGCTGACTTGCTATAGTTTACCACCATCCCACCTCCCACAAAGGAAAAAATCCCATCTGGCCTCTACTTCCAGACTGACTTCTCACACTGGGAACTAGGAGTTTGGAGTTGTGGTTCCTTTTCCTTCTTCTCCTTCTTTCTCTTTCCCTCCTCCTCTTCCTCCACCTCCTCCTCCTCCACCTCTTCCTCCCCTTTTGTCTCTATTCCTTTCCTTGCCTTTTCATTATCCCAGAATGTACTCAGAAACTCAGGTTGAAAAATATGGATTAATTGTATAGGAGGCCCCAGCCAACAAAACCACCAGATTATTAACAGATGAGCCGTCTTCATGGGTAACACTTTAAGAATGAGACAACGCAAATTAGATAAATGAACTGTTCTATGCCACTGAGAACAGAAGACTGTCCTGGGAACAATTTCCACATAGCAGCTACGGGCTGGGCTTTAATGACATTAGGGAGGTTATGCTGAATGGCAGCGCAGAGTTAGTAGCACATTAACACTTGCCAAAAAAGCATATGAGAGGAATGCTTTTAACTTCTCTTGTAGGGAAATAAATTCGGGTACAGAAATTGCTGTGCTTTCTGCCTGCCATTTTGAATATTACTTCTCCCCATTATATAAATATGGATAAATATGTGTTGGAAAGATGCTAAAAGGCTATAATCTCGCTTTTATTTCAATACGAGTAGAATTTAAAAATATGACATCTATAATAAAATTGATACTTTTTTTTTCTTTTTTTGAGACGGAGTCTCGCTCTGTCGCCCAGGCTGGAGTGCAGTGGCGCGATCTCGGCTCACTGCAAGCTCCGCCTTCCGGGTTCACGCCATTCTCCTGCCTCAGCCTCCCGAGTAGCTGGGACTACAGGCGCCAGCCACCTCGCCCCGCTAATTTTTTGTATTTTTAGTAGAGATGGGGTTTCACCATGTTAGCCAGGATGGTCTCGATCTCCTGACCTCATGATCGGCCCGCCTCGACCTCCCGATACTTTTTTAAAATGTAAGATCTGGTGGAAATATGTGAAACCTAATCAGTAAGAATAAAAATTCAACATCTGAGTCTTGTGTAACAAACTAAATATTCAAGTATGTATTACATAATAAATGCCAGTTTGCAAAAATATGAACTCATTCAAACTTAAAGACTTAAATCTGGATTGCACTGACCTGCTTTATGCTGTGATTCTTACTGTGCTATCTGCATTTCTCATAAGACTAAACAGATTTTTACTTTCTCCTCAGAATAATTCTTTTGCCAAAAGGGTCCTAGAATGCTTGTGCTGCTATAACAGTGGCCAAGCCGAACTCAGAGGTGGAGGTGGGTGACAGGAGGAGGTGAGAAATTTATGGCCTTGAGGGTGCTTAAAATGGTCCTAAGCAATTTCAGAGCCCCAGGGATCCATGCCCTTGACTCTAGAATCTCAATACTGATTTTTTTTTTTTTTCCAGGGTTGGGGTTGGGCAGAGTCTTGCTCTGTTACCCAGGCTGGAGTGCAGTGGCATGATCTCAGCTCGCTGCAACCTCTACTTCTTGGATTCAAGTGATTCTTGTGCTTCAGCCTCCCAAGTAGCTGGGATTACAGGCGTCTGCCACAACACCTGGCTAAGTTTTGTATTTTTAGTAGAGACAGGTGTTTCGCTATGTTGGCCAGGCTGGTCTTGAACTCCTGACCTCAAATGATCTGCCCACCTAGGCCTCCCCAAAGTGTTGGGATTACAGGTGTGAGCCACTGCGTCCAGCCTGAATACTGATTCTTATTACAAGAAGCTTGCACTAGCAAAAGGAAATCAGCTATGGAATTCAGATGATAAAGGTTGAGTACAGTAAACTTGTTAACTAAATTAAAGCTACTGCTACTTCTACGCCAGGTGTAGCCCCCAAAATTTTATTAGAGGACTGTGTTACTAGACAGCAAATCCTTAATTTTTGTTTTTCTCTGTAAATCATCTACCTTTGCACATAATTTTAGATAATAATAGTATAATAGTCATTGTAGTAAAACAATAATTTTCTTAAAGAAAGTTTTATAAACCTAGAATAAATGAAAATAAACTAATTCATAGAGAATATTAACCTGTAATAGTGGTCTCTAAAACCACGCCTACAGGCCCTTGAGTTCTTTGTTAAATAGTACAGCTATCAAAGTCATAGGTTTTCATTGTTCCTTAGGGGAGAAATGGAAAGTGTTAATGATTCTATTCTGTTCAGACAAAACAAACTTACAAGTATTTACACAGTTTAGAAACATAGCGATTCCAACTATATACCTCCTACTATAACAAAACAACTAATAAAATAACCAATCAGAATTTCAGTTCCTTCTGTGAAGGTTATTATTATAGAACATGCCAACAATTTACAAAGCCTTAGAGTCTTATGAGATCTGCTTTCTTCAAATAAAATTTCAAGGAAGGACAGATTTATTTTAAAGGAGAACAAAACAAGTTAGCAATAGATATAAATATTCATATGTTTCCCTAATACACAAGAGAAGGAGAAGATTATTGTGATAAAAGATCTGAATTGAACATCCATCTTTCTTTCTTTCTTTCTTTCTTTCTTTCTTTCTTTCTTTCTTTCTTTCTTTTTCTTTCTTTCTTTCTCTTTTTTTTTCTTTCTTTCTTTCTTGCTCTTTCTGTCTCTTCCTTTCTTTCTCTTTTCCTTCCTCCTTTCCCTTCCTTTCTTTCTTTTTTGACAGAGTCTCGCTCCGCCACCCAGGCTGGAGTGCAGTGGCATGATCTCAGCTCACTGTAACCTCTGCCTCCCGGGTTCAAGCGATCCTCCTGCCTCAGCCTCCTGAGTAGCTGGGATTGGCACGCACCACCACCACGCCGGGCTAATTTTTTCTGTTTTTAGTAGAGACAGGGTTTTGCCACGACGACCAGGCTGGTCTCAAACTCCTGACCTTAAGTGATCTGCCCACCTCGGCCTCCCAAATGCTGGGAATACAGACATGAGCCACCATGCCCAGCCTTTCTTTCTTTTTTTTGAGACAAGCTCTCATTCTGTCGTCCAGGGTGGAGTACAGTTGCACCATCATGGCTCACTGCAACCTTGAACTCCTGGGCTCAAGTGACCCTCCCATCTCAGCCTCCTGAGTAGTTGGAATTTCAGGCACACATCACCACACCTGGCTCAATTTAACATCTTTTCAAATCTGATCATCTGAACTAAATTTGGGTGCATATCATCTCTCCTCGAACAGATGGAGGGAAGAGGGGATAGCTCCTTTATCTCATTTTTATACTCTTTTGTTAACAAGGCTAGGCTCTGGAATTTTATTAGTTAGGATTGTAAGGGAGTGAAAGGTGGGGGAAAGACAGGACTATTAGAGTTCAGTTTTTTTTTTTTTAATGGGGAATGGGCTGAATAGAATTTTCCTTAACAGCAGTTTTCTTCTATGTAACAAATTAGCAAATAAGAAAATGTCCATAATTGTTCATTAGACCATGAATTTTATTTTTTTTTACTTTGAGCTTTCTCATATCTAGATATTGACGAAAAGATGCCAGTTTCTCCCTAGGCAAGTTTTAAACAGCCAGGTCTTTTTTTTTTTTTTTTTTTTTCTAGTGATACCTTCTGCAGCCGTCATTTCCAGGGCTGAGACTATAAATGCTACAGTGCCCAAGACCATAATTTATTGGGATAGTCAAACAACAATTGAAAAGGTTTCCTGTGAAATGAGATACAAGGCTACAACAAACCAAACTTGGAATGTAAGCTCAACTTTCATTATGCTTTAGCATGTGAATGAATGATTTAAAAGCCAACCATCAGTGGCTACAGTGGACTTATTATGTCTATTTTACATGTTTTTAATCTGATTGTTTGCATGATATTCAAGCCACTTTAGTTTTTGTTTTATAATTTCAACTTTTATTTTAGATTCGGGGGCACATGTGCAGGTTTGTTACCTGGATATATTGCATGGTATTGAGGTTTGGGGTATGATTGATCCTGTCACCCAGGTGCTAAGCATAGTTACCAATAATTTGCTTTTCAACCCTTGCCTTCCTACCTTCCTCCACACTCTAGTGTGGTCCCCAGTGTCTATTATTGCCATCTTTATGTCCATGAGTACCTGATATGATTTGGCTGCATCCCCACCAAATCGCAACTTGAATTGTGTCTCCCAGAATTCCCAGGTGTTGTGGGAGGGACCCAGGGGGAGGTAATTGAATCATGGAGGCCAGTCTTTCCCACACTAGTCTCGTGATAGTGAATAAGTCTCACGAGATCTGATGCGTTTATCAGAGGTTTCCGCTTTTGCTTCTTCCTCATTTTCTCTTGCCACCACTAAGTAAGAAGAGCCTTTTGCCTCCCACCATGATTCTGAGGCCTTACCAGCCATGTGGAACTGTAAGTCCAATTAAACCTCTTTTTCTTCCTAGTCTTGGGTATGTCTTTATCATTAGCATGAAAATGGATTAATACAGTAAATTGGTACCAGTAGAGTGGGGCATTGCTTAAAAGATACCCGAAAATGTGGAAGCAACTTTGGAACTGGGTAATAGGCAGAAATTGGAACAGTTTGAAGGGCTCAGAAGAAGACAGGAAAATGTGGGAAATTTGGAACTTCCTGGAGACTTGTTGAATGGCTTTGCCCAAAATGCTGATAGCAATATGGACAATAAAATCTAGGCTGGGGTGGTCTCAGATGGAGATGAGGAACTTGTTAGGAACTGGAGGAAAGGTGACTCTTGTTATGTTTTAGCAAAGAGACTGGCAGCATTTTGCCCCTGCCCTAGAGATCTGTGGAACTTTGAACTCGAAAGATGATTTAGGGTGTCTGGTAGAAGAAATTTCTACGCAGCAAAGCATTCAAGTGGTGATTTGGGTACTATTAAAGGCATTCAGTTTTAAAAGGGAAACAGAACATAAAAGTTCAGAAAATTTGTGGCCTGACTATGCAATAGAAAAGAAAAACCCATTCTGGGGGGGAGAAATTCAAGCCAGCTGCAGAAGTTTGCACAAGTAGCAAGGAGCCTAATGTTAATTCCCTAGACCATGGGGAAAATGTCTCCAGGCCACATCAGAGACCTTTACAGCAGCCCCTCCCATCACGGGCTTGGAGGCCCAGGAGAAAAAAGTGGTTTCATGGGCTGGGACCAGGGTCACTGTGCTGTGTGCAGCTTAGGGACTTGGTGCCCTGTGTCCCAGCTGCTCCAACCATGGCTCAAAGGGCCAACATCCAGCTTGGGCTGTGGCTTCAGAAGGTGGAAGCCCCAAGCTTTGACAGCTTCCACATGGTGTTGAGCCTGCGGGTACACAGAAGTCAGAATTGAGGTTTGGGAACCTCCACCTAGATTTCAGAAGATGTATGGAAATGCCTGGATGGCCAGGTGAAAGTTTGCTGCAGGGACGGGGCCCTCATGGAGAACCTCTGGTAGGGCAGTGTGGAAGCAAAATGTGGGGTCTGAGCCTCCACACAGAGTCCCTAGTGGGGCATTGCCTAGTGGAGCTGTGAGAAGAGGGCCACCATCCTCCAGATTCCAGAATGGTAGATCCACCAACAGCTTGAACCGTGCACCTGGAAAAGTTGCAGACACTCAATACCAGCCCATGAAAGCAGCTGGGAGGGAGACTGTACCCTGCAAAGTCACAGGGTTGGAGCTGCCCAAGACCATGGGAACCCACCTCTTTTATCAGCATAACCTGGATGAGAGACATGGAATAAAAGAAGATCATTTGGGAGCTTTAAAGTTGCCCTGCTGGATTTTGGACTTGCATGGGCGCTGTAACCCCTTTGTTTTGGCCAATTTCTCCCATTTGGAATGGCTGTATTACCTAATACCTGTACCCTCATTGTATCTAGGAAGTAACTAACTTGCTTTTGATTTTATAGGCTCATAGGTGGAAGGGACTTGCCTTGTCTCAGATGAGACTTTGGACTGTGGACTTTTGGGTTAATGCTGAAATGAGTTATGACTTTGGGGGACAATTGGGAAGGCATAGTTGGTTTTGAAATGTGAGGACACGAATTTGGAGGGGCCAGGGATGGAATGACATGGTTTTGCTGTGCCCCCATCAAATCTCAACTTGAATTGTATCTCCCAGAATTCCCACATGTTGTGGGAGGGAGCCAGGGGAGGTAATTGAATCCTGGGAGCCCGTCTTTCCCATACTATTCTCATGATAGTGAATAAGTCTCATGAGATCTGATGCATTTATCAGGGGTTTCCGCTTTTGCTTTTTCCTCATTTTCTCTTGCTGCTGCCATGTTAAGTAGTGCCTTTCACCACCCATCATCATTCTGAGGCCTCTCCAGCCATATGGAGCTATAAGTCCAATTAAACCTCTTTTTCTTCCCAGTCTCCAGTGTGTCTTTATCAACAGCATGAAAACAGACTAATGCAGTACCCAGTGTTTAGCTCCCACTCATAAGTGAGAACATGTGGTATTTGATTTTCTGTTCCTGTGTTAATTCACTTAGGAAAACCACTCTAGCTTTAATAATGATTATTGTATGCTTGCAAACAGAGAACTGTTTCCTCAAACGATCCACTTGCCTTTTATTAGTTGCTAAATAGACAAAGCTCCGACTAAGAGGAATCTAATTAGCTATTTGTAATTCAGTGTCTCCTAGGGTGAAATTTATATCAGTGATCATGGATAAAAAATTTAAGTATTCTGTGCTGAAATTTGACAGGCATCCAGGGAAACAAAAATTGTTCGGAAAGGAGAACTAAGATGTATGAATGTTTCTTTTTAAGTGAAAAGTGTATAGTTCAGAGTGTAATATTTATTACCAGTATAGGCCTGAGTCTTAGGTGAGCTTAAAGATGATGATAATCCGAGTAAAAATGAGTTTAAAAAAGTGAACGTCTAGAGAAACAAACTAACCATCCTTAAATGCCAAGGTTAAATTATCTAGTGTCTTAAGAAAGGCATAGCTGCAAGGTTCATTAATAAAGTCACATCAGATAACAGCACCTGGGAACAACGTAATAAAACTCAGTAATTTCAGCTGTGGAGGAACACTAGCCTGATTTAGGAAGAAGTTCCAATTTTGATATATTTTAAAAGAAATGCTATTTGATTATTTTTAAGCGTAACAAACTGCCATTTAGTCCAAATAATTAAGAAATAGTTTCTGGCCTTTTTTTTTCCCTTCCGATACTTTTTTAAGGTTTTTTTTTTAGAGATAGACTCTCACTTCATCACCCAGGCTGAAGTTCAGTGGTGCAATCATAGCTCACTGCAGCCACAACCTCTTGGGCTCAAGTGATCCTCCTGCCTTAGCCTCCCAAGTAGCTGGGACTACAGTCACTCATCACTATGCCTGGCTAATTTATTTTTATTTTTATTTTTTTGTAGATTCTTGCCATGTTGCCCAGGCCGGTCTTGAACTAGCCTCAAATAATCCTCCCCCTGGCTTTCTCGTCAGCCTCCCAAAGTGCTAGGATTACAAGCATGAGCCACAGCACCTGGCCTGGCTTTTCTTAATTAACAGTTATGTATCAGCTGTGAAATTACCAGTTTTCAGCGCGTTAAATAAAGTGATATGTATTTAACACTAAAATACATTAAACATAACTTAATTTTTCTTTGGTGCTAAGCATGATTCCAAATCCTTTTGCTGTTTAAGACTGATTCTGAGTATCGGTTTTGCTATAGAGTAATATATCTTAAAAGTATCAAGAAGATGGGGGCAAAACTATACTAATTTTATTATATACCCTAAAAATTACTCATTAAAAGTAAATTCCTTACGTCAACTTGTTTACCTTTGTTCACTCAAATCATAAATGTGAACTTTATGGTTGTTTGCATACACTTAAATGGGATCCACGTTCTGCATCATTTGATTGATAATCAAGTGAAGATCCTGCTGAATTCCTTTTGCATATGCAGAATTTAGATTAAATTTCAAAACAACACAAATACAATTCTCAAGTCCTAGATTCTGAATTAATGGGGTTTTATCCTAATAAGACACCTGGGGTCCTTGTATAGTATCACAGTCATAGAATGATATTAAAGAATACTGAGTTTCTTAGGCTGGGTGCAGTGGCTCATGCCTGTAATCCCAGCACTTTGGGAGGCCAAGGCAGGCGGATCACCTGAGCTCAGGGATTGAAGACCAGACTGGCCATCATGGCAAAACCCCGTCTCTACTGAAAATACAAAAAATTTAGCCAAGCCTGGTGGTGTGTGCCTGTAATCCCAGCTACTCAGAAGGCTGAGGCAAGAGAATCGCTTGAATCTGGGAGGTGGAGGTTGCAATGAGCCAAGATGGAGCCACTGCACTCCAGCCTGGGTGACAGAGTGACTCTGTCTCCAGAGGAAAAAAAAAAAAAGGATACCAAATCCTCTTACTTCATGCAAATAGGAGTATGTAATAGACTAGAAAAAGTGTTTAGAAAATAGAAAGGAATTATATTATCAGTGTCTCTGAATAAGTTTTCAGAAGCCAACTGTTTTCTGGTTGAAACTCTTATTCTCTGCTCCCCCTGGTGGTGCTACATAGGCCATCTTGGTAACAGGTACATTTGAGCTCACTTTTCAAAACCTTCTCTTTATCAGAAGTGGCAAATAGAGTAGAAAGAATATTTGTTATCTCATATGCTCTTCATAACAATCCTTTGTGATAGGTAGTATTAGCTCCATTATATAAATAGGGAAATAGAGTTTGAAAGAAGTCAAGCCAGATTTTTTTGAACTTATACCGTCAGTAACTAAGTGCCTCTCACAGACTCTACATCACTTTAAAGACCAAATAAATATTTAGAAAATGAAAAGACAGGTTTCAATCCAAAGCCACTTCTGTCTCCTCCACCATTATTTTTTTCAGAAAGTTTTTTTAAACTCATGACTCCCTCAGTCAATCTACCACGTTTCCTTTAAACACAACCACTAACACAGAAAAAGTGAATTACCATTTCTATCCAGATCACTCAAGCCAAGTCACTGTAGCCAGAATGAAGCTTTGTTTACATTTGCTACTGTCAATTTCATCTGGGTCATGCATGAAGTGTTGTCTCTGCATGTCTGTAGGAAGACAGGAAAGTCAGAGTCAAGAGGAGTGGGAGGATACCAAAGATTACAGGTCTCTTCTACCACTTTAGCTCCGTGGTGGCATTGCCTCCATTAGATATTGCTGGAGGTGGGGGGTTTACTTCAAAGCGACAGGAAAGCCTTGTGGCCAAGAGCACAGGCTCTAGAGTTCAAAGCCTGGCTCTGCTACTTTCTAGTCATGCAATCTTTTTTTTTTTTTTCCTTTTGAGACAGGGTCTTGCTCTACTGCCCAGGCTGGAGCGCAGTGGCGCAATCTCAGCTCACTGCAGCCTTGACCTCCTGGACTCAAGCAATCCTCCTGCCTCAGTCTCCCAAGTAGCTGACCACAGGAGAGTGCCACCATGCCCAGCTAAATTTTAAAAATTTTTCTGTAGAGACAGGGTTGTGTCATGTTGCCCAGGCTAGTGTCAAGGTCTCTAACTGCTGAGCTCAAGCAACCATCCCGCCTCAGCCTCCCAAAGTGCTGGTATTACAGGCACGAGCCACTGCTCCTGGCTAAGTCATGCAATCTTTCTTTTTCTTTTTTTTTCTTTTTAGACAGAGTCTCACTGTGTTGCCCAGGCTGGAGTGCAGTGGCGTGATCTTGGCTCACTGCAACCTCTGCTTCCCGGGTTCAAGCGATTCTCCTGACTCAGCCTCCCTAGTAGCTGGGATTACAGGCATCGGGCACCACGTCTGGCTTCTTTTTGTATTTTTAGTAGAGATGGGGTTTCACCACGTTGGCCAGGCTGATCCCAAGTGATCTGCCCATCTCGGCCTCCCAAAATGCTGAGATTACAGGTGCGAGCCACTGCGCCCGGCCTAGTCATGCAATCTTGAGCATGTTTCTTATCTTCTCTGTGCCTCGTTATTCCCATACATAACATGGGGATAAGATAAGCCCTTATATCATGTGTTTGTTGTGGGAAAGGGGATCCAATGATGTAAGAAGTTAGCTACAAGCCTGGAATAGTGTAATTGTTCACTAAATGCTAGCTAGTAATGTTACTCTCTAGCCTCTAGGGGAGCCATGCAGCAGGGATAGTAGAGCAAAGGAATCCAACTGAAAGTCACAGTATTGAGGGTGCTTTTCAGCCCCTTTAGCTAAGGTACATACAGACTGTGAAGTATCTAAGGGAATTAGGCTGACGAGGCAAGGAGAATATGTGCCACGCAGCAGTCCATGTTTCAGGCAATGATGGATGGCATATATGATGGTGGTCCCATAAACTTATCATGCAGCTGAAAAATTTCTGTCACCTAGTGATTTATATTACAATTGCCTGCAGGATTCAGTACAGTAACATGCTTTATAGGTTTGTAGCCTAGAAGCAACAGGCTATACCATATAGCCTAGGTGTGTAGTAGGCTATACCACCCAGGTTTGTGTAATTACAATCTATGATGTTCGTACAATGATGAAATCGCTTAATGATGCATTTCTCAGAATGTATCCCTGTCGTTAAGTGACACATGACTCTAGTTATCTCTTGAAAGATGGTTCCAGGTCAAAGCTTCAGATTTTGTCTCTGGAGACACAGCTGCCTCTGGGAGAACATTTACAAACATCTTGCTCCCACCTCATTTACCTCTCTCCCTTCTGAATTCCCTAGAAGTCTAGCTTAGACCAGGTTGGAATATATACAGATTTTAGTAAAGGCTCAGAGATAGCAAGAAGAAAATAAATCTCAGCTGGGAGGGGTGATACAAGCCTATATTCAGCTACCTGAGAGACTGAGGCAGGAAGATCACTTGAGCCAGGGTTTTGAGGCTGTAATGCACTATGATCCCACCAGGGATAGCCACTGCACTGCAGCCGGGGCAATACAGTGAGACCCCCATCTCTATAAAAAGAAAGAAAATAAACATCTCAGAGAAAAACCACCTACTATGTAATCTTGATTACAAAATATAACTAGCTTTTCAAAGTTGGTTTGAGACCTGTCTTTTCATTTTCTAAATATTTATGTGGTCTTTAAAGTGATGTAGAGTCTGTGAGAGGCACTCAGTTACTGATGGTATAAGTTCAAAAAAATCTGGCTTGACCTCTTTCAAACTCTGTTTCCCTATTTATATAATGGAGCTAATACTACCTGTCACAAAGGATTGTTATGAAGACCATATGAGATAACAAATATTCTTTCAGTTCCATTTGCCACTTCTGACAAAGAGAAGGTTTTGAAAAGTGAGCTCAAATGTACCTGTTACCAAGATGGCCTATGTAGCACCACCAGGGGGAGCAGAGAATGAGAGTTTCAACCAGAAAACAGTTGGTTTCTGAAAACTTATTCAGAGACACTGGTAATATAATTCCTTTCTATTTTCTAAACATTTTTCTAGTCTATTACATACTCCTATTTACATGAAATAAGAGGGATTGGTATATCGGCTATCTACTGCTACGATTGAGGGAAGAGAGAGACCCTCTCATATTGTTTTATATTTTTTTATACTCAGTACCTGTTTTAAGAAAAAACAACAAGGAAGTAAAAGCAAAGACAGGCAACCCAGCACCAGGCCCGAAACCAGGACTGGGCCTGCCTGGCCAAAACCCAGTAGTTAAAAATCAACTCATAACTTAGAAAGCGATGTTATTCATAGATTCCAGACATTGTATAGAAGAACATTGTGAAACTCCCTGCCCTGTTTTGTTTCTCTCTGACCACTGGTGCATGCAGCCTCTGTCACGTACCGCCTGCTTGCTCAAATCAATCACGACCCTTTCATGTGAAATCTGTAGTGTTGTGAGCCCTTTAAAAGGACAGAAATTGTGCATTCGGGGAGCTCGGATTTTAAGGCGGTAGATTGCCGATGCTCCCAGCTGAATAAAGCCCTTCCTTCTATAACTCGGTGTCTGAGAGGTTTTGTCTGCGGCTCGTCCTGCTACACAATAATGTGTAACAAACTGCCACAAAAGCTGAAGGGACATATAACAATAAACATTTATTTCTCAATGTCAGTGGGGTCCAGCTGGTCTAAGGTGAGCTTTGCTGGAATTGGGCATGTGTTTGCAGCTCAGCTGGCTCACTCCTATGTCTTTGCATGAGCTCTCCTCTACATGTCTCCTGGTCCTCTTTCTGCCATCAACAGGCTAGCCTGGGCATGTCCTTATGGTGATGGCAGAGGGCAAGAGTACCTAAGGCCCAATCTTTCCAGTGTCTTTCAATCCTCTGCTTATATCAGGCTTACCAATGTCTGTTGGCTCAAAGCAAGCTACATGGACAAACCAGAGCCAGAATGGGAGAACGTTCAAAGCTACATGGTAAAGGGCCAGGATATGGGGCTGGGAAATTACCTGGGCATTATTGCAATCCACCTCAAAATGTCATCAAGGCTCTCCACCTGCTGCTGGAACCAGTTCGTGTGAGGAGAGGAAGATGGTAGCATCTTTCCAAACAATAAAGACCAAGAACCTTGGCAGTCTTCATCCTACTCTAGCATTTGACACTGTTGACCACCTTGTCCTGAAAATGTCTCTCCTCTTGGTTTTCCCATTTCAAGAATGTGTTAGTCTTCTATCAATATTTCTGGATGCCCTTTCCTTTGTAAATTATTTTTTCTGCCAATTCCCTAAACATTGACATTCCCTTCATACCTACCATCTCACTGTCTCCTCTCTTTCTTACTCCTTTCACCTATTCCCAAGGCCTCAGCTACACCTGTATGTAGGCTAGAAACTGGAGCCCTCCCAACTCTCATGAAAGTCAGACCTATATTTCTAACTATTTGTTTGTATCTTTATGGGCTGTCTCCTAGGCCCCTCAAATTCATGTCAAAAATTGAGCTCCCAGTTGCGAACGGCAATCCACACCTACTTCCGTATACTCTGTTTCAGGGCATTTGCCACATTGTATATACTTGCCTGTTTACACTTCTATTTCTCTACTCTTTAACTGTGAACTCATGGAAGGCAGAGATGTGCCATGATCATTTTTTGCATCTCCATTGATTTTTATAATGTCAAGTTCATGTGGATAATATTTTGAAACATTAGCTATTACTATTATTATTATTATTTGTCTAATGGTGTCCAACTTTAGTGACAGAGGCAGGGAAATCTCAGCTATGTGTTCAAGTAAGTGGATTATTGGTGACTCATTTCTCTAATTAAGCTACACCAGGGTCTCAGCAAACTTTTTATTCAAGGGCCAAATGGTAAACATTTTAGGCTTTGCAGAACATAAGATTTCTGTCTCAACTACTCAACTCTGTGTTTGTAGCGTGAAAGCAGTCACAGACAATTATGTAAATGAATGGGCATAGTCTGTTCCAATTAAAATTTCATTTTTGGACACTGAAATTTGAATTTCACATAATTTCCATACATCATGAAATAGTCTTTTTTTAAAAAAAATTTCTTTCAACCATTTAAAAGTGAGAAAACCATTCTTAACTTAGGCTGCACAAAACCAAGTATTTATTCTTTTCTTGAAAGGGCTGATAGAACAGCATACAGATAGCAAAGACAAATCCTTGGCTTCGGCATTTCCAAGTCTGAAGGTTGGTATAAGACAGAAAATGTGGAAAAATGTATGATTAGTCACAAATAAGTTTCCCCATCACCACCCCATTTCCCTCCTCTACCAAACACTAGATAAAAATTACTTGGGCAGAAAGGGGAGGAGGTTGTAGGGTAAAGGGAGAAACCAAGGGTTTAGACACTGGTGGGTTACCAAGGACCCTCTCATCCAGTGCCATGCCCCATACTGATAGTTGGGGAAGGTAGGAATTATAGAACTCTAACTAGGTTGGAGATTTTTTCTTCCCTCCACCCAAGGATGTTCCCAGGAACTTATATTTAACATAAGAAAAGAGAGATCTCAAACTGAAGAATATTACGTTTCAATGACCCCTAACCTTCAGAGTTGAGGCTCTAAGTAGAAATGGACTTACTTCAAAATTTCTTGCACTCTTGAAATTATACTATTTACAGAGGCACTCAATTAAGTCCAGCTCTTTCAATGTTCATTTTAGCCTCCAAAGATATCATCCTGAGGTATCATGTTGTACTTGCAGGGCCCTAAGCAGCCACCTGGTTTGCCTCATGGTTTAAACAACTGATAACAGTTCCATAACGTTCTTCTTACTATTTTGGAATTCTGGCTGTACTTTACGGTATTTCTTTCCTTTAAGAGGACTTATCTATAAATGTAATGGCAGCAAACATATTGGAGACTAACAACTTCCTTACAAGAGACACTAATATGAAGCAGAGTGCATTTGAGAGTCAAATCTTTGGCACAGTAAGTAAAATTTCTCTAGATCCCAGGAGACCTCAGACACTCTCCAGTTATATTAACATTGCAGAAAATTTCCAGGGCCATGAATAGAGACATGGCTTATGGAAACTCTGAAAGATATCTTTCATGCAGAGTTTGAAAAATATCATTCAGAGTTTCCATAAGCCATGTCTCAATAGACAAAACTATTCTAGGGCAGATGACATCCCCCAAACAAATATTTTCATGAATTTTACATTTTCAGTGCATTGCAAGTTTTAAGGATTAATGTTAAGGTTGGGTTTTAAATGGAAGCATCCCTGAATGAGGTTGATACCTCATTCTTTTTTTTTTTTAATCTCAATCGTTGTAACTTTCTCTTTCATGAGTATCTGATAACTGCTTTCACCTAGTTGTTGCATAAATGCATTTCTAGACATATTGACATATTTTATGTCTGCCTTTCAATCATGCTTCACTTTTTCCAGTAAATCAGTTACTAGAACATACTGAAGATGCTGTACAAATGCCTTGGTTTCTTTCTGCCAACTGAAACAGCTTGTTTGGGGCTCATTTTTCATTACGTTTTATAGCAGGGTGTAGTGCTCCAGGGAAAAAAGGATTTTTGTGTTTATCCCTCAGCTATTTTCTTTATCCTCCATTGGATTTCTCAGTTCAACTTTCTTAATATTTTAATTTTTCTCTGACACATACACATATATATATATATACATACATATACATATATACATATATACACATATATGCATATGTGTGTGTGTGTGTGTGTGTGTGTGTGTGTGTATATATATATATATGTATGTATTATTGGGCCTTGTAGAATCTGCAATAACCTGCAATGAGGACCAACTTACAGCTTAGCTTATAGGTATTTTTTTCTAAAAGTCACCATTAGCGAGTAAAATTATTTCATCATTCAGGAAGAATTATTGATCTAAATATCCAGCTGCAGGGGAGAGGGGAATTCAGACAATTGCTATCAGCTACCATTTCTCCACCCCATTAAAAGAGTATATTCCAAAATTAAGAATATATTCCAAAATTAAGAATATATTCCAAAATTAAGGCTGGGTATGGTGGCTCACTCCTGTAATCTCAACACTTTGGGAGGCCAAGGCAGAGAGATGACTTGTGCCCAGGAGACCAGCCTGGGCAATATAATGAGAACTTATCTCTACAGAAAAATTTAAAAATTATCCAATCATGGTAGTGCATGCCTGTAGTCCCAGCTACTTGGGAGGCTGAGGCAGGAGGATCACTTCAGCCCAGGAGGAGGTGGAGGTTGCAGTGAGCTGTGATCGAGCCACTGCACTCCACAGTCCAGCCTGGGCAACAGAGTGGGACCCTATCTAGAAAAAAAATAAAATAAAAAATATATATATACACACACACACATATAAATAAATAAATATATATACACACATAAATAAATATATATACACATATATATAATATCACATTTGGACTTTCTGGAGATTTGAGACAGTTGTCAAACATAAAGCAGTATGGGCTGGGCACGGTGGCTCACACCTGTAATCCCAGCACTTTGGGAGGCCAAGGTGGGCGGATCACTTGAGGTCAAAAATTCAAGACCAGCCTGGCCAACATGATGATACCCCATCTTTACTAAAAATACAAAAAAGTAGCCAGGTGTTGTAGTGCATGACTGTAATCCCAGTTACTTGGGAGGCTGAGGCAGAAGAATCGCTTGAACCCGGGAGGCGGAGGTTGCAGTGAACTGAGATCGAGCCACCGCACTCCAGCCTGGGCAATAGAGCGAGACTCCATCTCAAAAAAAGCAGTGTGTGTTTCAGTTTTAATGTATTTCAGAGACAGTATTTGATTATGTACGGCCACGTTTTATATAAAGAACACTTTGTTTTCCTAGAGTCTAGAAGACAGCTTGGAACATAATAGGTGTTCCATACATTTCTGCTAAATAAAATAGTTGTTTTAAAAGCACACCACATTTTATTATTGTTACCCATCCATTTTAGGTTAAAGAATTTGACACCAATTTTACATATGTGCAACAGTCAGAATTCTACTTGGAGCCAAACATTAAGTACGTATTTCAAGTGAGATGTCAAGAAACAGGCAAAAGGTACTGGCAGCCTTGGAGTTCACTGTTTTTTCATAAAACACCTGAAACAGGTGAGTGTACTTATATATTTTATTCTGTTGGGCTTTTCTTTATATATCTTTTCTGCTGAGCACAGTGGCTCACACCTATAATTCCAGCACTTTGAGAGGCCAAGGCAGGAAGATTGCTTGAGCCTAGGAGTTTGAGACTGGCCTGGGCAACATAGTGAGACCCTAGTCTGTACAGAAAAATAATAATTATTATTAGCCTGGGTGGTAGAATGCATTTGTAGTCGCAGCTACTTGGGAAGCTGAGGTAGTAGGATTGCGTGAGCCCGGGAGTTTGATGCTGCAGTGAGCTATGATCATCCCACTGCTCTCTAGCCTGGAGGAAAGACCAAGACCCTGTTTCCTAAAAAGTTTAAAACAGCCAGGTGCAGTGGCTTATGTCTGTAATCCCAGCACTTTGGGAGGCCAAGGTGGGTGGATTACCTTAGGTCAGGACTTCAAGACCTCCTCGGCCGACATGGTGAAACCCTGTCTCTACTAAAAATACGAAAATTAGCTGGGCATGGTGGCAGGTGCCTGTAATCTCAGCTACTCGGAAGGCTGAGGCAGGAAAATTGCTTGAACCCAAGAAGTGGAGGTTGCAGTGAACTGAGATTGTACCACCGCACTCCAGCCTGGCCAAGAGAGAGAGACTTGGTCTCAAAAAAAAATAAAAATAAAAATAATAATAATAAATAAGTTAAAAACAAAATAAAGCTACAAGATATTTTTTTTCTCTTTACCTTTGACCAAAATTGACAAAACTATTCTAGGGCAGATGATAACATTTAAATTGTCATTTTGCTTTGATTTTCTTAAGGCTTACTACAATTTATATAATGGTTCTCAAACATTCCTGGGTATAAAAACCATCTGGGAGGCTGGGTACGCTGGTTTACACCTGTAATCCCAGCACTTTGGGAGACCAAGGCAGAAAGATTGCTTGAGCCCAGGAGTTCAAGACCAGACTGGACAAGATAGGGAGACCCCATCTCTACCAAAAATACAAATAAAATTACCCAGGCATGGTGGCCCACGCCCATAGTCCCAGCTACTTGGGGACTACAGGAAGAATTATTGATCTAAACAGGCTTCAATCATAGCTCACTGAAGCCTCTGCCTCCTGGGCTCAAGCAATCCTCCTGCCTCAGCCTCCCAAGTGGCTCAGACTACAGATGCGGTCCACCATGCTAGCTGAGGCAGGAGGATCACTTGAACCTGGGAGGTCGAGAATGCAGTGAGCCACGTTCATGCCACTGAACTCTAGCCTGGGTGACATCCTGGGCAATTGTGAGCCATACAATAAGCTAAGAACTTGTTTTGAAAAATATTATCTGGGTGTGGTGGCTCAAGCCTGTAATCCCAGCACTTTCAGAGGCGGAGGCAGTTGGATCACTTGAGCCCAGGAGCTTGAGACCAGCCTGGCCAACGTGGCAAAATCCCATCTCTACTGAAAATACAAAAATTAGCTGGGCATGGCGGTACATGCCTGTAATCCCAGCTATTCAGGAGTCTGAGGCAGGAAAATGGCTTGAACCCAGGAGACAGAGGTTGGAGTGAGCCGAGATCGCGCCACTGCACTCCAGCCTGGGTGACAGAGTGAGACTCCATCTCAGAAAATTTTATTAAGAACATATTCTCCTAAAAGAGACACAAAACAATCATATCAATAAACGTTATCTACTATATGTAAAGCAATCAGAAAGTTAAAACTCCTAAACACAGAATTCTCTTCTCCTCAACAGGATTTAGCTGATTTATTGTTTATCTTTAGATATTTTCCTGCTTCTAATATTATTAGTTTAATTTTATATTCATTTATTCATGCCATTCAATAACATCTTAGCCAAATAGACTTCAGTTGAAGCACATAATAAAATGAATCTATTGTAATTGTAATAATACTCCTAATGGCCCCATTAACCTAAAGATGTCTCCCTACTGTAGGTACCTTATACACTAGATTTAACATTTTCTTTTCAGAACTGAAGGACTTTATTATAATCCCAGTATGAATAGCATCATTATTATAACATTCTGGAATTGTGTTTTATGTTTTCAAGGCACTTTGACATACATTATAAATATTGATGGCTGCCAAATTAGTAGAGGGAGCAAAGAGCATGACTTGCTGCAAAGCTCTTCTGGTATCTCCTACTGCCCAAATCTTAGAAATACTTTGGCCAGGTGCAGTGGCTCATGCCTGTAATCCCAGCACATTGGGAAATGGAGGCAGGTGGATTGCTTGAGCCTAGGAGTTCAAACCCAGCCTGGGCAATATAGTGAGACTCTGCTTCTATTTAAAAAAAATAAAAATAAATAGAAATTAAATTTAAAAATGTTAAAATGAAGAAACAACTTATTAGGGAATCCTTTTCTCTTTCTTTCTTTCTTTCTTTTTTTTTTTTTTTTTTTTTTTTTTTTGACAGTCTTGCTCTCTTGCTCTTTTGCCCAGCCTGAGGTACAGTGGTGTGATCTCGGCTCACTGCAACCTCCACCTCCTGGGTTCAAGAGATTCTTGTGCCTCAGCCTACCGAGTAGCTGGGATTACAGGCACCCACCACTATGCCTGGCTAATTTTTGTATTTTTAATAGAGGCGGGGTTTCACCATGGTGGGCAGGCTGGTCTCGAACTCACGACCTCAGGTGATCCGCCCGCTTTGGCCTCCCAAAGTGCTGGGATTACAGGCGTGAGCCATGGCACCCAGCCAGGGAATTATTTTCAGTATCAGTTCTCTTTTTTAAAAGTTAGTTTTTAATTGAAGGTATTCTGTCAAGTTGATACTGTTAACAATTCGTGGACTTTAGATGCCATTTTATAATAGTCAGAATTTAGTTGATAACCCTTTTTTTTAATGAACTCTATAACTGCCTAGCAAGATTATGCAAATTGATAACTACCATTTATCATTTACGAAGTACTCCTGTGTATAAGCTTGTTTGATTATGATGTCAGCCATATTTGGTAGTGTAATTAGCGCTACTTTACAAAAGCGGAAACTGGGCATGACTTACTAAATAGTACATTGCTGGTGGGTAATGACACCTAAACTATAACAAAACTTTTCTTATTCAAAATATTGAACTGCTTGGCTAGGTCAGTTGGTAGAGTATGAGACTTTTAATCCCAGTGTGAAAATACTGTGCATTTTCCCCACCATCCCTCAGCAATTTCATTCTTTAATTTCAGGGAAGCAGAGGAGCAACTTACTTAAGTATTCTAAGTATAGGACTACAAATGTTCTTCTTTAAACATAAAAGTCTTGGCGAGGTGTGGTGGCTCATGCCTGTAACCCCAGCACTTTAAGAGGCCAAGGCGAGTGGATCACCTAAGGTCAGGAGTTTAAGACCACCCTGGCCAACATGGTGAAACCCCGTCTCTACTAAAAATACAAAAATTAACTGGGTGTGGTGGCAGGTGCCTGTAATCCCAGCTACTAGGGAGGCTGAGGCAGGAGAATCTCTTGAACTTGAGAGGCGGAGGTTGCAGTGAGCCAAGATCCTGCCACTGCACTCCAGCCTGGGTGACAGAGCGAGACTCTGTCTCTAAATAAATAAATAAATAAAGTAAAATAAAGATAAAAGTCTTAAGCTTCAGGTAGAAGGAAATAGGAACACCACAGTTTAAATTTAAGGTCTGTTTCCTGAGGAGAAAAATCACTTAAGAGACAAAAATACCAATTAAAATTAAGTATCCCTGAAAACTTGGATTTATTAAAGTTTAACATGTTAGCTAAGAGAAACCATAGACTGTTCTCTTGGTACAAATTCCCTTCTAAGACACATTACATGAGAAACAGTAAAAGTGTGTTAGGGAAAGTGCTCATGTTAAATCTCTTTGAAAATGTACCTTTTTTTCTGTGTGTAAAAGCAATGTAAGTTTACTGTAGTATGCAACCTAAAAACATCCACTATTTACATTTATTTAATTTAATACTAGTTTTTCCTATGCATTTTTTTAATGTTTGGGGCTATGATGTATATACTATTTTATATCCTGATTTTCTTACTTAATCTACCCTGTTAAGTTTTTAAAAACTGATTTCATGGCTGCACGGCATTCTCGTTTATGTATGTACTATAATTTATTTAGGCATTTCCCTACCTAAATAACATCTAGGTCATTTCCATTTTATCCATTATCAATAAACTTCTTTGCATAGCTTTGTATATAAATGGTCTTTATTCCTTTAGTTCTAAAGAAGAATTATTGCATCAAGAGTTAAGCACCTTTTAAGATGCTGATGTATGTTGTCGAACTGCTTTTTACCGAATCTTTAATATTGATTGCTTTTTAAAAAGGGACCTATGAAAAGACAGTCATTCACAAAATACTCATTTAGCCTCTACCATGTGCCAGGCATTTTTAGATCCTTGCAGAACCTCAGTGAGCAAAGGAGACAAAATTCCCTGCCTTGGACAAGTTTCCTTCTGGAGAAGACACACAGTAAAAATCAAGCATAATAATTACATAAATTACATTGCATCATACATAAAGATGTAAATAAAAGCAGTAAGAATCAGACTTCACAGCTGAAGTATGAATTGCCTCACAAATGAAAAAATAAAATGATATCATTTCTGTAATTATTTATTTAACCAACTTGTTTGATAATGAGGTTTTTTGGCCAGCCAAACTTTTCCAGTGCTTAAAGGTTTATTTATGAAGAAACACAGCCCAGGCAGTAATGCCTCTTCCAAGCAGGACTTTTCTGAATTAGTCTCTAAGATTCTGACATGTGTATTACTGAATTGATTCATCTCAATACAATGTGTTTGCAAAATTCTGCCCAGCTAAGACCAGAGGACAAATCCTGAAGTGGGTATGGCTTGTCCTGCAGCCTCGGCATTCTTATTCTTTTCTGTTGCTTTCCCTCTGAATAGTGCCTGGCTTGGCCATTAAAAACCTGGTCTCAAAAATGAACCAAACCAACTCACTTATAATCAACTTTAATGACTTATTCTCTTTTTCTTACTTAGAGTATTTAGACTTTAATAGGACAAACAAAGCCTTATACTGAAAAAGAAAATCAATCCTCCAGAATACCCATTTATTCTATCTGATATAATAGCAAGAGGCCAATTAACAGACTGAATCCCAGGGTGACTTCAGGATAATAAATAATAATAGCTAACATTTATTGGATGCTTACTAAGTGTTGGGCATTTTGATAAGCATTTTACATATGAATTGTTCTTTATTTATCACTGCAGCTCTATAAAAGGAGTGTAATTATTATCCCAGTTGCACAGATGAAACCATATGGCCCAAGCAGTTTTGTCAAACATTACAAGGCTGGTAAACAGTAGAGCCAGGGTCTAACTCAGGCTATGGGATTCCAGCACCCATGTTATTTATAGCTCTGCTAGTCTCCTTCCTAAGAGACCTAGGAGGGTCCTGCATCCGCCTGTGAAACAAAATCATTCTCTACACATTAGCTAGTAATAAAACTATGCCAACAGAGCTTCATTTCTAATGCAGTGTTTGTTATGGAAATGCAAACGCATGAGAAAAGAACCAGAAGATACTACTGACTACTGCTACTTTGGCTTGAATACAAGATGTGGAAGCAGATTTGCAGTAGATGATGAGAATGAAACCATAGTACTATAGGAGGTTTCTGATAGGATAGGTAAGGAAGGGGCAGTCTGAGATGAGGATAAAGGATAGGTAAAAAAGGCAGCCTTAGCCAAGACAGGACCATCATGGGCAATTCATCATGTGCTTTACCAGCTAATTATGGGCTATCTAGAAAGCACTGTTTCTCATAGTAGGGTCTGTGGACAATCTACATTAAGAATGCTTGGGCACTTTTTTTTTTTTTGATACAGTCTCGCTCTGTCACCCAGGCTAGAGTGTAGTGCACCATCTCAGATCACTGCAACCTCCGCCTCCTGGTTCAAACAATTCTCCTGCCTCAGCCTCTCAAGTAGCTGGGACTACAGACATCCACCACACCTGGCTATTTTTTTTTGCATTTTTAGTAGAGACAGGGTTTCGTCATGTTGGCCAGGCTGGTCTCGAACTCCTGACCTCAAATGATCCCCCTGCCTTGGCCTCCCAGAGTGCTGGGATTACAAGCACGAGCCACTGTGCCTGGCCTGAATGCTTGGGCACTTCTTAAAGTACAGATTCCTGAGCCCTTTGCCAAGCGATACTTCTGCAGTGAAGCATAAAATCCATTGCTGTAGAGGTCAGACACACTCTTTAAGAGAAGGAAGTGTCATCATAAAAGACAACATAGGGAATGGACAGAAAATGTGGACAGAAAGGCAGAGTGGATATGATTGCCCAAGCCATTGAAACGGGAGAGTTCCCTGACTCCTGTCGCATATCATGTGGCTCATCTATTCTGCCAAGGCACATGCTCAAACCCGTTACAGGAGGGGGAGCACACAGATGGACAGGTGCGCAGGAGCTGGGGTGAGCACCTTGGGGCTCCAGCCCCACAGTAGCATCTAGGGGTGGATGCCTGTGACTCCCAAAGCCCAAGTGGGAATGTGATACAGTTCACTATTTTAGCTTTGCTGTCTGCAGACAGCTTAACTGTTAACCAGCTCAGTGCCCTCTTGGTACCCAGGTCCTTGTCCAGTGTCCAGGAAGAATCAGGTCACACACAGATTTGAAGGATGAATGTGGGGGTTTTATTGAGTGGTGGAGGTGGCTCTTAGCGGGATAGATAGGGAGCTGGAAGGGGGATAGAGTGGGAGGATGATCTTCCCCTGGAGTTGGCTGTCCAGCGGCCGATCTCCTCTCTGATCGTCCCCAGGGGAACTTCTCTCAGCATTCAGATGCTCCTTTTCTTCTGTCCTTCTCTGCCGAGCCATTCTGCCATTCTTCTGCTCTTCTATTTATCTCTCTGTCTGCTTCTGGAACCTGGGGTCTGGAGTTTATGAGGGTACAGGATAGCGGGGCATAGCAGGCCAAAAGGCAACTTTTGAGCACGAAAACAAGAATGCCTGCTTCTATTTAGGGCTATGGGTTTCCAAGCTTGAGGGTGGGACCTCTGCCAGGGAACCACCCTCATTTATTCAGTATTTTCCTGTTTGCTGTTTGTATCACCATCGCCTTAGTAGTAGTGGTTTGGGTGACAGAAAAGGGTGGGCATGTGAGAATCTTAGGCCATTATCTCTAGTACTATCTGGTCACCTCTCTGTTTCCTATTTCTCCTGAGTCACTGACCACCCCAGCCCACCTGGGCATTACAGGAACCCCCCAAAGCACAGGATATAGGACTGTTGTCGTAATTAACCATCACATCACACATGACCCTCTTCTGCCTAGAACTCACCCTGTCTCTGGATGTGAGGTTTCAGCTGAGATTATGAGAACCGCTGAGAGCTGCTGAAGTTAGAGCTTCTGATCCACCAACCTTGATAGGCACTGTTATCCTGGGGTCTTTCAGCAGTGCGGAAAGAGCCCCAAAGGGGAAAAGACAATTTGTCATTGTAGAAAACCAACACTGAAAATGTATAAGTCAGTAGTCTAAATTTGCTACTACTGACTTAAAAAAGCTGAAACAACAATGGCTAGCCAGGAATCTTTTTCAATTCTGCATTGTAATATAGATCCCTTTTTAACGAAGAAAAGACACAGGTTCTATAATTCCTTTAATAACAGGTTAAAGGCTTAAGGGAAGGGCAGTCACATTTCATGATGACTAATTCACTTGCTTGAATTGCTGCTTGCCATAGAAAAGTTTCCCAGAGAACTCATATTACTCTTTTTTTTTTTTTGACAGTTTTCCAGAGGAAGGCAAGTATGAGCAAGATATTAAACAACATTTTGCTTTCCTCTCACAAAACAGTATTGGTTGTTGCACTACCAGTGACTCCTTGAAGATGCTCATTAATTTTTCAGGTTTTTAAGTGGCTAAAAGGGAAAAAGCAAATATTATGTTAACGGAACTAAATATCAGTGCTATTAAATATAATGCAAATTAGATGATGGCACACAGAATGTATTTTTCAAACATTTTATTATGTGTAATTAGAGATTTGTGAATTGTCCACATAGAGATGGGTTCTGAACTTGTAGACTCTATTGGTTACTAACCCATGTTAAACAGACACGGTGTTTCTTGAAATTCTAATCACTTTAGACTTTTCATTTGGGTTTAACTTTCTTCAGGTCCTGCCTCTGATAAACCACCAAGTTTCTGCAGAATAGGAAACAATTCAGAAGAGTTCCATAATCTCCCTGAAGTTTGCAACCTATTACTACAGAACAAAGATCTTTCTTTCTTTCTTTCTTTCTTTCTTTCTTTCTTTCTTTCTTTCTTTCTTTCTTTCTTTCTTTCTTTCTTTCTTTCTTCCTTTCTTTCTTTTCTTTCTTTCTCTTTCTTTCTTTCTTTCTCTGTCTCTCTCTTTCTTTCTTTTCTTTCTTTCTTTCTTTCTTTCTCTCTCTTTCTTTCTTTCTTTCCTTCTTTCTTTCTGTCTTTCTTTTTCCTTCCTTCCTTCCTTCCTTCCTTCCTTCCTTCCTTCCTTCCTTCCTCCCTTCTTTTTTAGACAGGGTCTCTCTCTGTCACCCAGGCTGGAGTGCAGTGGTGTGATCTCAGCTCATAAGATCTGGGCTCAAACAATCCTCTCACCTTGGCCTTTCAAGTACCTGGAACTACAGGCATGCACCACCATACCCAGCTAATTTTTTTTCTTCCTTTTTTTTTTTTTTTGTAGAGACAGGGTTTCACCATGTTTGCCAAGTTGGTCTTGAACTCCTGGACTCAAGAACTCTGCCCACCTTGGCCTCCCAAAGTGCTGGGCTTACAGGCAGGAGCCACCATGCCTGGCCTATGATTATGCTTTTTCTTGAAGTCATCATCTTCTATATTAGTTTCCTATTACTACTGTCACAAATCATCACAAACTTGAAAGCTTAAAACAACATGAATTTATTATCTTATAGTTCTGGAGGTGAGAAATCCAAAATCACAACCACTGGGCTGAAATCAGGGTGTCAATAGGGTTATGTTCCTTCTGGAGGCTACAGGACAGAATCAGTTTCATTGCTTTTTCTATATTCTAGAGGCTGCCTACATTCCTCAGCTCATGGCTCCATCCTTCATTTTCAAAGCCAGAAGCATAGCATCTTCCAATCTCTTTCTCTGACTCTCAACCTTCTCCCTTCTGCTTATAAGAACTCTTGTGATTTTACCAGATCCACCCATGTAATCTAGGATAGCCACTTCCTCTCAATTCCCTTTTGCCTTATAAGGTAACTGAGTAGAAAGAACATACTCAATTTCTCTTGCTATATAGTACTTTCACAACACAGGTCACTTCTGTGACCTCTGATTACCAACATGTGTATGGGGATTTCTCCCCCTCAGCAACAAATTATCTGGCAGATTCTTTGAGGGACACCAGCTGTGTGTCCTCCAAGTCAATTCATTCTGGCACTATCTGCCTAGACATAGTGTCAGATCCTACAACTCCCACCTCAGATGCCAGTCTCAAGTAATAGGTGGTTACCTATACTTCCATCTGATTGGCTATAAATTAGAGTTTGTTTCCTGATCTTTTTTTCAGATTTGATCAATTTGCTAGGATGCCCCACAGAACTTGGGAAAACACTTATGATTACTGGTTTATGATAAACAGCATTACAAAGGATACAGTCGAACAGCCAGATGGAAGAGATGCAGTGGGCAAGGCATGTGGGGAGGGGCATGGAGCTTCCATAAGCTTTCCAGGTGCATCACCTGCCAGGAACCTCCATGTGTTCAGCTATCCTGAAGCTCCTAGAACTTAGGCCTTTGGGGTTTTTTGTAGGCTTCATTACATAAGCATGATTGATTAAACCATTGGCCATTGGTGATCAACTTAATCTTCATCCCCTCTCCCCTCTGGGAGGTTGGGGATGGGTTGAAAAATCCCAACCTTCTAATCGTGCCTTGATCTTTCCTCTGAACAACCCCCATCCTGAAACTACATAGGGGCGGCCAGCCACTAGTCAGCTCGTTAGCATACAAAATGACCGTTACCACTTTGGGCATTCTAAGGATTTTAGGACTTGTATGCCAGAAAACCAGGATGAAGACACAATATGTACTTCGTAATATTATAGTAACCTGTTCACAGATTCCAGGGATTAGGACACGGACATCTTTATGATGCCATTATTTGTCCTACTACATCTCCCTACCTCCCCAACCACTACCACCAATTGCAGTTTTTACTAGTCAGGATGATTAGGTGTAAGCAAAATAAATCAAGGCTGGTTATCTTAAGCAGAAAGAGAATTATTAGAAAGGTAGCTGAAAATCAGTAGAAAGCCTGGCAAAATGGGCATGAACAGGATCCGAGTGAGAGCAGGACCCAGAACCACAGCCAAAATCACAGCCTAGGAAAAGTCTGGCGAGGACCCTGCAGCTGACGCTGATCACTGCCACTGCCTGCCCTGGTGCCACTGTCACTGTACCCTGGATACAGCTATGGTGCCCACATTGGATTCTAAGTGGTTTCTGGAAGCCCTATGTCAACCCTTCAACATTCACAGCCTGGGTGTTAGGGGAGGGGGCATCTGGTTGGTGAGGTTTAGGCCATTTGCTTGTAGCCCTACTGCCTCTCAGCTTTTTTAGGATGCCCACAAAGAAGTATATCCTAGTGCTGGGCAAATAAAACATGGCAAATGTCTGCTAGACTATACAGATTGGAAGATGCTATGCCTGGAGAGCAAGGGTGTACTTCTGAGGAATCTGTTGGCCACTGTGTAGACTTGGAAGCTGTCCATTCTTTCATATAGAGTTTTGCTACACTTTGACATCAGACCTTCTCTGTATGGTCCTTGTCATTTAGGAAAATTTCCTGGGTGGCTACTGCTTTTTGCCTTTTCCTCCTCTTATTCTTTCTTTTTAACAATGTAACTGCCATATGTAGATTTCTTACCTTCTCCCTACATACCAAGTACCTAAAGCCCAGGAATATAAGAAGGAAGATAAACCCTTGAATATGTCTGTGTGTACCCTGCTACCCTTATATACACCGCTGATACTATAATCCACTAAATGATTCATTGCTTGACTTGTTTTTCAAGGTGTGGTAATGAGTTTGTTCTGACACACCGTTTTCCCTGCCCTGGGCTTCTGGTGCCTATTTGATATGTTGGCATTAGTTTTGCCTTGCTAATTGACATACTCAACTCTTTACCCTTGGCCCGATAATGTTGAATTCTGACCACAGAGCTAAACTGGCCTGGCTTGGAGAAATGGCACTTAAGTGCTGTGAAACAGCTGAATTATTAAAAGGAGATGCGAAAGAGAGAAACCAAAAGGAGGTATTTGTGTTTTGAGAAAAATAGGAGGGAGGGTGGGGGCGAATCTCCAATGATTTAAAAAAAAACACATCCTTTGTCTCCTTTAATATGACTCCTCTTTCTTGAATATCTAGAACCCCTGAAAGGTCCAGAAAAGTCCATGTGTCTGCTCTAATCAAAGCCTTTATGATGCAGGCCTTGGTTACTGTGGCTTTGACATCAAGATTGGCAAGCGCAAAAGTAAATAAAGAAACCTTAGAGATGTCTATACCCTTTGGCTCAGTAATTCCTCTTGTAGAGATCTGGCCTTAAGAAATAATCAGTGGAAGGAAATTTATGTACAATGATATACATCCAAAACCTAATTATAATAGTAAGAATTTGGAACCAGTCTAAAAGTTCAACAATAGCAATAATTAGTGCTTATTAAGGTTTTATTTGTGTAAAACATGGTACTAAGTGCTTGATATGAACTGTCTCATCAAACCTCATGACCTCACTGCTTTTATCTAATTTTACAAATGAAGAAACTGAGTCACTGAGGGGTTAAGCAATTTGCCCAGGGCCATGGAACTCCATCTAGTAGAGCCAGGACTTGGACTGAGTTTCGTTTGAGTCTGCAGTTGGTGTTTGAAACCACCTAGCTATACAGTTTCTCAATAGGGGTAAGATTGAATAAATACAGTAAAACATGATGAAACATTAACTAGCCATAGCATGATGTTTTGAACAATTTTTAATAAAATGAGGAAATTTTTATTAAGTAATATTGAATAAGGCTGGGTGTGGTGGCTCACACCTGTAATTCTAGCACTTTGGGAGGCTGAGGCAGGCAGATCACCTGAGGTCAGGAGTTTCAGACCAGCCTAGCCAACACAGCAAGACCTCATCTCTACTAAAAGTACAAAAATTAGCTGGGCGTGGTAGTGTGCACCTGTAATTCCAGCTACTCAGGAGGCTGAGGCTGGAGGATAGCTTGAGCCCAGGGGGCAGAGGTTACAGTGAGCCAAGATCACACCACTGCACTCTAGCTTGGGTGATGGTGTGAGACTCTGTCTCAAAAGAAAAAAATTGAATAAAAAAGGCAAGACAAAACATTTATAAAGAGTATGATCTCCACTAGGCTACCAACATACACAAAAGACTGTTAACATTTTTTTTAAATAATAGTTTCTAGTTTGCAAACAAATATAAAATTGTATTATCTTCTCCATACCCTTCTATACTTTTCAAGCATCCTGTAATTAGCATGTATTACTTGTGTAATAAAGGAAAGTAGTCGGTTTTAAGAAGAAAATAACTCTACGCTAGAAGATTTAAAGCATCAGTGCTAAATGGGTTAGCACAGTAGGGCTTGTGGGGTCCAGAGCCCCACAAGGCCAGGCAGCCCCAACACACCATGGCGAGTCCTCAGTGGAGCAATGCTAAGTCTCATCCTGGGAGAGGCTGCTTGCAGGGCTGACTCTGCCTCCCACCCTGAGCCATCCTGCTGTGGAAGTGAGGTTATTAATTTAATGAGATCAGTGACCAGCACAAACTACATGTCAGAACTGGATGGGAATTTCCACTCTTCACCCTCTACCTAGGTGACTTTGAGCAAGTTATTTATCCTTTCTACTCTTTTGTTTCCTTATCCGTATAATGAGGATAATAATATTGTCTGTGTGATTGGGTTGTTGTGAGGATTAAATGAGAGAAAACATGTAAAGTTTAGCATGTTACCTGTGACATAATTAATACTCATTAAATGGTCACTTTAAAAGGATGACAAAACACACTTTGCCCCATGGTTGATGATATGGTTTGGCTGTGTCTCCACCCAAATCTCATCTTGAATTGTAGTTCCCATAATCCCCATGAGTCGCGGGAGGTAATTGAATGGTGGGGGCAGTTGCAGTCATGCTGTTCTTGTGATAGTAAGTTCTCATGAGATATGATGGTTTTATAAGGGGCTTTTCCCCCTTTGCTTGGCACTTATCTGGCCTGTTGTCATGTAAGACATGCCTGTTTCCCCGATCACCATGATTATAAGTTTCCTGAGGCCTCCCCAGACATGTGGAACTGTGAGTCAATTAAAATTCTCTTCTTTATAAATTTCCCAGTTTTGTCCAGGTGCGGTGCCTCACACCTGTAATCCCAGCATTTTGGGAGGCTGAAGCAGGTGGATCACCTGAGGTCAGGAGTTCGAGACCAGTCTGACCAATATGGTGAAATCCTGTCTCTACTAAAAATTCCAAAAAAAAAAAAAAAAAAAAAAAAGCCACGCGTGGTGGCATGCTCCTGTAATCCCAGCTACTTGGGAGGTTGAGACAGGAGAATTGCTAGAACCCAGGAGGCAGAAGTTGCAGTGAGCCAGGATCATGCCACTGCACTCCAGCCTGGGCAACAGAGGGAGATTCTGTCTTAAAAAAAAAAATCCGGTTTTGATTATGTCTTCATAGCAGTGTGAAAACAGACTAGTACGGTTGATGTAGAAAGAAGAGCTGAGGTGATGATTTGGCATCATCCTTAAAATACAGATGGAATACGTTATTGCTAAAACCAGGTCCTTTTGAGTGGATTTGATTAAACTAGCCTGGTGTTTTGGTAGGCCAAAAAATATAGTTGTTATGCTTTAAATTTTGTCCAACAATAAGAAACCATATTTCTCGTTTGAGATCACTCTAAATTCCCACAGGCACATTGTCTTCTTGTAAGACTAAAGTTTGGTGCCAGTGTGTACAAGTTATATAAAAATTCTTCCCAAATTAAAGATAATTTGGATTTTTTTTAGTATATTCAAGTATGTCCTGTGAGATTAATAGGCATAAGTTAATATTCTGTTGCAAGGATGGAACTGTCTCATTATGGACGTAACACCACAAACACCAAATACAGTAAGATATCATGAGGTTTTTTTTTTTTTTAGCAAATTAGGCAATGCACTGATGACAGAACTGATATAAAAAACAGTTTCCAGTCATAAAGGCTGTGTGTGTGTGTGTGTGTGTGTGTGTGTGTGTGTGTGTGTGTGAGATTCTGTGTTTGCTAATGCTTTTGTATGTTAAAATACTTGCAAATACCATAAAGCACTAATAGCAGGTGGATTAAAAGGATGGGATTAGGGATGGTTCTTTTTTTCTCCTTTTAATTTCTCCTGTTGAAAATTTTTCTGTACTTTAATTATCGCTTTTACAGTCAAAGATGTTAAGTATAATTTAAAAAGAAATGACGTAGCCACGTGGTGGCAGTATTCCATGAAGAATGTAATCTACATAGCTTTGTTTCAGTCCTATGTCTAACATTGGCTTGATTTCTTCTCTGACAATTTTGTTTATAAATTGTCTTATTTTAGATAACTGATTCCTTGTGAAATTTCCCTATGAGGATTAAGCACCTCTTATAAGTGACTTTAATTTAATGCACCTGTTTGATTTGGAACTATGATAACAAATAGACTCTAAAGGAAGATTGTATTTATTCCCTGTTAGGGCTAATAAAACCCTAGTCAGATATGAAAATTGTTTTTATATGATGCAAATTAATAACTGAATGAAGTTTCATTGCCAATAACTACCTGTAGTTTATACAACAGAATTACATTAACCTGTATTAAAAGCCAACAACACCATATATTACTTTTAAATTAAAAATGCTAATTTTAAAATAATAAAAGTGAAAACAAAAATACTACAGCAGCATATGCTATAAGCCCATGATTTTGCTAAATTGAAAATTGTGTTACCTTTTAATGTAGTATTTTTACTCTTTTTTTTTTTTTTTTTTGAGATGGAGTCTTGTTCTGTTGCCCAGGCTGGAGTGCAGTGGTGTGATCTCAGCTCACTGCAGCCTCTGCCTCCTGGGTTCAAGTGATTCTCCTGCCTCAGCCTCCCGAGTAGCTGGGACTATAGGCACCTGCCACCATGCCTGGCTAATTTTTGTATTTTTAGTAGAGATGGGGTTTCACCATATTGGCCAGGCTGATCTTGAACTCCTGACACCCTCCTCAGCATCCCAAAGTGCTGGGATTACAGGCATGAGCCACTGCAACTGGCCAGTATTTTTATTCTTAAAATTTCAAAATAATGGAGATTCAGACTCCTGCCTGAGCTCCCTGCAAATGAACATTGGCCTGTAAAGATAGCACTTTAGATGAATAAACCTGACTGTTGGCCATCAGGGCATAACCTTGTTCCCTCAGAGTTTGGTGGAACCATATACCCATGGAGCAAAAGAGACTTAGCGAGGCATTGAGAAGCCAAAAACAATTTCTGATTTGTCACAATTCCGGGTGAAACATTTTCCTCTTGCTGTAGAGAAGCCAGGACAAAAAACACGGGAAATAACTTTTGGCTTTTCTGATGTTTTCATCTTCTAAAATCCCTCACCCACTGTTCTCAGAAAACTACCCTCCTCACGCTTATGCCTGCACCCAGAGCAGCCTTTTTTCTTTTTTCTTTTTTTTTTTTTGTGAAATGGAGTCTCCCTCTGTCACCCAGGCCGGAGTGCTATGGCACGATCTAGACTCACTGCAGCCTCCACCTCCCGGGTTCAAGTGATTCTCCTGTCTCAGCCTCCCAAGTAGCTGGTATTACAGGCACGCACCACCATACCTGGCTAATTTTTGTATTTTTAGTAGAAACAGGGTTTCACCATGTTGCCCAGGCTGGTCTCAACTCCTGGCCTCAAGTGATCCACCTGCCTTGGCTTCCCAAAGTGCTGAGATTACAGGCATGAGCCACTGTGTCTGGCCAGACCAGCCTTTTTCAAAAATTTCTGAAGCCCCGTAGAAACCTTTTCATTGGAAATGTAGGACACTTTTCTCAAAGACAGTCACATGGGCCACACTACTCCTTATACAAGCCTGTGATATCTCAGCCTCAAGTTGTGATTTCTCCCTGCCCCCAAAAGTAATTTTTTTAAAAGAAAAATTTGAGCACTGAAATCAGAGTGACGGAATACACAGGGCTTGAAGCAATCTCAGGGATCCAAGGCTTAGAGCCATCTTCAGAAATGTCTTCTGCCAGTTGGGAGAATTGTGTCCTTGAAGTCACTTCTGTCAGCTTTTAATTATCAGGAAGGAGGAGACTGGCAAGGCTGCACCAGGACCCCTTTGAGTTCAGACTGAAAGTTAGGTACCAGGGTTGCTCACCCCACCCTGGTCAGAATCATTCATTAGCAGTTTCCTGACAGCCTTTATAACTAGACCAGGCTGCCAGGAAAAGAAAAGAGCAGAGAGAAGTCATTGGTGACATCCCACCCAGGTGTTACAACACCAAAGTGCCTGCTAACCAAAATTAGGTTTCTTATGAGGAGCCAGGAGAAGGTGAACAGCATCCCAAAGATTGTGCAAAGGCAAAAGTGACACATCTTGGGGACCCTCAAGGAAATCTGAACCTTATTGCACCATCAATTGCAAGGAATCAAATAGAGATTAGTTATCATGCGTTTTTTCTGGCTCAGTAAAATAAAGCTCTTTGGTATTTGCTGCCTAGAAGCCTCATGAAATTAGTGGACACACCTTGAAGTTTTACAACCTAGGTAGATTATAGTTGCCCTTGCAGTGTTTCCTCCTTTGAGATTTACCCAATTAAATAAAAAGAAGAAGAAAAGACACATACTCGAAGACTATTGCTTTTATTCCACCCTTCAAGCCCATTAAAGTTATTGGTTTACTTTAGTCATCTCTAAACAAGGGAAGAAACTCCGTTGGGAAATTTGGCAAGCAGAGTGCAAAATGTAAGAAACTGACACTCTTTCCTTTTGGTTTAAGTTCCCCAGGTCACATCAAAAGCATTCCAACATGACACATGGAATTCTGGGCTAACAGTTGCTTCCATCTCTACAGGGCACCTTACTTCTGGTAAGAAAATACAACTTAGGCTTTTTGAGTAGTCTTTTAGTAATTGCCCATTTTAACCCATCATACTGAAAAAATCACATCAGGTGTTAAGTTTCTGGACAATAAGATATGCCTTATGTCTTCCATAGGAAAATAATAGACAAAGTACAAAGATCTGCTTAAAACTGAATGTAAGAAGTGGCTTAGGTGGATTTTGCCGGCTTTTGCAATAGATTGTATACATTTTTTAAAATTTTTATTTATTTTATTTTATTTTTTGAGACGAAGCCTTGTTCTGTCACCCAGGCTGGAGTGCAATGGTGCAATCTCGGCTCACTGCAACCTCCGCCTCCCAGGTTCAAGCGATTCTGCTGCCTCAGCCTTCTGAGTAGCTGGGATTACAGGCATCCGCCATCACGCCCAGCTAATTTTTGCATTTTTGTAGAGACGGGTTTCACCATGTTAGCCAGACTGGTCTTGAACTCCTGACCTCAGGTGATCCACCCACCTCAGCCTCCCAAAGTGCTGGGATTACAGGTGTGAGCCACCGCACCTGGCCACATTTTTATTTTAATAGCTGCTAGGGCTCAAGACCCAAAAACTTCTTTCAAAACAAATTACTTACCTATCTTGTGCTAGGACTTGTCTAGACATCTTCTTCAATCTTTAAAACAACCCATGAGATAAGTGTTACGCATCTATTTTATAATGAGGAAACTGAAACTTAGAGTAGTTGAGGAAACTTTTCAAGGTCATAGAGCTGCTAAGTGACAGACTAAAATTCAAATCCTTTTCTTTCAATGTCCTGGAGTCTATTGTCTTTCTTTTATACAAACCAGCTCCCATTTCAGTTGTTAGCATGACTATTATCGTATTGATGAGCTTGCCTAAACGTTTTAGGCGTAAAAAAATTGAGATCTGGTTGTACAATGGGTGAACATAACTCTAAATAGAAATTTCGAGTTGAAAACTTTTAGGCATGACTATTTCACCATTGACCACTGACAGACCATTTATCTCCTTGTGTAGAAATCAGGCAGGAATAGTATAAGAACTTTTGCAGGTTGTATTGCTATTCTTTGCACCTTCATTTATTTAATATTCATTAAGCAACTCCTGTGTACGAGGCACTGTTCTGGGTACTGGGGAATCAGCAGTGAAAACAATGAGCAAAGCCCCTGTCTTCATGGAGCTTCTATTCTAGCCAGACAGGGCAGAAAAACAGCAAACAAAACAAGAAGAAAAGTCAGGTGGTGGTGAAGTGTCGTAAAGAAACATGAAGTGGGTAGGCATGGTGGCTCACATTTTGTAATCCCAGCACTTTGGGAGGCCAAGGCAGGCAGATTGCTTGAGTCCAGGAGTTTGAGACCAGCCTGCACAACATGGCAAAACCCCATTTTTACAAAAAATACAAAAATTAGATGGGTGTGGTGTCATGTACCTGTAGTCCCAGCTACTTGGGAGGCTGAGGTGGGAGGATCAACTGAGCACCAGAGATAGAGGCTGCAGTGAGCTCCACTGCATTCCCGCCTGGGCAACAGAGCAAGACCCTGTCTCAGGAAAAAAAAAAAAAAGAGGAAAAAGAAGAAAAAGAAAAAGAAACATGAAGAAAGGTAAGGGCACTCTGAATTATCAATCAATTGCAAGCCAAGTGCTTAGGTTCAGTACAGTTCCCTAATTATAGATGCCTACACAGACCTACCTACACCTTGATATTTCTGTGGGATCAGTGGAGGTTAGGAACTCATGGCAGCTCTGTTAGATAAGTATTATTATCTCTATTTTCCAAAAGAGAAAACCTGAGACTCAGCAAGTTCATAATTATGCCCCAAGGTCACAGAGCTGATAAGAGGCAGAGTTTAATTCAAACCCAGGTATATCAGGCCACGCTCTTGGTCATTCTGCTCTACTGCTTAGACCCCTTTGCCGAGCACTGTGTTGACCTGAGGGCTGTCTATCCTCTTCCAGGCACTAATTAATGCCCAAGGGTGTGTGGCAGCCAGTACCCCCAATTAGTTGCTTCAAATAGTCAGAAATAGCTCTTTAGCCCTGGGAAAACATTAATTTCATATCCCATCAAGATTTTGCAGTGAGCTAGAGTTACTCAGACTCCTGCCTGCTGATTGGCTTTAGAAGAGGGCTGGGCAGCCTGGAGACCCCGGTATGTGAAATAACTAGGGTGGGGCAAACACAGTGTCTGCCACATGGTAAGTACCCAATAAACATTTGCTGAAGGAAGGGAGGGAGTGAGGAAGGAGGATGGAAGGGAAGCCAATACCCAACATGGCTCTAGAACAAATTCCAATGTGATAAGTAATGCCTCAACTATCTTCTATATTTGAAAATAGGGCTTTTTCATGTACCAGGGAGAAAGCATGATGAGCCTGGTGGGTAATATGTGTTGAATAAATTATATTAATTATTTAAATATTTTAGGAGATTAACTCAACTTTGACATGCAAGAAAAGCATTGGTTTTGTTTGTTTGTTTGTTTGTTTTTGAGACACAGTCTGGCTCTGTCGCCCAGGCTGGAGTGCAGCGGCACGACCTCAGCTCACTGCAACCTCCACCTCCCAGGCTCAAGCCATCTTCCTACCTTGGCCTCCCAAGTAGCGGGGACTACAGGCACATGCCACCACACCCGGCTAATTTTTGTAATTTTTGTAGAGATGGAGTTCTCACTTTGTTGCCCAGGTTGGTCTCAAACTTCTGAGCTCAAGTGATCCTCCCACCTCGGCCTCTCAAAGTGCTGGGATTATAGGCGTGAGTCACTGTGCCCAGCCAGCATTGTTTTTTAACTAAGTGTGAGTGCAGCATAAAGGCAATTTTGATTTCTTTTTTATTTTTTATTTTTATCTTAACTTGCCAGTGTATGATTTCTTTCTTATCACGTATATTGCTCTAAGTAAAGTGGATGTCCTTTCTCAGCAGGAAAAATTTCATGAGCAATAGATTTTGAAGAATGATGACAAATTGCACACATTCTATCTCACACAAAAAGTTAAAAAAAATCAGTATGATTGTAACCAGCTTTAGACATTGTTACAGCAATTGGGAATTCTCACCTGTGTCAGACAAGCCAAATGAAGCTCACCACTAAGAATTTATACGAAATTTGCATGCACAAGCCGACCACATTTGCCAGAGATGCACTTCTAAAAACCCACTGACATCAGATACATGTAGCCCAACTTTCTCAAACAAAAAGTTGTTTCCTGGGGTAGTTGTGCACTCTGGAAAAACAGTCACTCTGTGGCCTAAAGTAAAGGTTAATTTTGCTTCCCCCCACCCTTTCTCCTTTGAGACCTTTGCTTTGAGCAGAGTAAAGAGAATAGTAATTCTGGTATCAAATGAAGACTAATGCTTGGTTAAAATTATTTTTCTTTCCTTTCATTAGACAACAGAGGAGACATTGGACTTTTATTGGGAATGATCGTCTTTGCTGTTATGTTGTCAATTCTTTCTTTGATTGGGATATTTAACAGATCATTCCGAACTGGGTAGGTTTTTGCAGAATTTCTGTTTTCTGATTTAGACTACATGTATATGTATCACCAAAATTTAGTCATTTCAGTTGTTTACTAGAAAAATCTGTTAACATTTTTATTCAGATAAAGGAAAATAAAAAGAACAATGTTTAATAAGTACTTACCCATGCCAAACTCTCTACAAATGTCTTTCCTTTAATCCTCAAAATGACCCTGCCAGAAAAGCTTCCTGGCCTATTTTACAGGTGACTTAAATGAGGCTTAAAGAGGCTAAGTCCTCAGCCCAGAATCACTGAACAGTAAGCCCTGAGTCCAAACACAGCTGATATCAAAGCCCATTTCTCTCCTTTACTACACGGCGTTTTCCATTGTGCCTCAAATTTACCTACAGTGCCTAGATTCTTGAGAGTGGTGAAGTCACAAATTGCCTTGTGTTAAAAGAAAAACTTCAGCCAAATTAAATTTAAAGGAGTTTAATTGAGCAATGAATGTGCGAATTGGGCAGCCCCCAGAATTACAGCAGATTCAGAAAGACTCCAGGGTTGCCTTGTGGTCAGAGCAAATGTATAGACAAAAAAAAAAGTGACACATAGAAATTGGCAGTGAGGTACAGAAACAGCTGGATAGGTTATGGATTGGCATTTGCCTTATTTGAACACAGTTTGAACACTTAGCAGTCTATGAGTGGTTGGAGTATGGCTGCTGGGATTGGCCAAGACTCAGCTATTGTTACGGGCACATACTACTAAGTTAGGTTTTCAATCTTGTCTGCCTATTAGGCTAGGTTACAGTTCATCCACAAGGACTTGAATATAGAAGTATGGAGTCCTTCTCAGATCATATTTAGTTTGCTTTAATAATTCCCCCCTTTTGGTGATTTTCTCAATTTTGAGAGATTGACCAAAACTTTAGTCATTGATGTCACTATCACCATTGTAAATGTACTTATATGGTCTTTAAACCCACTGGGAAACAGTAGAACAGTGGGTTCTGTAAGGTGGCAACAAGGACTGAGTAGAAGGTACCTCCTTATGCTGGAACATCCTGTTTATAGGAGAAAAACAAAACCTGGTCTGTTCTAGGATCTATGTGTTTCCTTAAAGTCTTAGTTTGACTTTGTCACATTTAGCATGAACAACTCCATTTTGGTTTGGTTTGGTCTGTTGGAGTCTAGTGCATGAGCTCAGTCCAAAACAATGGCCTCCCATAATTTCGTTTTAAAAAAAAAATCCCCCTTTTTGGTCAGGTTCTCACTTAGGTGACAGTGTGACCAAAACCTAGGGCCTCAGTGCCACTCTCAGTTACCATCATTTTGGGTTTCTGTTCTCAGCATGTAATTCATAGGTTATGGTGTCCTGATGGTCACACATTTCTTTTAGCTCTTGTTATTCCAGTTGAAGAGAGACCATTTGACATTCTGGAGATGGCTGCTTGTAAACATTTAAAACCTTTGAGAGAATACAGCATACCAGGGAGATTACTATTAGGACTATTGGGAGAATAATACTAAGAGTTTGGGTTATGTTCCTTACCCAGGGTCCTCATAAACCAAACCAAACCATCTAAAAATCAAATAGATCAAAGAATGAGCTACATGAAGAGTCTACTCACTTAAGTGATTTTTTTCATTAATCCCCTACAACTGAATCACTATAATACCCGATGTTTTCTCCATACATCATAAGTGCCAGCAGCTGTTTAGCCAATACTTTTCGGTTTGGCCAATTCTATTATTTCGCATAACTTTCACAAGAGAATTTAAAGTTTTTTGTGTAACCATAGGCTTTACAGTAGAATCTGCTATAGAACCTATCATGAGGGATACATTTCTAATCAGTGCCTCTTTTACTTCAAACTATGGAAAAAAGACCTAACAAATGATGCCCTGCTAGAAGAGTGAAGGCCTCCTGGCAATGTTCTCTTTAGCCCATGATGTGGCTTAAGAGGAATGAATCAATGTTCTGTTTCTGACTGACTATGAGGCAATATATGAACCCTTAAAATTTCTCACCTGCATTGGGCCTTCATCTTTTATCCATCAAAGTATAACATTATCCATGTATAAGGCTGGCTGCAAAATCCTTCACAAATAAACATATACCCCATAATACACACATAACAGACCCCCTTTTCACTTCTATTGTTCATAGAGGCATAAGCAAGAAAAAAAATATTCAAAGTTAAGAGTCTCATGATAGTAGAGAAGTCTTAATCCATGATTTTAGGATAAGCTGTTCACATTAAGGACGCTGTCTTCTTGGGAGAAGCTGTCCTGGTTAGCTTTACCTTAAGGGTTCCGATGGGTGTGGAGGGACCCTCCTCAGTTGTGAGATTATGAAAGTTGTGGGATCTCTGAAACCAAAAGTTCAAGGTCCCAAAGTTTTGCTGTAGTGTGGATGGCAAGGACAGTCTTTCTCTAATGTTCTCAGAAGATTCATTCTTTGGGTTCTAGATTGTGAAGGGGTTGATTGTCCTCAGTGAACCATAAACAGCTTTTTTTAACTATGTAAAAATGTACTGCAGCATAATAATCTACTATTATAACATCAGTCTTCTTGCATGGGAAAGCTTTCATACAACCAGAAAACATGCATTGAAAGTGACAATTGAATGAAATCCCTTATAAATATTTAAATGTCCAATCAGGTAGCCAAATGTACCTGAAGCTTTGATTGTTTTCCCAGGAATATGGGTTTGACAAGCCAAATATTGTTTATAACTATTTTAGTAGTTTATAAGTCACCACACAAACATATTTAATTTGGATCATTTTATCTTTTCCATTACAAGTCGTAAAATGCAGAACTTTTAATAATGAAAGCCTTAAGGACTCTGGAAGGATAAGGTGGCTGTCTTGGTTCTCCACGAGTCCATGCTTAAAAATGGACTTATGTCCTCTTGAATACCAGTTGTTTCTCCAATTTAGGTGCATAGCACTGATAACTGATGGGTTATCATAGGTAATTTGGCTTAGATCATGGAGTTTATTCAAATTGTATATCTAAACAATTTTAGTATTGGCTGATTTAGCATGCGGATTTCTCTTTTTTTTTCTTATACTGTAAGTTCTGGGATACATGTGCAGAACATGCAGGTTCGTTACATAGGTATACATGTGCCATGGTGGTTTGCTGCACCCATCAACCCGTCATCTACATTAGGAATTTCTCCTAATGCTATCCCTCCCCCAGCCTCCTACCCCTTGACAGGCCCCAATGTGTGATGTTCCCCTCCTTGTGTCCGTGTGTTCTCATTGTTCAGCTCCCACTTATGAGTGAGAACATGTGGTGTTTGGTTTTCTGTTCTTGTGTTAGTTTGCTGAGAATGACGGTTTCCAGATTCATCCATGTCCCTGCAAAGGACATGAACTCATCCTTTTTTATGGCTGCATAGTATTCAATGATGTATGTGTGCCACATTTTCTTTATCCAATCTATCTTTGATGTGCATTTGGGTTGGTTCCAAATCTTTGCTATTGTGAACAGTGCTGCAATAAACATACATGTGCATGTGTCTTTATAGTAGAATGATTTATAATCCTTTGGGTATATACCCAGCAATGGGATTGCTGGGTCAAATGGTATTTCTGATCCTAGATCCTTGAGGAATTGCCACACTGTCTTCCACAATGGTTGAACTCATTTACACTCCCACCAACAGTGTAAAAGCATTCCTATTTCTCCACAGCCTTGCCAGCGTCTCTTGTTTCCTGACTTTTTAATGATCTCCATTCTAACTGGCATGAGATGGTATCTCATTGTGGTTTTGATTTGCATTTCTCTAATGACTAGTGATGACGAGCTTTTTTTCATATGTTTGTTGGCCGCATAAATGTCTTCTTTTGAGAAGTGTCTGTTCATATCCTTCACCCACTTTTTGATGGGTTGGTTTGTTTGTTTTCTTGTAAATTTGTTTAAGTTCCTTGTAGATTCTGGATATTAGCCCTTTGTCAGATGGGTAGATTGCAAAAATTTTCTCCCATACTCTAGGTTGCCTGTTCACTTTGATGATAGTTTCTTTTGCTGTGCAGAAGCTCTTTAGTTTAATTAGATCCCATTTGTCAATTTTGGCTTTTGTTGCCATTGTTTTTAGTGTTTTCATCATGAACTCTTTGCCCATGCCTATGTCCTGAATGGTATTATCTAGGTATTCTTCTAGGTTTTTTATGGTTATTAGGTCTTATGTTTAAGTATTGAATCCATCTTGAGTTAATTTTTGTATAAGGTGCAAGGAAGGGATCCAGTTTCAGCCTTATGCATATGGCTAGCCAGTTTCCCAACACAATTTATTAAATAGGGAATCCTTTCCCTATTGCTCGTTTTTGTCAGGTTTGTCAAAGATCAGATGGTTGTAGATGTGTGGTGTTATTTCTGAGGTCTCTGTTCTGTTCCATTGGTCTATATATCTGTTTTGGTACCAGTATCCTGCTGTTTTTGTTACTGTAACCTTGTAGTATAGTTTGAAGTCAGATAGCGTGATGCCTCCAGGTTTGTTCTTTTTGCTTAGAATTGTCTTGGCTATGTGGGCTCTTTTTTGATTCCATATGAAATTTAAAGTAGTTTTTTCCAATTCTGTGAAGAAAGTCAATGGTAGCTTGATGGGGATAGCATTGAATCTATAAATTACTTTGGGCAATATGGCCATTTTCATGATATTGATTCTTCCTACCCATGAGCATGGAATGTTTTTCCATTTGTTTGTGTCCTCTCTTATTTCCTTGAGCAGTGGTTTGTAGTTCTTTTTGAAGAGGTCTTTCACATCCCTTGTAAGTTGTATTCCTAGTTATTTTATTCTCTTTGTAGCAATTGTGAATGGGAGTTCACTCATGATTTGGCTCACTGTTTGCCTGTTATTGGCGTATAGGAATGCTTCTGATTTTTGCACATTAATTTTGTATCCTGAGAGTTTGCTGAAGTTGCTTATCAGTGTGAGGAGTTTTTGGGCTGAGATGATGGGGTTTTCTAAATATACAGTCATGTCATCTGCAGAGACAATTTGACATCCTCTTTTCCTAATTGAATACCCTTTATTTCTTTCTCTTGCCTGATTGCCCTGGCCAGAACTTCCAATACTATGTTGAATAGGAGTGCGGAGAGACAGCATCCTTGTCTTGTGCTGGTTTTCAAAGGGAATGCTTCCAGTTTTTGTCCATTCAGTATGATATTGTCTGTGGGTTTGTCATAAATAGTTCTTATTATTTTGAGATACATTCCATCAATACCTAGTTCATTGAGAGTTTTTAGCATGAAGGGCTGTTGAATTTTGTCAAAGGCCTTTTCTGCATCTATTCAGGTTATCATGTGGTTTTCATCATTAGTTCTGTTTATGTGATGGATTACGTTTATTCATTTGCCTATGTTGAACCAGCCTTGCATCCCAGGAATAAAGCCAGCTTGATTGTGGTGGATAAGCTTTTTGATGTGCTGCTGGATTCCGTTTGCCAGTATTTTATTGAGGATTTTCACATCGATGTTTATCAGGGATATTGGCCTAAAATTTTCTTTTTTTTGTTGTGTCTCTGCCAGGTTTTGGTATCAGAATGATGCTGGCCTCATAAAATGAGTTAGGGAGTATTCCCTCTTTTTCTACTGTTTGGAACAGTTTCAGAAGGAATGGTACCAGCTCCTCTTTGTACCTCTGGTAGAATGTGGCTGTGAATCCGTCTGGTCCTGGACTTTTTTTGATTGGTAGGCTATTAATTACTGCCTCAATTTCAGAACTGGTTTTTGGTCTATTCAGGGATTTCACTTCTTCCTGGTTTAGTGTTGGGAAGGTGTATGTGTCCAGGAATTTATCCATTTCTTCTAGATTTTCTAGTTTATTTGCACAGAGGTATTTATAGTATTCTCTGATGATAGTTTATATTTCTGTGGGATTGGTGGTGATATCTCCTTTATCATTTTTTATTGCATCTATTTGATTCTTCTCTCTTTTCTTCTTTATTAGTCTGGCTAGCAGTCTATCTATTTTGTTGATCTTTTCAAAAAACCAGCTCCTGGATTCATTGATTTTTTTGAAGAGTTTTTCATGTCTCTGTCTCCTTCAGTGCTTCTCTGATCTTAGTTACTTCTTGTCTTCTGCTAGCTTTTGAATTTGTTTGCTCTTGCTTCTCTAATTCTTTTAATTGTGATGTTAGGGTGTCAATTTTAGATCTTTCCAGCTTTGTGATGTGGGCATTTAGTGCTATAAATTTCCTTCTACACACTGCTATAAATGTGTCCCAGAGATTCTGGTACATTGTGTGTTTTTTCTCATTGGTTTCAAAGAACATCTTTATTTCTGCCTTCATTTTGTTATTTACCCAGTAGTCACTCAGGAGCAGATTGTTCAGTTTCCATGTAGTTGTGCAGTTTTGAGTGAGTTTCTTAATCCTGAGTTCTAATTTGATTTCACTGTGGTCTGAGAGACAGTTTGTTATGATTTCCATTCTTTTGCATTTGCTGAGGAGTGTTTTACTTACAATTATGTGATCAATTTTAGAGTATGTGTGATGTAGTCCTGAGAAGAATGTATATTCTGTTGATTTGGGGTGGACAGTTCTGTAGATGTCTATAGGTCCCACTTGGTCCAGAGCTGAGTTCAAGTCCTGGATATCCTTGTTAATTTTCTGTCTCGCTGATCTGTCTAATATTGACAGTGGGGTGTTAAAGTCTCCCACTATTATTGTGTGGGAGTCTAAGTCTCTTTGTAGGTCTCTAAGAACTGACTTTATAAATCTGGATGCTTCTGTATTGGGTGCATATATATTTAGGATAGTTAGCTCTTCTTGTTGCATTTATCCTTTTATCATTATGTAATGCCCTTCTTTGTCTCTTTTGATCTTTGTTGGTTTAAAGTCTGTTTTATCAGAGACTAGGATTGCAACCCCTGCTTTTTTTTTTCTTTCCATTTTCTTGGTAAATCTTCCTTCATCCCTTTATTTTGTGTGTGTTTTTGCACATGAGATGGGTCTCCTGAATACAGCACTACTGATGGGTCTTATTCTTTATCCAATTTGCCAGTCTGTGTCTTTTAATTGGGGCATTTAGCCCATTTACTTTTTTTTTTTTTTTGAGATGGAGTTTCACTTTTGTTGCCCAGACTGGAGTGCAATGGCACGATCTTGGCTCCCTGCAACCTCTGCCTCCCAGGTGCAAGGGATTCTCCTGCCTCAGCCTCCCTAGTAGCTGGGATTACAGGCATGTGCCACCATGCCTGGCTAATTTTGTATTTTTAGTAGAGATGGAGTTTCTCCATGTTGGTCAGGTAGGTCTCAAACTCCTGACCTCAGGTGATCCGCCCACCTTGGCCTCCCAAAGTGCTGGGATTACAGGCATGAGCCACCGTGCCCAGCCTAGTCCATTTACATTTAAGGTTAATATTGTTATCTGTGAGTTTGATCTTGTCATTATGATGTTAGCTGGTTATTTTGCCCATTAGTTGATGCGGTTTCTTCATAGTGTTAATGGTCTTTACAATTTGGTATGTTTTTGCAGTGGCTGGTACTGGTTCCTTTCCATGTTTAGTGCTTCCTTCAGGAGCTCTTGTAAGGCAGGCCTGGTGGTGACAGAATCTCTCAGCATTTGCTTGTCTGGAAAGGATTTTATTTCTCCTTCGCTTATGAAGCTTAGTTTGGCTGGATATGAAATTCTAGGTTGAAAATTCTTTCCTTTAAGAATGTTGAACATTGACCCCCACTGTCTTCTGGCTTGTGGGGTTTCTGCTGAGACATCTGCTTTTAGTCTGATGGGCTTCCCTTTGTAGGTAACCAGACCTTTTTCTCTGGCTGCCCTTAACATTTTTTCCTTCATTTCAACGTCGGTGTATCTGATGAGTTGTGTCTTAGGGTTCCTGTTCTCCAGGAATATCTTTGTGGTGTTCTCTATATTTCCTGAATTTAAAGTTTGGCCTGTTTTGCTAGGTTGGGGAAGTTCTCCTGGATAATATCCTGAAATGTGTTTTACAACTTGGTTCCATTCTTCTTGTCACTTTTAGGTACACCGTTCAAACATAGATTTGGTCTTTTCACATATTCCCATATTTCTTGGAGGCTTTGTTTGATTCTTTTCATTCTTTTTTCTCTGATCTTGTCTTCTTGCTTTATTTCATTGAGTTAATCTTCAATCTCTGGTATTCTTTCTTCCACTTGATTGACTCAGCTATTGATACTTGTGTATGCTTCACGAAGTTCTTGTGCTGTGTTTTTCAGCACCATCAGGTCATTTATGTTCTTCTCTACCCTGGTTATTCTAGTTAGCAATTCGTCTTTTTTTCAAGGTTCTTAGCTTCCTTGCATTGGGTTAGAACATGCTGCTTTAACTCAGAGGAGTTTGTTATTACCCACCTTCTAAAGTCTACTTCTGTCAATTCATCAAACTCATTCTCCATCCAGTTTTGTTCCCTTGCTGGCGAGGAGTTGTGATCCTTTGGAGGGGAAGAGGCATTCTGGTTTTTGGAAATTTCAGCTTTTTTGTGCTGGTTTCTCCCAATCAAGCCAGTGGATCTTAGCTTGCTGGGCTCTGTGGGGGTGGGACCCACTGAGCCAGGCACCGGAGGGAATCTCCTGATCTGCTGGTTGTGAAGACCGTGGGGAAAGCACAGTATCTGGGCCAGAGTATACTGTTCCTCCCCGTACAGTCTGTCATGGCTTCTTTTGACTAGGAAAGGGAAATCCCCCAGCCCCTTGTGCTTCCTGGGTGAGACGATGCCCCACCCTGCTTCAGCCCCCCCTCCATGAGCTGTACCCACTATCCAACCAGTCCCAATGGGATGAACTTGGTACCTCAGATGGAAATGCAGAAATAACCCGCCTTCTGCGTTGATCTCTCTGGGAGCTGCAGACCAGACCTGTTCCTATTCAGCCACCTTGCCAGCTCTCCAGCATGCTGATTTTTCACGCTGATTTAGCATGAAAATCTGGCATAGTATTTTCTTGGTATTTAATTAATTTTTGTTCTACTTTGGTTAGCAGTCTTATAAACCAGTTAGTCTTTTTATTAAAGTTTTAGGGATTCTTACCGAGTCTAAATGATACGAATTTAAAGTTATTAGAAACCTGTATTCAAGAGTGCTTTTTAGCATCCTTTTTATCCTTTCATGAACTTTCTAAAAGATACCATATTCTAGGATTTTCCGTGTTTGTGAAGTTTTCAGAAATTGCATTAGCATTAAGTAATTAACTTAATGTAATGACTTTAAACAGTGATATTTAAAAACACAATTCACAAGGAAATGTGGTTATCTCTGTGGTCTGTGATAAATTAACATAATAACCTTAATTATGATTGAAAGGATATACTCAGACATTAGAATTTTAGAAATCCTATACAATTTTGGAACATATATTAATATTATTTAACCTGAAGAAGATTAAACATTGTTTTTATTTTGACAATCCCATGTAACTAAACATGTCAGATAATCCTATTTACCTCTCCTTTGGATGCTCCAAGGGCCCTCTGTAGCATCCAAAATTTGGGGGTTAGAAAGACAATTTTGAAGCTGAAATTTCATTTTGGGAAGCCTATAAAATATGTTAAAGGTTTAAAATACTTGATATAATGCTTAACCAGTTTGACCATGAGGTGAAATTCTTGTAAACATTTTGTAACCCTTTACAAATTTTTGTTAAAAAGCAGATCAGTGCTCTAAGAAAAACATGTTGTGCTTTTATTTCAATTTTAATTTATAGAAAAACTTAGCAATACCCCTTTATCTTTAGCCAATGTCCACACAGAATTTCTTTTTATAAGATTAACTTTTCATAAACCTTCCACAATGTATTCAAGCCTTTAGCTTTATTTTAATCTAATTTAAAACAATATTTTAACCCTCTAACCTAGACAAAAATTTACATTCCTGTGCCTTCTTATAACCTTTTAGTAAAAACGCATTTTAGTTTCCTGACACACCTTGCATGTAAATCTATTTTCAGTAGTCTGGATTACATGTTGTAATGGTAACTGTTAGCAACTTTTAATTTTGGTGCCTAAATTTCCTTTCATGTATCCTTTCATGACTTATGCAGACCATCTATGACATGCTTAGACTTTCTGACTTGTCCTAATCATCCCTCTTTTTAAGCAACCAGTTATTTTACTTTAGGACAAGAATTTACCATACAACTTTCTTTCTTATATAAAATCTATTTTCTTTATAATCTTTTTTGCATAGCTAGGGGAGCATGGCTAATTCCACATGTCCCCAGGCCTTATTGAGAATCTAATGCCTCCAAGATAGGTAAATTGAACAATTTTCAAAAGTCAAAGCAGTTTATGACCTGAAAGCATTAGTAAACCTAATATCTGACCTGTCTAATTTAGACAAAATGTCTTTATTTTACCAATAATCGTTAAAGCCATTTTTATTTCCCAAAGATTACTAAAGTTACTTGAACTAAGACATTACAGTTTTTATTTTTTCTTCCAAAAGTGTTTTATCTAAGCACTTATTTTTCTTTAAGCCAATTACTTAGAGTTCTTTTATATGAACATCACACACACAACACATATATAACTACACAGAGAACAAGATCCAGTAGTTGTAGGATTTTTCATTTGCCAGTTTCTTCATTGGATTACTGACCTTGGGGTGGAGCCCATCAAGAAATGGCTAGGAAAACATGCAGTTTCTGGGGTCTAATAAGCAGGCACAGCTGGAAGGCAAAATGGATTTCGAGAGAGATCTATTTGCTTTTAATTCTTGAGGTTCCATGAGGAAAACAGAGGGTTTTTTCCAAAACAGGATCAGTGGCACCTTCTTTATTTTTCCCAAGGAGTCCTAGGCTATCAGAAGTTATCTTAGGGCCTCTCATGTGTGCCTTAAGAGTGGCAAGACAAAATGGAGAAAAATAATTCAGTCGACTGAGAAGAAAAAACCTTTTTCAGCAAAACAAGATCCACAAAAAGGAAAGACATAAATGTGGCCAGGCGCAGTGGCTCATGCCTGTAATTCCAGCACTTTGGGAGGCCGAGCTAGGCAGATCACGAGGTCAGCAGATCGAGACCATCCTGGCTAACACGGTGAAACCCCGTCTCTACTAAAAATACAACAAATTAGCCAGGTGTGGTGGCAGGCACCTGTAGTCCCAGCTACTTGGGAGGCTGAGGCAGGAGAATGGTGTGAACCCAGGAGGTGGAGCTTGCAGTGAGCTGAGATCATGCCACTGCACTCCAGCCTGGGTGACAGAGCGAGACTCTGTCTCAAAAAAAAAAAAAAAGGAAAAGACATAAAGGCCTTTTAAATATACCTATAGCTTGGATATCCACTTTTAATTAAGCTGACTCTTAACTATAGTGCTCTTTAAAAAATCCTTTTAAATCTCTTGTTACCCAACTTTAGCCATGCCAAGTGGCCTGTATTTCTGGCTTTTGAACTTTACCTCCCAGGTGCTCAGAGAAAGGAAAATTCAAGACAATTCATGGAAGGGAAGAGAATCAGCAAATGATAAAGTTCCCACAGGTATCAAACCAGAAAGGACTCATTCCTTAACCCAGGAATTGAACCCAGGCCACCACTGTGAAAGTAAAAAACTTTAGCTACTGAGCTACAGTACTGGGTAGTCTCCATTGTGCTTCCCAGAAGGGCTCTAAAGTACTTAATTTTGAGCTTGCAAAAGCTTTTAACTACTCAACTTAATTTTTAGAGCTAACTGTGACATGAACCCTAAAATTCCTGTTCCCTTGAAGGCAGAGACCAAGAAAAAGTACCACCACGTGGTTACAAAGTCAAGCTCCCAAGAATGTAAAACAAGATGGAGACCTCATCCAGTTTTTTTTTAATGCACTTCAGTGTGTTGTTGTTCATTTGGAATGTTCCATTGTAAGTTATCTTTAGTAAAATTTTGCTATTTCTGTAAGACTTTGCTGCCTCCCAAGCCTAATGTATAAACTGGAAGGAACTCTGCTTTTCAGAAATTAAGGATCTCATTTTTACCTAAAATATTGGCTTTGCTTTCAGGTTCCCTTGATGAACTTAGCCAATGATTTTTCCTACCTAAGTGTGCAAGAAAAATGAAACAAAGGTGTAGAAAACCAAAAATCCCTGTGAATTTCCAAATGCCAAATTTTACAACCCCTGCAATACTACCATTTACTACCAGTTTCTTTCTGACCTAGTCAAATCTAAGAGGCCTCTAATTGGATCCTAGCCTGTTAATTACTGATCAAATCCAATCCTGGACCCAGTCCAGTTTCTGTTGTGACTTCTGAACCCAGTTTGGAACAGGAATTTGCTCAAAGAAACTTGGAGAGTTCAAAACACAAATCTGTGGAGCTCTGAAATCCAAAAGAGAACTTGCCATGATCCCCAGCCACTCTGAGAGATCAAAGGACACAAGTAGGTCCAACAGGTTCCTTGCTTGTTCACTCAGTGCTCCTGGGGGTCGTTAGAAGGTCTAATTCATATCCCGCTTCTGACACCATCTAGTAAAAGAAAAACTTCAGCCAATTTAAAGGAGTTTAATTGAGCAATGAACAATTTGGGAATTTGGCAGCAGAATCACAGCAGATTCAGAGAAACTCTAGGGATGCCTTGTGGTCAGAACAAATTTATAGACAAAAAAAAAAAAAAAGAGAGAAGTGACATACAGAAATTGGCAGTGATGTACAGAAACAGCTGGTTGGTTACAGGTTGGCATTTGTCTTATTTGAACACAGTTTGAACATTTAGCAGTCTATGAGTGGTTGAAGTATGGTCCACTGGGATTGGCCAAGACTCAGTTACTGTTACAGGCACATACTCCTAAGTCAGGTTTTCACTCTTGTCTGCCTGTTAAGTTAGGTTACAGTTCATCCACAGGGATTCAAATATAGAGGTATGAAGTCCTTCTCAGGCCATATTTAGTTTGCTTTAACACTTGAATTCCACCCAAACAAATCAGCTTGAATCAGTGTGAAGGGAAGTGTGACAATTTTTAAATTTGTCAATTCCTTACCAATTGTTTTAGTGTTTTAGCATTCAGCCCCAAAGTCCCTTACTCTTGGCCCCCTTCAGTTTTTTCCCTCCTGTGATGGTATTAGTAAAGATCTATGGTTAGTTATTTAAAATGAGACTTTGAGAAAAGCAAGACCCTTGGATTTCTAAATTTTACTGATGCATTGAGTATTTCTAAGCTGCTCGATAGATTAGAGTTGTTTGGTGTGGCAGTTCCCCAGTGTGTCCAGTTGCTCACAAATTTTGACTTGAATGTTCTTTGCCGAATTGGCACTGAGTTTCTCCTTCTTGCCATCATTTGCTTCATGAAATAATCTTTCTTTCGTTTACATTTATAATCAAGTGCAGTAGAAAGATTTTAAATGAGCTATTATAAAGTCTACTAATGATTTCTTATCTACATAGGTTTTTTGCTCAGAACTTAATATTTCAAAATTTAAATTACACATTAATAAACATATTCCTAATACCCTTGTAAGGAAGGCAAACTAATACGGAATTTTATTTGAGGCTGTTTTAAAATATACTTGATTATGAAGTCCCTTGAAATATTTTAATGTTCAAATTAATACCCCATAAAAAAATCAATATTTGTGTTATTATTTAAACATGCCCTAGTGTAAAAGTTTAAGTAACACTAAGTTCATAACTAAGAATAGCCTAAAAACTAATTTTCAGTTCATAACAAGGAATTAGGGCAATTCTTTGCTCATTTAATTATTTAAATAAGTACTCTTTTTAAAAAGATAAAACAAGACATAATTCCAATATATTTATTTTACATTTGAACAGATACTTTTATTTAATACAACTATTCATTATCTATAAAAGCCTTAGTTCTGAAACAGAAGTGAGCAACAGAAAGCAAAATATTTTATTTATTTATTTATTTATTATTATTTTTTGAGACAGAGTCTCGCTCTATCATCCATACTGGAGTGCAGTGGTGCAATCTCGGCTCACTGCAACCTCCATCTCCTGGGTTCAAGTGATTCTCATGCCTCAGCCTCCCAAGTAGCTAGGAATACAGGCACACACCACCATTTCCAACTAATTTTTATATTTTTGGTGGAGACGGGATTTCACCATGTTGGCCAGGCTGCTCTTGAGCTCTTGGCCTCAAGTGATCTGCCTGTCTTTGCCTCCCAAAGTGTTGGGATTACAGGTGTGAGCCAACATGCCCGGCCCAAAACATTTTAAATATAATAAAACCAAAAGTGGGTAAATATATATACATATATATATATATATTCTCACTGTATCAGTGTACTGTATAAAAACTTTACTCCAATAGCCTGAATTTACTAATTTGGTCTAATTTTAAATACAGAAGAGAGTGTGAATTAGTAAACAAAACAACAACAAAAAAAATGGAATCATAAAACATTGTATAAAGATGAGTAAAGAAATAATATTTACCCTAAAGTCCAAGGTCAAATTGGGCTAGCAAAGTTCACTCAGCCATTTTGGTTGTTATTTAGTACAGGTCCTTTGAGAACCAATTTAAACAAATAAGTCTGATCCGTTGCTAACAGGATCCATTGTTAATATGTAAAAAGGTGTCTGAGATCAGTTTAGTCTCTTCTAAGTTCTTGGTACAACCTTTCTGCCCAAACCAATTTGTACTGTCAATGCAGAGAGTGTTTTTAAACACAATGGCAGTGCTAATAGATAGCTTGGGGGAAAAAGTGGGATGTTTATGACTTCTACCTTTTCTTTCCAAAGCCCCACCCCACTGATCCTTAAAATAAGCACATGGTCTAGGTAGAAACCAGTTCTCACTATGCCACACAACTGCAAGACATGTTCCCCAGCCTCCTTCTCCATCCGCATCAAGAAAGTTTGGAGCTGTCACCATCATTACAACCCTATTTGAAATAATTACAAAATCTAGACTCAGAACAGCCTAAATTTTAGGGCTTTATTATATAACATTCTCTTTTTAAATATGCGGTAGTTACGGTCACCTTGGAAAGTTCTACAAAATATCCCTTAAGTTTTTTGAACTTTCCCACATGGGAATCTTCTGGTTATGAGAGTTTGCTCTATTTAATATGTGTACGGTTTCACTGCTAGGGTGGTTCTCCCACTTATCTTGAATCTAGTGTGAGTGTTTTGAAATGTTTCTGCTCATTGAAAAGAAGCAGAGCAATAGAGATGAGAGGAAAATCTGAAAAGATAATGACACAATTTCCCACTTAATTTTCATTAAGTAAGAGATGAAAACTTTAGCCTCGGCATCAGGAAGTTTGATTTCTTTAATTAATTTTTTTTTTGAGTCAGGGTCTCACTCTGTTGCCCAGAGTGAGTGCAGTGGCATGGTCACAGCTCACTACAGCCTTGACCTCCCAGGCTCAAGCGATCTTTCCACCTCAGCCTCCCAAGTAGCTGGGACCACAGGCATGCACCACCACACCCAGCTAATTTTTTAATATTCTGTAGAGACAGGGTCTTGCTATGTTGCCCAGGCTGGTCTCGAACTCCTGGACTCAAGCAATCCTCCCACCTCAGCCTCCCAAAGTGCTGGGATTACAGGCATGAGCCACTGTGCCCGACCTAGGAAATTTGATTTTTAATATACATTTTATTCTAGTTGACTTCCTAATCTCCTATATGATTGCCTGCTTCTTCTAACGTGTCATTTTTGTTTTTTAGGATTAAAAGAAGGATCTTATTGTTAATACCAAAGTGGCTTTATGAAGATATTCCTAATATGAAAAACAGCAATGTTGTGAAAATGCTACAGGTAACCTAACATCATCCAACAAAAACTGAGTGGCAATTGAGACCAAGAGTGCAGTCTAATAATTAGAATAGAATTTCCATTCAAATAAATAAATGTGCACACATATTAACATAATTATATAGACATGTGTAAAGACAAAACTGTACCTGTTTCAAATCATACTTAAAAGAGATGAGACAATAGAGTTGGGGGAAAGAAAACAGAGAAGAAATAAAGAAACAAACCTGTTCAAAAGAGAAAAGTGAAGTGGAAGATTGTGGGCCTTGTGCACGAGTCACCTGGTGACCAAACAATGGTAGATGTCTTCAGGAACAAAGGGAGTAGGGAAGAAAAGCTCAATGAAATGAGCCTCAAAGATTCAAAGGGCTTCTGTTTCACATGAGATGGAGAGCCAGGTGGAGCCCAAGAAGGGCATCATTTTACTCTTTAAACCCAGTGGAATTTGAGAAAAGCAATGTGAGAGAACTGTGAACAATAGTGTCACAGGGGTGGGCTAGGTTTCCATTCTGGCAAAGAGAAGGCCACACACCAGGAAGCCCCTGAGGGTACAGGGACATTACTGATTATAAAGGAGGGAAGGAACAAGCTATGTGTGTTCCTGATAACCCCTGGCCCTCGGGATTGGCTGTCAAGGGGCTCAAAACCCAGTCCAAGGGACAAACACATCATCCAAGCCTTGCAATGCAGTGATGTAAGTGCAATGATAGAAATGAGCCCAAACATGTGATGGGAGTGGAAAGGAAACACTGAAAGGAGAGGAGCTGCTCAGGAGAAGCAGGGAGAATTCAAAGTCAGGGGGACCCCTGGGGGTTAGAACTGCATGTTGGGTAAGAAGATGAGGTGTTTGTAAAACAAATAGAAGTGGCTCTGTTTCAAGCTCTGGTAAGCCTATTAGCTAACTCTTTCCCCAACCTCATGTCATCTGAACAAAGGGTTTCTAGGCTAAAAATAAAATACTTTTTAAAAGTTCAAAAACAACTGGTCAACAGAATAGAGTCTGAGTTCTGTAACACAAGACTTCTGTGATCTGATCCACTCACCATTCCAGCTTTACTCCAGCCACTCCTCACGTCAAGATTTTTGATGAAGCAATACCCAATGTGCTGTTCTTACCCAAACCTGGCAAGCTCCCTAAGGAGGCTGGGGCTGAAGAAAATTGGAATGACACTTCATGTCTGTTTATTCAAGATCTCCTTCTTTGCTAAACTCCTTTCCTATTCTGGGCTCCTGGAATTAGAGGCAAACCTTAGGGCTTCCCTCAGATAAGGTTTTGTTTTCTGCCCGAGAGACTAAGGAATGCTTAGTCGGCTTGGGTGGCTTAAACAACAAACATTTATTTGTCACAGTGCTGGAGGCTGGGAAGTCCATGATCAAGGAGCCAGTCAATTCACTTGCTAGTGAGGGCTGTCTTGTGGACAGCTGCCTTCTCACATGGCAGAGGAAGAGATCATCTCTTTCCTGTCTCTTCTTCACTAATCCCATTCATGAAGGCTCCGCCCTCATGACCTAATTACCACCCAAAGTCTCCACTTTCAAATAACATCACATTGGCTTCAATGTGAGGGGGGCTGGGGAGAGGGCACACAAACGTTTAGTCCGTAACAGGGGGCTATAATATTATAATTGTGTTGGGTGACAGTTTGCCCAGGAAGGCCAGCCATCTGTTGGAAGGCCTCCAGTCCATTTATTGCCCAGAAAAGTCATCAGGCTAAAACCTTCACCCACCCTCCTTATCATCACAAACATGTCTGAATTGTGAGTAGCTTTATTTATTTATTTGTTGTTTTTTGTTTTGAGACAGAGTCTTGCTCTGTCACCCAGGCTAGAGTGCAGTGGCATGATCTCAGCTCACTGCAACCTCCGCCTCCCGGGCTCAAGCAATTCTCCTGTCTCAGCCTCCTGAGTAGCTGGGATTACAGGCTTGCGCTACTACGCCTGGCTGATTTTTGTATTTTTAGTAGAGACAGGGTTTCACCATGTTGGCCAGGCTGGTCTTGAACTCCTGATCTCAAGTGATCTGCCTGCCTTGGCCTCAAAGTGCTGGGATTACAGGCCTTATCCACCTTTAGAACCTCGGCATCAAGCATTTGTCACACACTCATTCTCGGTATGTGAGCAAAATAGGATTCTCCCCAACCTTTTTTTATTTAAGCAACAAAGTATTTTCTTGTAACAAGAAATATTAATATTAATATTCTTGCCTCAGAAGACCAACTTTTAAAAGGCCCTAAAATTAAGTAATAAGTAATAAGTTAATATATAAGACTCAACTTTTCTCTTTAAAACTTTTAAACCAAGAAATGTGCTTAAGAAGTGGATTATTTTTACTATTCCTTTTCTTCAGTCTTCTCATGCAAATTTAATAAAGATTTGGAAGCAAGCAGGATAACAAAAGACAAAAGGAGGAAATCATATGGGAAGATAAACAATATGAGAAAATGGAGGGAGAAAGGAAAGTTGAAAGAAAGCAAAATTCCTATCCTCATTCAATTATCCAGTTGGTTCTTTTAAATGTCTTTTGCAAAATAAAATGATGTCTTTTTTTCCTAGGAAAATAGTGAACTTATGAATAATAATTCCAGTGAGCAGGTCCTATATGTTGATCCCATGATTACAGAGATAAAAGAAATCTTCATCCCAGAACACAAGCCTACAGACTACAAGAAGGAGAATACAGGACCCCTGGAGACAAGAGACTACCCGCAAAACTCGCTATTCGACAATACTACAGTTGTATATATTCCTGATCTCAACACTGGATATAAACCCCAAATTTCAAATTTTCTGCCTGAGGGAAGCCATCTCAGCAATAATAATGAAATTACTTCCTTAACACTTAAACCACCAGTTGATTCCTTAGACTCAGGAAATAATCCCAGGTTACAAAAGCATCCTAATTTTGCTTTTTCTGTTTCAAGTGTGAATTCACTAAGCAACACAATATTTCTTGGAGAATTAAGCCTCATATTAAATCAAGGAGAATGCAGTTCTCCTGACATACAAAACTCAGTAGAGGAGGAAACCACCATGCTTTTGGAAAATGATTCACCCAGTGAAACTATTCCAGAACAGACCCTGCTTCCTGATGAATTTGTCTCCTGTTTGGGGATCGTGAATGAGGAGTTGCCATCTATTAATACTTATTTTCCACAAAATATTTTGGAAAGCCACTTCAATAGGATTTCACTCTTGGAAAAGTAGAGCTGTGTGGTCAAAATCAATATGAGAAAGCTGCCTTGCAATCTGAACTTGGGTTTTCCCTGCAATAGAAATTGAATTCTGCCTCTTTTTGAAAAAAATGTATTCACATACAAATCTTCACATGGACACATGTTTTCATTTCCCTTGGATAAATACCTAGGTAGGGGATTGCTGGGCCATATGATAAGCATATGTTTCAGTTCTACCAATCTTGTTTCCAGAGTAGTGACATTTCTGTGCTCCTACCATCACCATGTAAGAATTCCCGGGAGCTCCATGCCTTTTTAATTTTAGCCATTCTTCTGCCTCATTTCTTAAAATTAGAGAATTAAGGTCCCGAAGGTGGAACATGCTTCATGGTCACACATACAGGCACAAAAACAGCATTATGTGGACGCCTCATGTATTTTTTATAGAGTCAACTATTTCCTCTTTATTTTCCCTCATTGAAAGATGCAAAACAGCTCTCTATTGTGTACAGAAAGGGTAAATAATGCAAAATACCTGGTAGTAAAATAAATGCTGAAAATTTTCCTTTAAAATAGAATCATTAGGCCAGGCGTGGTGGCTCATGCTTGTAATCCCAGCACTTTGGTAGGCTGAGGTAGGTGGATCACCTGAGGTCAGGAGTTCGAGTCCAGCCTGGCCAATATGCTGAAACCCTGTCTCTACTAAAATTACAAAAATTAGCCGGCCATGGTGGCAGGTGCTTGTAATCCCAGCTACTTGGGAGGCTGAGGCAGGAGAATCACTTGAACCAGGAAGGCAGAGGTTGCACTGAGCTGAGATTGTGCCACTGCACTCCAGCCTGGGCAACAAGAGCAAAACTCTGTCTGGAAAAAAAAAAAAAAAAAAAAAAAAAGAATAACTAATACTTGCTTGCAAAGGGAGAGGCAAGTTTAATTTTCATTTTATCACTTAAAATTCTCTTGAGTAGATAAAAATATAGCCCCAAATGACAAAATAAGTGAAGAATAGAAACAGAAGAGAAGTTAGTCGTTTGCTGTATTATTTTTTTCCCCTACTCTCCAGGTATTAGGGATTTGATCTTAGTGTGATTTGGGACTAACAGCGCTGTGAAACAATAATGTGTGGAATCATGGGTTGCTGTCTTCACTTAAGTCAAGAGTGATGGCCTTGTTTTCCTGTGGCATAGTTGGGATATTATTTATACTATAATAGAACCTATGAGAGGTAACAGATGCAGGATCAGCAAGACGTAATTTTTTGTTTACAAACCAGATATATGTTAGAAAATTATTGTTAAAACAGGTATCTGTTCAGTACCTGTTTTGATGGCAAATACTTGCTGAACCTACCATTGCCCCATATCCCATGTCTCCTGCAGATATCACCAGCCAATCAGAACAGGCCTTTCTACTGAGCTGTACAAGTGCCCTCAGAAGCCTCCCAAGCAGTGTTCCTTATGGCCACAATCCATAAGGACTGGAGTAGGAGATTAAATCTATCTACCAATGATGTCAATATGGAAAAGTGGTTGATCTTTAAAAATGAAATACATATTTTAAGCTGAGAAATGTTACCCAGCAGACTATTGTGATTAATATTTATGGGCAAGGACAACTTTTCTGAATGATCAGAACAGTTTAAAATAGGGTAGAGTAGGGCATGTAAATTCATGCCTATAGTCCTAGCTACTCAGGAGGCTGAGGCGGAAGGAACACTTGAGCCCAAGAGTTAGACACTGCAGTGCGCTATGATCAATGATCATGTGCCAGAGCAAGACCCCGTCTCTAAAAAATAAATAAATATTCGTTCATTCATTCATTAAAATAGGTAGATTACACACTGAATTTCTTTTTCTCCTCCAACAGTTGTCAATTTATACTCATATTTAGTCATTTAATTTTATTATGAAAAATCAAGCAGTTAATTTTAAAAAGACTCATTGCTTACTATGTCTTTAGCAAATGAGCAGGCTATTTTGTTTTACTTTTTTTTTTTTTGATAAAAATCTAAAAGCAATTTTATGGTCATTAAGTATCCTTGAAATGAGGTTGACTGTATATCCCAGTTTGCCCTGGTTTCTGTCCATTGTCCTATTGTTAATTATGACCAATAACTGCCCTCATTCACTCTCAGAAGCATCCCTTATTTGGATAATAAATCATATGGTCACTCAAGACTACTTAATGTCCAGCATGTAAGTAATTCATCAGAAATTTATCTTTTTTTTTTTTTTTGCACTGACAATCCTCTTTATTTTACTTTTTATCATTTACTAAGGCCATTTTGCTCCAAAAGGGTATTACTATTCATACTGTAAAAAAAAGTATCCCCTGATACTTTTACATAGTGTAAAAAAAAAAAAAAGTTATCCCCCAGATAAACTCTATTCTGTTTATCCTAAAATATGTATATATTTTTTGTACTTTGCATATTCTGAAAGGAATATATTTTAAATCACTAATGAAATGCTAATCTTAAATACCTTGACTTGTAAATTGCCGTATGCCTTTGCTTGATTCTTTTGCAAAAGGAGAATCATAAAGTAGCCAAGAAGGAGGTAGCATTTGAGATTGAAATAACAAAAGACTAAGATAAATCTTTGATGTTTGCAAACCTGATGAAGACGTCTGGTAACATGTGAAGAATATTTTTATAGTACGTTTCACCATAATTGTAATCTATCACACATGAAAAAAGCTTTTATCAAGCTTAAAGGATTACAGCATTGTTTGATCTTCTGCAAATGTTTCCACTGCAGCGAGTGCCTCCTTTTCGCCCCCTAGAGTGGGAAGGAAGCTGCTTTCTCATTCTGTGGTGTCTTAACCCACATCACTATTCAGCACAAAGGAGACACTTCTGATTCTGTCTTTGCCATTAGCCCTTGTTGGTCCCAATGGACTAGAAATTGAGGCTATACCTGCAATGGGAGCAATGTACCTGCCTTTGTCCCAACTCAGGGGAAAAATTCAAGCTGCTTTATCACAATGCAAACTTCGCGGGGGAGAAAGGGTTTCTTTCTATAATTCTTGTATTCAAGAAGGATTCATTGAACTACTGAATGTCCTTACTGTTATATGTGCAAGGCCATTTGAAGGATATGGATTTAACAAAACCAGTCAATCCCTGCAGGCTTGGGGCTTATATCCTAGGGGGAAGAGACAGACAGTAAATTAGGACAAGTCATTGCCCCCAAGGAGCTTACATTTTAGTAGGGGAAGAGGCCAGAGGTAGGGGGTGGAGAGAGGCAGAAAAAAATAAAGGAAAATGTCAGATAATAAGTGCTGTCTAGAGAGGTAAAATGGGATAATGTGGTGGATAGCAAATCGGTGGCCACTTTACACTGGGTGGTCAGGAAAGACCACTCCCAGGAAGTGATACTGATGTTCATCTGAGTCTCAGGTAAGAGCCAGCTTGCCACTGACAAATCCTTCTATAGAGAAAGCCTTGAGTGGCTAATGTCTTTACTTCTTTCCCTCCCGTACAACTTGCCACTGATTATCTTCCACCCTGACCACTCCCCACCTCCCATCTTAACCTTCTTAAGCCAGAATTTTCTGCAGATTCTGAGGACAAGTGCATACCTATTCATCTTTCTATCTAGCTCTTGTGTCTATTATTAACTTTCTTTCTCTGAGTCTCACAATCTTTTAAGTCGCTGATTCCTAAAGGGGCATGTCCTGCTTCTTGGTATGGGTAAAGGGGAAGGAAGAAGAGAGAAAAAGCCTCTCAAGGTATCAATCAGAGGGAGGAAGGGAAGAGAAATACAAAGAAAGGCAGGTTGATACTTAGGAATGCTGAAGCAAAATGGAGTGTCATAGTTCTGGACAACACTAATGCTGACTAAGGAATATCGTTTCCTCCTGCTCTAGTATCTTTCTCTCCCTCTCCCTCCCTTTTCTTACATAAAAACCAAGGAGGAGGTGCAAGTCAAGTACAGTTTAGGGATGTTTGCTTGGTACGTGTGCAGGTGTGTACGTGTGTGTGCGTGTGTGTGTTTAATTGGAATTTCTTTCCTTTTTTTTTTTTTTTTTTTTAACAGGTCACCCAGGCTGGTGCACAATCACAGCTCACCACAGCCTCAACCTCCCAGGCCCAAGCAATTCCCCTATCCCAGCCTCCTGAGTAGCAAGTGCACATCACCATACCCAGCTATATTTTAAATTTTTTGTAGAGACAGAGTCTCATCATTTTGCCCAGGCCTGGACTCAAACTCCTGGGCTCAAGCAATCCTTCCACCTTGGCCTCTCAAAGTACTGGGAATTATAGGCATGAACCACTGCACCCAGACTAAAATTAGGATTTCTTTTTAGTTATAAATAGTATTGAAGAGAGGCTTATGAGTTTTTAAGGTGTGGTTTTCAGGTAATGTGGGTTGCTGTTTGGCCTTCCAGTGTGTTCCCTTGAGTGGCTAATTCTTATATTTAGTCATTCTCCCTTTGACATAGAGACAGCACATGACTATGGCATTGAGCAAAAGTTTTCAAAAATTAATTTTAGCAATTGATTCTCTTTCTCCAAATGCAATCTGTTGGCTAGGCACAGTGGCTCACGCCTGTAATTTCAACACTTTGGGAGGCTGAGGTGGGCAGATCACTTGAGGTCTGGAGTTTGAGACCAGCCTGGCCAACATGATGCAACCCAATCTCGACTAAAAATACAAAACTTATCTGGGCATGGCGGTGCCTAACCCAGGAGGTGGAGGTTGCAGTGAGCCAAGATTGTGCCACTGCACTCCAGCCTAGGCAACAGAGCGAGACTCCATCGCAAAAAAAAAAAAAAGCAATCTGTTGTAGAATCCTTAAATGTAAAACGGATGAAAGCAAATCTCCTGTTGAAACAGACCTTGGAGGTCATACCTGTGCCCTCTGCTTCTCCCTCTCTCTTCTCCGCCCTTGCCTCTGAAGCAACATGAAAAGCTGAGGCTAGGAGCTGTGCTCTTCTATACTTAGGAGACTGGGATGCTGGACCAACCTTGAGAAGCCTGTGCTTTAGAACTGAACCTTACTCTGCACTTTAGCCACAGGCTATCAACGCAGGCTCAGGGGACCAAAACCAAACCTTCCTATACTGAGATTAATGACTGCAAAAAGGGCTTTCTCTCAGAGGCTGCTAATAGAGGCAGTTCTATTCACAATAATTAACTTGCTTCTCCCAATTACTTTACCATAAATGTCTGGGCTTTGTTCAAGTTTATGTTCTTTTTAAGATCACTAAGAATAAAATACTGTGTTGTGAACATAATTAGATTTTATAAACCCAAAGACTCTGGAATTATGCTGTGGTTTATCTCTTTATGAAGCAATTATACCAATTATAGAAGATAATGTTTTAATGGGAAATATTACCCATTTGGCAGACACTATTGGTTTAAAATAAAAGAAGTGATTAAAAACAACTTATGAATCTCTCTTGGGTAAAAGAATGAAAACAATATAACATAATTGGGTTCTGATTCATAAAATGAATTGTACACAACTTTCTTCGATGCTGTAGTTAAGACAAAATTACAAGAAAGTCTAACAAAGGTTTGACAGAATGTTATTATGTGTCTTTCCTACTGCTAAGATTACATCATTAAACCCCAATTAATGTTTTATGTTAAGGCTTTCTTAGCCATTTTGCTAATTTCACTTTTCAACTTAAGATAACCACACTGCACCTTTTAGATCCAGAATTCCCATCAATTTCCTGAAGATGCATTCCCATTATGATTATTTTCAGGAATACAAGTTATTATCTAATTCTCATAATTAGCATTTAGCAACAGATTAGGAACTTATTCTTAAATGGTCCATTTTTGTCTGGGGTAGTAAAAGTATTCTGGGCTACTTTTATGAGACGGGGTTGGGGGGGAACCCTAAACAACAGTGTTACAGAAGCATAACTCTTTCCTGAGATTGTTGGTTTAAAAATTCAAGCAAAACAAAATGCTGTTTCTAACCATAAAGGCATACCTAAAATTAGAGACTGTCAGAGCACAGGAAGGAAATCATAAATAGCCAAACACTGGAACACAAGTGTGAGGTACGGAAGTCAATAAACGTTACTGTTTTCTTTCTGTTCACATCCTGTCTGAGAATTGTATTAGAGGAGAGCAAGAGAGAAAGAATGCAACAGTAAAATAAAGGGAATGCATTTTTATTTCTGAACTACACAGTAATTCATGAAAACACACTTTTTAAAAATCAAAGGAATACCAGTGTAAATGGAGTGAAAAGTGACAGTTGCTATTCACTCCTTTTTTTCCCACTCCTACCCCATCATCAAAGGTAATGACTCTCAGCAAATTATGAGGTTTTTCCTAGTATTTTTATTTAAATGATAAAATATGATATTGTCCTATGACATGCTATTTTTAACCTAACAATATGTCTCAGAAATCTTCACATGTCATTATATGTAGCTTTACCTTATTCTTTTAAACAATTGCCCTAATAATCTATAGAATAAATTTCAATAATATATTAACCTAATCTATTAATGAACATTTAGGTTATTTCCAATTTTTCACTAGTACACCTATTCCTTTAATAATTCCTCTTGTACATATGTTTATACACATATAAGAATTTTGTGTGTTAGGTTGTCAGGGACAGATACCTAAATGTGGAATTGCTGGGCCAAGAGACAGAAAGGAAGATAAAATCATTTACATTTTGCAGCCAGGTGTGGTGGTGTGCTCCTGTGATCCCAGCTACTTGGGAAGCTGAAGTAGGAGGACTGCTTGAGCCCAGGAGTCCAACACCAGCTTCACAACATACCAAGACCCTGTCTCAAAAAAAAAAAATTAGATTTTGGTAAGTATTACCAATTATTTCTCTAAAAAGAGTTTGCCAATATTATTAGTACGTAAAATGTTTGCCAACCTGATGGGTATCTTGTTTGCATTTTTTTAGAAGATGAGGTTGAATATTTTATTTGTTTATTGCTTTTTTGTATTTCTTATTTTTTGGTTCACCTTTGTTATATTATTTGGTCATTTTTCTACTGAGTTGTTGGTTATAGTCTTAGTCATTTGCAGGAGTGCTTAATATAAATCTTTTCTGTTATATATGTTCTAAATACGTTTTCCCAGCCTGTGTGTTATTTTTTTATCTTCATGTTTTCTTTTGCCAAACAAAAGTTTTAAAATTGTATGCAGTCAATCTGTTGCCATTTTTCTTTATGACTTCTAGACTGGGTATCATGTTTAGTGTCAAAAGACAAAATCACAACAAATTTAGTTCAAAGATCTTATGTGGGGCCGGGTGCTGTGGCTCAAGCCTGTAATTCCAGCACTTTGGGAGGCCAAGGTAGGTGGATCACCTGAGGTCAGGAGTTCGAGACCAGCCTGGCCAACATGCTGAAACCCCTTCTCTACTAAAAATACAAAAATTAGCTGGGAATGGTGGCACGTGCCTGTAATCCCAGCTACTCAGGAGGCTGAGACAAGAGAATTGCTTGAACCTAGGAGGCGGAGGTTGCAGTAGGCCAAAATTGCACCATTGCACTCCAGCCTGGGCAACAGAGCGAGACTCCATCTCAAAAAAAAAAAAAGATCTTAATTGAGGTCAGGTGCTTTGGCTCATGCCTGTAATCCCAAAACTTTGGGAGGCTGAGGTGGGAGGATTGCTTGAGCTTGGGAATTCAAGGCCAGCCTGGGCAATATAGTGAGACCCTATCACTATTAAAAAGAATAAAGAATTTTAAAAATATTTTTAAAAAATTTTAATTGTCTTTTATTTGCAATTCTAGAATCGGACAACACCTCATACTATAAAACAGAGTGAGTGTTCTGATGAGCTGAGCAGAGGAGGTTGATTTAAGGAACTTTCTTATCACGCTGGCGAAAACTGGCCTGTTTAGGGATTTGGCTGTTATCTCTGTGTCCTGATTTGTTGAAAGGTCAGATAAAGATCTTAGTTTCAGCAGGTTAGTGTGGAACTTCAGCATGACTGACTCCAGTTTGGTTTTGTCTGTTGGGCCTAGTACAGGAGCTCAGTCCAAACCAATGATCTATTATACATTTGATTTAACATTAGTAAAATATGTATTTACGCTAGAACATGTAGTGGTGTAATATAGTCTGAACGTTGTCCCCATCTAATCTTATATTGAATTGTAATCCTCAGTATTGGATGGAGGTTGGGCCTGGTGACAGGTGACTGGATCACAGGGGCAGATCTCTCAGGAATGACTTAGCACCATCTCTTTTGTAGTAAGTGAGTTCTCAAGAGAGCTGGTTGTTTAAAAGTGTGTAGCACCTTTCCCTTCTCTCTCTCTTGCTTCTGCTCTCCCTGTGTGAGATGCCTGCTCCTGCTTCACCGTCCACCATGATTGTAAGCAGCCCAAAGCTTCACCAGAAGCAAAGCAGCTACCAGTGCCATGCTTCATGTATAGCCTGCAGAACTGTGAGCCAATTAAACCTCCTTTCTTTATAAATTACCCAGCCTCAGGTATTTCTTTTTTTTCTTCCTTTTCAAAAACATTTTTTTTCAATTTCATGGAAAAGAGGTTTTTCATTTTTCCAAAAATTGTACCAAGGTAAAGCAAAGTTCTAGTTGATGCAGGTGCATTGTATAGGCGTTAGCAATACTGCCCTCATTATGCACTCATTAGACAGTAGTGCAACCCCAAGAAAAGGATGGTTAGATATTTCTTTATAGCAATGCAAGAACAGCCTAACATACGGTGATATTAAGCAATGGGAGAACAGTGGGCATTAGAAGACACAGATCAGATTAGAATCTACCTTTCTGGCTGGATGCGGTAGCTCACACCTGTAATCCCAGTACTTTGCGGGGCTGAGGCGGGCAGATCACCTGAGGTGAGGAGTTTGAGAGTAGTCTGGCCAACATGGTGAAACCCTGTCTCTACTAAAAATACAAAAAATTAGTTGGGCATGGTGGCACACGCCTGTAATCCCAGCTACTAGGGAGGATGAGGCAGGAGAATCATTTGAACCGGCGAGGCGGAGGTTGCAGTGAGCCGAGATCGCACCATTGCACCCCAGCCTGGGCGACAGAGCAAAACTCTGTCTCAAAAATAAATAAATAAAAAGAATCCACCTTTCTCAGACCCTGGCTATGTGGTTTCCAGCAAACCCTTAACCAGGAGGATTCAGTTTCTTTTTCCTTAAAAAAGATCCTATTAATATCTTCCTCTGGCCATTCGTTGAGAACATTAAATTAAATAACATTTGGAAACACTGGCAGGCTAGTCAGAGTGGCTCATGCCTGTAATCCCAGCACTGTGGGAGGCCAAGGCCAGTGGATCACTTGAGCTCAGTACATTGAGACCAGCCTGGGCAACATGGCAAAACCCAATCTCTACAAAAAATTAGCCAGGTGTGGTGGTGTGTGCCTATAGTCCCAGCTACTCAGGAGGCTGAGGTGGGAGGACTGCTTCAGCCTGGGAGGCAGAGGTTGCAGTGAGCTGAGATGGGCCACTGCACTTCAGCCTGTGCAACAGAGCAAGATCCTGTGTCAAGAAAAAAAAAGAAGAAGAAGAAAGCACTGGCAGAGTGCTTAGCATGAAGTAGGCACTGGAGGAATTTTGATACAGTAAGAATAGGAATACTAGGTACCTGAGAGGAGAGGCAGAAAATGTCAGTGGACTAAGTGGAGTGAAAAAGAGGCGAGGAAACAGGACTAGAAAACTCTAAAAGCATGCACTCTTAGGTAGTGCAGAAGTGTTTTTGTCCAACTATTAAATAGCACAACCCTAAATTCCTGTCATACTCCTGATCTTTCATTTTAGTGTTCAGGATCTCATAGTAAACATGCAAAATTTGATATTCATTTGATAACGGTTGCTGTGATACTTATTGCAAATCTCTTCTTATCTAGATTTTTAAAATATATTTTTTTGTAGGGATGGGGTTTCTCCATGTTGCCCAGGTCGGTCTCAAACTCTTAGACTCAAGAGATCCTCCTACCTCAGCCTCCCAAAGTGCTGAGATTACAGGCATGAGCCACTGCACCCAGTCTTATCTACATTTAAACAAAGTTTAGCATTTATTTTATTTTGCGGTTCAATATAGAAGATTTATTTTATCTTAGTTGCTGAAATTGGAAATCACTTCTGTTTCACCAAATGAAGAGATTAGGATTTTAAGAAACTGCCAGCTGCTAAGTATTTGCAGATTCATTCTTTTTTTAGTATTCGTTGCACATCCCATTCAATGTGTTACTTTGGAGATTCCATTTGATTGAATAGAGGCAGCCCATGCAGAACTCTTTGAAGAACAGGAGGGAGGCTGCTGAAGCCCAGAGCAATGAAGAAAAGCAATTCTAATGTAAGAAAAACAAAGAACAAAAAAACAGAAGCACTTTGCAAACACAATAAATGATATTAATAGATTCAACCCATCTTCATCGCTTTAATGAAATGATAATTTTTGAGGCACTTATTAAAACTCTTACATTGTCTTTTCCATTTTGTTGCTTTTGTTTTACTAAGAAGTAGAAATCTTCAGTTAGAAAAAAATCAGAAAAACATGTGGAACTACAAATGTAACTGATATTACAAATAGGTAGACTAAACTTTATTTTTTCCTTTTAAGAGCTTGGATTAAGGTCAAACAATCAGAGGGGATTTTGGGTTTTTTTGTTGTTGTTGTTTTGTTTTGTTTTGTTTTAGAGGCAGGGTCTTGCTCTGTCACCCAGGCTGGAGTGCAGTGGTGCAATCATGGCTCACTGCATCCTCGAACTCTAGGGCTCAAGTGATGTTCTTGCCTCAGCCTCCTGAATAACTACGACTGTAGGTGCACAAAACATGCCTGGCTAATTTTTTTGTTTTTTGTAGAGATGTTATCTCGCTATGTTGCCCAGGCTGGTCTTGACCTCCTAGCTTCAAGCAATCCTCCTTCCTTGATCTCCCAAAGTGCTGGGATTATAGGTGTCAGCCACCATGCCTAGCCACAATCTGGGCTTTTGAATTTCAAATTTACTATATGCCAAGTATGTGATGTTGGACAATCACTGGAGTTTCATGTTCTCTCCTTGTCCTACTTTCTGGGACAGGGATACTGATCTTGGTGCACCTTGCTTGAGAAAATTTGAGTTGACTCTCTCCTCCTTGAAACACTTTCTTCCTCCAAGAACACCACACACCCCTGACCCCTTACTCTGACCACTCATTCTCAGTCTACTTCTCTGGTTTCTCCTAGTCTCTTTGCCACCTAAACGTTGAAGGCCCCACAGTGAAGGCCTTGGTTTCTCCCTTGGTGATCTTGTCCATTCTTGTGGCTTTAAACACGATCTACATGTTATAAGAACAGGCTAACCCAACATCTATTTTGAACTCAAGACTCAACTCCAGATTCAACTGTCTACTAGCATCTTCATTTGTCTATCATCAAGGTATTTAAGACCCAAGCTTTTTCTTCTCACAGATGTCCCATCTCAGTAAATAGTGTTGCCATTTTTCTAGTTGCCCAAAAATCTTGGTGCCATCCTTGACTTTTTTCTTTCATTCCTCACATCTACTCCATCAGGAAACCCTATCCATCCTACCTTCAAAATATATTCAGAAATTGAATCATTTCTTACCACCTCAACTCAACCGCCTAGCTCAAACTACAGTCATCTCTTGCCTGAGTTATTACAAAAGCCTCCCAAAGGTCTGTCTTAATAGCCAGATGATCCTGCTACAACCATACTTGTCTGCTCCAAATCTGTCAGTGGCTTTCCATCCCACACACGACAGGAGTCTGAGTCACTATAATGACCTAGGAGGCCCCACCTGGTTTACCTCTTCTGTCCCAGGATCCTCCATTGTAATCACTCAGCTCCAGATACTGGGAACCTTGTAAGCACCCCAGGGTCTTTGCTCCTGCTGTTCCCTTCTGAATCGTGCACTAGCACGCTACCTCTCGGAATTCCTGTTGCCTCCTATTCAGCCCTCCCCAGCCATTCCATGTAAATGACAAACCTCCACCCCCATGCATTCTAGTCTCCTCTGCTTTGCCTTTCTTCACAACACTCACCACCATCTAAAATTGAACATACTACACATCCTACTCATTAATCTTGTTCATTGTCTGTCAGTCACTACAGTGTAAGATCCAGAAGGACAGAAATTGTGTCTACTCTGTTCCCTATAAACCTTTAATGCTTAGAACAGTGCCTGGCACATAGTAGGTGTTCAATAAATATTTGTTGACTGAATGAATGAACAATAGATAATGGCCCAATCTAGTCATTCCATCTACTTCTCACAAGACAGAAAAGAGTATTTCACGAAGGCAAAGAGCTTTCAGACCTCAATGTGTTTTCTGAGGCTCTTCCTCAATACTCCATTATTTTATCATCACCATTGTTGTTTTTCTCTAAACTGCCACTCTATAATTGACAAGAAAGCAACGACATAATGTAAAATTATGTGTTTTTATTTTCATTTATGCAGCTTTGTTTTATTTTCTAGGACCACTCCAATAGTTATTGGAGTCATTGAAATGACAGTCATTTTCAACCATCTTCTTTGCTGTTGACTGAAACCCTGTCTTCAGATAGATTCATGTGGCAGAGTTAATAACACCTCAGTGGGCAAACACTATCCTTCCTTTCTCTGGGGGGAGATATTTTTAGCCACCACACTAATTAGATAGCTCTCTGGCTGATAATGGGGCAGACAAAGGGTGTAGCATGTTAAAGAAAATGAGCAAACAGGTGCAATCAACTTAGAGAATATTAATCAAATGTCTTTTTTTTTTGAGATAGGGTCTCACTCTGCTGCCCAGGCTGGAGAGCAGTGGCATGATCTTGGCTCACTGCAGCCTTGACTTCCTCCACTTCCCAAGCTCGGGTAATCCTCCTGCCTCAGTACCCCCCGAGCAGCTGGGACTACAGGTGCATGCCACCAGGCCTGGCTAATTTTTTGTAGAGACGGGGTTTCAACATGTTGTCCAGACTGACCTTGAACTCCAGGGCTCAAATAATCTGCCCACCTTGGCCTCCCAAAGTGCTAGGATTACAGGCATGAGCCAATATGCCCAGCCAAATATCTTAATCACCATCATCATCATCATCATAAACTGCCGGTAGGAAGTTTGGCATAATGTGTCACATCAATTATAAATCACAGATGATTTTACTTGATATAGTTAGCTAGAGATAATCCACAGGGGGTAATTTTATTTATTATTGTTTTAAATGCTATTAAATTTTGTTTTTATCTAGCCTGCTAATTTTCTGAATGAAGCTGTAATTGGCATTTGATTGATTTGGCTGTGTCCCCACCCAAATCTCATCTTGAATTCTCATGTGTTGTGGGAGGAAGCTGGTGGGAAGTAATTGAATCATGGAGCAGGTCTTTCCCATGTGGTTCTCATGATAATAAGTCTCACAAGATCTGATGGTTTTAAAAATGGGACTTTCCCTGCATGAGCTCTCTCTCTTTGCCGGCCCCCATCCATGTAAGATGTGACTTGCCCCTCCTTGCCTTCCACCATGACTGTGAGGCCTCCCCAGCCATATGGAACTGTAAGTCCATTAAATCTCTTTTTTTTGCAAATTGCCCAGTCTTGGGTATGTCTTTACCAGCAGCGTGAAAATGGACTTATACAGCATTTACCACAGTGTCTGGCTCATAGTAACTGTGGCAGAGCCTGCTAATTGTCCGTTCAACTTCCGTTCTCAAATTCTTACTTCCTAACAGAACCCCTATGTCATTGATGATAGCAGTTCTCTCAGTGAAAAGATACATTTCTAGCCTCCCTTGCAGCTAGGTGTGGTCATGTAACTGAATTCTGTCCAATGAGATATACACAGAAACTGTTAGAGGGATTTCCAAGCTGTCTTATTAAAGAGTGGGGACAGACAAATGGAGAATATTTTCCTCCCTCTTCCTCCTTCCTGCTGACTGGGAAGCGAGCATGACATCTAGAGCTCCAGCTCCTATCTGAGACAATAAGGTGACCTGGAAGATAGAAGTTGTGTGCTGAGTAAGGTGAGCAGAAGACAGAAAAGCCCACATCTCCGATGATTTTGAGGAGCTGCCTTGGATCACTTTCCTTAACTTCTTTTACCTGAGAGTAATGTTCTAATATCACTGTTCTTGCAGATTCTGCTATTTGTATTTGAATTGATCCTAATGGATGTAATACGTAATCAGAAATTATTTTTTCAGAGAATGGATGGAGTACATGCCTATGGTGGTTGTAGTAGTCTGCTCAGGCTGCCATAACAAAACACCACAGACTGGTTGTCTTAAACAATAGAAATTTATTTTCTCACAGTTTTGGAGGCTAAGAATTTAAGATTAAGGTGCTGGCAGGGTTGGTGTCTGGTGAGACCTCTCTTTCTGGCTTGTGGATGACCATCTTCTTTACCATGTCATATAGCCTTCCCTTAGGCTCATGCAGAGAGAAGGAGAGAGAAATATTTCTGCTGTCTCATTCTCTTTGTATAAGGACATTGATCCTATCGAATTAGGTCCCCGTCCTTATAACCTCACTTAATCTTAGTTACTTCCCTTAAGGCCCTATCACCAAATACAGTCACATTGGGACTTAAGGCTTCAACATATGGATTTTGGGGGACACAATTCTGTCCGTAACAGCGGTCATCTATTGTCTTGCCAGTTTTCCTCTTCTAGGACCTGCTCTTTTCCTCCTATCCACATGTTGCTTCAGTATCACTCTGATTAGCTAGCAGCAGTTGATTGGTGTGAAGTATGCACCTGATCCAAGCTGGGCCAATCAAAGGCTTTCCCTAGGAATTGTGCAATTAGGCCTGCGAAAGAGACAGACTCCTTCCAGTGACAGAGTGTTAGGTGGCAAGTTCAGAAGCTGTCAGTCTTGTTTTTCTCCATGTGGCCAGAATGAAAGGAAGATGGCCCATAGACGCAGAATAAGAAGAATAATAAACAGATCCACAGAAAAGGACAGAGGAGAGATGAAATGAGAACCCTGAATGCATTAGAATCCCTTGCTCTAATTGTTAATAATGTTCAATCATATTCATGACTCATGACCCATGAGAAACTTTATAATACAGCCTTCTTTCTTCCTTAGCTACTTAGAGTTGGGCTTCTACTATTTTCAATTGAGAGCCCTAGCTAATACAACTCTCCAAAATTAAAAAAAGAAAAAAGAAAAAGAAAAGAAAAAAAGCTTTGTATTTTTAGGCTCTTAGAACTCACATTATTTTCTTTTAATAATGATTAGCAACAACTAATGGTGTTTGTTTTATCTTGTACGCTAAATTATCTGAAATTGGGTAGGTACTACAGTGGAAATAAATATTTGATGTTATTTTCAATAAATTGTTACTGGAGTTAAACCTCTTGCTATCCTGACAATTCCTCCCTACATCACCCTCTTTGCAATGGCAGATGGAAGAATTGGCAATAAATGCAATTCAGCTTGAAGAAAACACCCTAAATATTAGAAACCTGTGAAGAACCACCGGATTGCCTTATCAACTCATTGTGCATCCTATTTGGAAGTCTAAAATAGAACTAAAATTCTAATACTTTTACTTGTATAAATGCTTATAATTGTCATCTTTGCATCTCAGCAATTATTCCTGGATAAATATACTGCAAATCATCTAAGAAGAGAAAAACCCCTCTGAATTACATGACTGAGTTTCAGAATGTGAGTAAAGTATGGCTAACCAAAATGTTCAAGCAAACTGATGCAAATTTCCTTTTCTATGACTGTGTAAGCAAAACTCTTTTGCACGATACTAAGTTTGATGTGGTGTAGCATGTAAAAGAGAAAGCACCTTTATCTGTGTTTGAGTGGAAACCAGGTAACCTTGTCATAAACTGGGGAAGAAATGACTTAAGTGTCAGCTCCCACATCTCCTGCTGTGAATAGCCTTTAGGGGTGTCATAACCACGAACACACAAACTTGACAGAAACTAAATCTCAGTGCACAAAGAAAATGTATCTGCAATGAATTCATATTGGGCTCTTCCCACACATTATTTAACTTAATCTTCCAAACAAGCTGTGAGGTAGATATTATTATCACCATTTTACACTGAGGAAACTGAGTCAGAGAGATGCTTTTTCTTGCCCAGCACCACTTAGGTCATAAGTGGTGGAGCTGGTTTTGAATGTATTCACCTCGCTCGCACCCCATGTGTCTGTGCTGTACTATGAATTCCTCAAGGGATGGGGACTGGTATTTAGCTTGTGTCTTTAAATTGTCATGAAAGACTAGAGGCTTCTTCTTGGTAGTAAGAAATAACGTGTACAATACCAAGAATATAGCAATTGTACTCAAGAGTATATTAAGGTCAGCGGGTGTGTGTAATAGAGGAATTATGAAAGACATATCTGTGAAACATGCTGAGATTCAGCAGTAATAAATTGTTTAAAAACTAGGCTTGAGAAGATGATAAGAGCTATTTATGACAAACCCATAGCCAATATCATAATGAGTGGGCAAAAGCTGGAATCATTCCCTTTAAACCGGCACAAGACAAGGATGCCCTCTCTCTCCACTCCTATTAAACATAGTATTGGAAGTTCTGGCCAGGGCAATCAGGCAAGAGAAAGAAATAAAGGGTATTCAAATAGGAAGAAAGGAAGTCAACTTGTCTCTGATTGCAGACGACATGATTGTATATTTAGAAAACCCCATCATCTCAGCCCAAAAATTCTTTACACTGATAAGCAACTTCAGCAAACTCTGAGGATACAAAATCAATGTGCAAAAATCACAAGCATTCCTATACACCAATGATAGACAAGCAGAGAGCCAAATCATGAGTGAACTCCCATTCACAATTGCTACAAAGACAATAAAATACGTGGGAATACGATTTACAAGGGACATGAAGGACCTCCTCAAGAACTACAAACCACTGCTCAGGGAAATCAGAGAGGACACAAACAAATGGAAAAACATTCCATGCTCATTGATAGGAAGAATCAATATCGTGAAAATGGCCATACTGCCCAAAGTAATTTATAGATTCAATGCTATTCCCATCAAGCTACCAGTGACTTTCTTCACAGAATTGGAAAAAACTACTTTAAATTTCATATGGAACCAAAAAAGAGCCTGAATAGCCAAGACAATCATAAGCAAAAAGAACAAAGCTGGAGCCATCACGCTACCTGACTTCAAACTATACTACAAGGCTACAGTAACCAAAACAGCATGGTACTGGTACCAAAACAGATACATAGACCAACGGAACAGAACAGAGACCTCAGAAATAACACCACACATCTACAATCATCTGATCTTTGACAAACCTGACAAAAAAAGCAATGGGGAAAGGAGCAATGGGGAAAGGACTCCCTGTTTAATAAATGATGCTGGGAAGACTGGCTAGCCATATGCAGAAAACTGAAACTGGATCCCTTCCTTACACCTTATACAAAAATTAACTCAAGATGGATTAAAGACTTAAATGTAAAACTCAAAAGCATAAAAACCCTAGAAGAAAACCTAGGCAATATCATTCAGGACATAGGCCTGTGCAAAGACTTCATGACGAAAACACCAAAAGCAATGGCGACAAAAGCCCACATTGACAAATGGAATCTAATCAAACTAAAGAGCTTCTGCATAGCAAAAGACACTATCATCAGAGTGAACAGGCAACCTACAGAATGGGAGAAAATTTTTGCAAGCTAACCGTCTGACAAAGATCTAATATCCAGAATCTACAAGGAACTTCAACAAATTTACAAGAAAAAAACAACCCCATCAAAAAGTGGGTGAAGGATATCAACAGACACTTCTCAAAAGAAGACATTTATGCAGCCAACAAACATATGAAAAGAAGCTTATCATCACTGGTCATTAGAGAAATGCAAATCAAAACCACAATGAGATACCATCTCATGCCAGTTAGAATGGTGATCATTAAAAAGTCAGGAAACAAGAGATGCTGGTGAGGCAGTGGAGAAATAGGAATGCTTTTACACTGTTGGTGGGAGTGTAAACTAGTTCAACAATTGTGGAAGACAGTGTAGCAATTCCTCAAGGATCTAGAACCAGAAATACCATTTGACCCAGCAATCCGATTACTGGGTATATACCTAAAGGATTATAAATCATTCTACTATAAAGACACATGCACATGTATGTTTATTGCAACCCTATTTACAATAGCAAAGACTTGGAACCAACACAAATACCCATCAATAATAGACCGGATAAAGAAAATGTGGCACATATACACCATGCAATACCATGCAGCCATTAAAAAGAATGAGCTAATGTCCTTTGCAGGGACATGGATGAAGCTGGAAGCCATCATTCTCAGCAAGCTAATGCAGGAACAGAAAACCAAACACTGCGTGTTCTCACTCATAAGTGGGAGTTGAACAATGAGAACACATGGACACAGGAATGGGAACACCACACACCGAGGCCTGTCAGGGGGTCAGGGGCAAGGGGAGGGAGAGCATAGGTTGATAGGTGCTGCAAACCACCATGGCACATGTATACCTATGTAACAAACTTGCACGTTCTACACATGTATGCCAGAACTTAAAGTAAAATTTAAAAAATTTAAAAAATAAAAAATAAAAAAAAAATTAAAAAAAAAAAAAACTAGGCTTGAGAGGAAAGCACAAGTAGTCACCACCACCAGCGCAGCAGTGCCAGAGCCAGGAGGAGATCCCGGCCACTGCCCCTGCCTCCCGCCTGCCGTCAGTCGCCTCCATCCTGTTCCAGCAATCTCTTAAAGCATGATGGGTTAGGCTGGGCACAGCGGCTCATGCCTATAATCCCAGCATTTTGGGAGGTCGAGCCAAGTGGAACACCTGAGGTCAGGAGTTCAAGACCAGCCTGGCCAACGTGCTGAAACCCCGTCTCTACCAAAAATATAAAAATTAGCTGGGCATAGTGACACAAGTCTGTAATCCCAGCTACTCAGGAGGCTGAGACAGGAGAATGTCTTGAACCCCAGAGGCGAGGTTGCAGCGAGCCAAGATGGTGCTACTGCACTCCAGCCTGGGTGACAGAACGAGACTCTGTCTCAAACAAACAAACAAAATCATGGTGGATTACTATGAAATTCTAGGAGTGTGGAGAGAGGCCTCACCCGAGGATATTAAAAAGGCACACCAGAAACTGGCACTGAAGTGGCACCCAGATGAAAATCCTGAGAATAAAAAGCAGAGAGAAAATTCAAACAAGTAGCTGAGGTGTGTGAGGTGTTGTCAGATGCTAAAAAACGGGACATCTATGACAAATATGGCAAAGAAGGATTAAATGGTGGAGGAGGAGGTGGAAGTCATTTTGACAGTCCTTTTGAGTTTGGCTTCACATTCTGTAACCCAGATGATGTCTTCAGGGAATTTTTTGGTGGAAGGGACCCATTTTCATTTGACTTCTTTGAAGAACTCTTTTGAGGACTTGTTTCAGAATCAAAGGGGTCCCCGTGGAAGCAGAAACCAAGGGTCGGGGTAGTTTTTCTCCACATTCAGTGGATTTCCATCTTTTAGAAGTGGATTTTCTTATTTTGATATAGGATTTATTAATACTTCATTTGGGTCACTCGGTCACGGGGGCCTCACTTCATTTTCTTCCACATCATATGTTGGTAGTGGGATGGGCAACTTCAAATCGATAACACTTCTACTAAAAAGGTTAATGGCAGAAAAATCACGATAAAGAGAATTATCAAGAATGGTCAAGAAAGAGTAGAAGTTGAAGAAGACAGCCAGTTAATGTCTTTAACAATAAGTGTTAAGGAGCAGCTGCTGCACTTGGATAACAAGTAATTCAAGGCGCCCACTTAACAGAAATGTTAAACTATAACAAGAACCATCTGAGGATTAACAGAAACTTTTTTTTTGTAGATTTCAAGGGAACTTGCCTTTCAGAATAATAGTACCTAAAGTATTTATAAACAGCTAATCGGAACCTCTATTTGTCATAGGCTTTTGAGTTTATTGTTGGGACCCATAATAGGACCATTTTTTCTTTTTGTCTTCAAAATTATTGTAGGCCAGGTGCAGTGGCTTACACCTGTAATCCCAGCACTTCGGGAGGCTGAGGCGGGTGGATCAAGTGAGGTCAGGAGTTCAAAACCAGCCTGGCCAACATGGTGAAACTCCATCTCTACTAAAAATACAGAAAAGTAGCCAGGTGTGGTGGCAGGCACCTATAATACCGGCTACTTGGGAGGCTGAGGCAGAAGAATTGCTTGAACCCGGGAGGTGGAGGTTGCAGTGAGCCAAGATCACACCATTGCACTCCAGCCTAGGTGACAGGGCAAGACTCTGTCTCAAAAATATATATATTATTGTAAATGTCTGTATGCTTTTTGCCCTTTTATTAAATGTACTCCAAGGTGAGCCTTGACTCTTTAGTGTAGGACAAGACTGTGCACTAACACCAGCATGGATCTGCTTTTCCATTGTGTCTGAAATGTGAGCCACATAGTGTTGGCCTGCTGTGAGGTCACCATTGCCAGGGCGAATCTTCTACAGAACTAAATTCATTTTGTTTTTCAGTATGTAGTAGTAAAAGATATTAATGCATTAATGGTAATACATTTCTGGTTTAATATAAATTAAGGGTGTTTTCTAGCTGAGCCTGAATCCTGTCAACTCAGTAAGTCTTGACAATTGTTTAAATATGTGATGTTAAGCTTAGGTTTAAAAAAGCAAAGCAGGTAAAGTGGGTCTTTGTCATTTGCTTTTTTTTTTTTTCCTGAGATGGAGTCTCGCTGTCGCCCAGGCTGGAGTGCAGTGGCGCGATCTAGGCTCACTGCAGGCTCCGTCCCCTGGGTTCACGCCATTCTCCTGCCTCAGCCTCCCTAGTAGCTGGGACTGCAGGCACCCGCCACCTCGCCCGGCTAATTTTTTGTATTTTTAGTAGAGACGGGGTTTCACTGTGTTAGCCAGGATGGTCTTGATCTCCTGACCTCGTGATCCGCCTACCTCGGCCTCCCAAAGTGCTGGGATTACAGGCGTGAGCCACTGCGCCCAGCCGTCATTTGCTTTTTTAAAAAAGAAAATAAATGCAAATGTGTTTGGTGCAAATAAATAAACAAATAAAAACTAAGTTTGACCACTGAACACAATGCATAATCCAGGACTGACTCCTATGCTGAGGGTGAATGTGATGGGAGATTCTCTCTCAGGGATACTATTGAGGCATTCAACAAAATTTTAATATGGATTATAGATTATAAAAAGAAATTCTGTATCAATGTGAAATTTTCTGCATTTGATATCTCTGCTGTGGATATTTTAAAACATTTTTATTAATATGAAAACACAGTGAAATATTACAGCAAAAGGGCCATTATATATTCAAGCAACCTCTCTCTTGGATGGTTTAGGGAAAAAATTATATCTCTAAACAGAGAGAGTGAGAGAGAGAATAAAACAAACGTGGTCAGGCGCGGTGGCTCATGCCTGTAATCCCAGCACTTTGGGAGGCCAAGATGGGAGGATCACCTCAAGCGATCCAGGAGTTCGAGACCAGCCTGGTCAATATAGCAAGACCTTGTCTCTATTTAAAAGAAAAGAAAAGAAAATGTGGCAAAAAGTTAAAAATAGCTAATCTGGTAAAAAGTATAGGAGAATTCTTTGTATGTATTGTTTTCACAGTTTTTCTGGAAGTTTAAATTATTACAAAAGATAAGGTTCATTAGAAAGACCGCTAGGCTTAGACTCAGGAGTCCTGGTTTTGGGTTCAGATTTCCCATTATCCATCTGAGTGACATTTGTCATTTCACAGAATTTCTCTGGACCACGCCCCTCTTCTGTAAAATACAAAAGTTATTTGTTTTAACTGTGGATTGGCATTCCATTATAGAAACAAATAGCTCACTCATTCCTCTAAACTGAGTGGTTTCTATTTCTTCCCTGTTATGAGCAGTGCTGCAGTGAACGGCTGTATTCATTGTTCCGTGTGCTCACGTGCAGGTGTGTCCTAGGGCACAGCCATGTTGATCCATGTGGGTAAACTAAAAAATGTAACATCGAGTGAAAAAAAGCACACTGAAAATACACTAAATATGATTCAATTTATGTAAATTTTCAGGCACTAACATACATCATAAAAGTACAAAAACATACATCAGATTGATATATGCCAACATCACCTTAGAGCTTACCTCTGGGCAGAAAGGGAGGAAGAAGGAAGGAGTAGAGTGGGCTGTAGTTACATCTATGTTTTTTCTTCTTGAGAGAGTGAGAGATTGATCTACGGTAAGGGTGGGTTCAGCTAACGACTCTTGGTGTCTTCCAGCGCTAATGATTTATAATTAAGTTAGATTTGTAACCTTAAAATACTTTATAGCATTTACCCTGCTTGTGAGTGTGTATAGATTTAACAGAATTCAACAAGCACGTGCTGAGAAAATTCTTTACCCAGGGCATTCAGCTACCTACAGTATAGTCAGAGGGAAATAAAACATGGTTTGGAATGCTTTGAGGGAAAGAGGACTCTGATGTGGTATTAAAGATAAAGTTGGTTAATCATTTCCTTGAGATAATGGCACATAAGCTACAATTAAAGGAGAAACTGGACATATGAGGGAGGGAGGACTTTGTTAGCGCTATGCTTTTAGGCATATATTCCTTATGTGAATATTTATTCTTAGCATTGTTGGCTCAGTGAATGGCCTAGGAAAGTTACATTCCAGAAGGAAACATGTTATTACACATAGGAATCGATTGGTCCTCCATGAGTACCTACAATTGAATTCTATGTATTAAAACCGCAGAAAAACACATACAGATAGAAAATATTTTTAATCAAGGACTAGTATCCAAAGCAAAACAAAGTGGAAATTTGGTAATTATCCTGTGAATTTCTGCAACTTAACAACCAAACTGGATAATTTGAGCAAGGAGTTCATCTATTGATGTGTGCACACCCTTACAGCAAAACATCTCTCTCTATCTCTGAGAGTCATCTTAGGCAATTGTGAACAGAAGGCGTTTATCCATCAGGGCTCTTTTAGTACCAAAAAACAGAAAACCTGACTCCAATGAACTTAAATGAAACTGAAAGGTCCAAGGATAGATTTTTAACTTCAAGCACACCTTGATCCAGGAGCTCAAGCAATGGCATTGTAAGGGAGCCTAAAGACCCCCTCTACCCATCTTTGGGGTTTTGGGTTTTTGATTTTTTGTTTTTGTTGATTGTTTTGTTTTGTTTTTTTGAGATGAGGTCTGGCTCTGTTGCCCAGGCTAGAGTGCAGTGGCGCGATCTCGGCTCACGGCTCTCCTCCATCTCCCGGGTTCAAGCAATTCTCCTGCCTCAGCCTCCTGAGTAGCTGGGATTACAGGCACACACCATTACGCCCAGCTAATTTTTGTATTTTTAGCGGAGACAGGGTTTTACCATGTTGGCCAGGCTGCTCTCGAACTCTTGACTTCAAGTGATCTGCCTGCCACGGCCTCCCAAAGTGCTGGGATTACAGACGTGAGCCACCGTGACTTGCCCATCTTTGTTTTTAAGTAAAATCTTCTGCTGGGTCTAGGAGCTGTTACTGAACCAAACTTCGGTGGCACAGCAAAGCCAAACACTGACATCAGGATTTGCAGCTGGAGAAAATGAGGCATTTATTGCAGGGCACCAAGCAAGGAGAATTGGCAGCTTATGCTTAAGATCAGAACTCCCTAATGGCTTATAGGTAAGAGTTTTTAAAGATGGGGAGGCACGCTGGGCACAGTGGCTCATGCCTGTAATCCCAGAACTTTGGGAGGCTGAGGTGGGAGGATTGTCTGACCCCAGGAGTTCAAGACCAGCCTGGGCAACATGGCAAGAATGTGTCTCTATTTAAAAAATAAATAAATAAATAACATTTTTTTAAAAAAGATGGGAAGTCAAAGGTTCCAGGCAAAATCATAAATCAGTACATGGAGGTTATATATTAATTTGACCTAAAAAGGCAGGACCTCTCAAACTGGGGTGCGGGGTGGCGGTGGCCCACAGGTCATAGGTGGATTCAAAAAGATTCTCTGATTTGTGATTTGTTAGGGAAGCAAAGCTTTGTCTAAAAACTTGGCATCAGCAGGAAGAAATGTTGAGCTCTGGCCTGTGGGCAGGACTTCCTTCAGGACCCTCAGGAAGAAATTTAGGACACAGGATGGTGATCAGGGTTCAGTCCTCAGTGCTCCCTTATCTGAGGTCTATGTGCCAGCAGATGACATTTTCCATTGGGTAGCGGTCCAGGTTTCTGAAAAACAACTTGGGGCCGGAGATGTTATCTTTAGTTTCTACATGGAGCCAAACATTTTGGGACTTTAACTTTCCTGGCTATTGTTTTAAGCTGTTATTACCTTCTTGATTATCAGGTTGCTCATGTACTTCTCAAGGCTAGCTGGGTGCCTGGAATTTCCCTTGAAGGTACTCAAGACTTTCCTTTATTTCCATGTTTGAAGGAAGTCCCCAGGAGGCCCCTAAAAGGGTTCCCTGCTCCATCTCAACCAAATTGATACAAGATAGATTAATAGGACAAAAGCATACAGGTTTTATTAATTTTACATATACATGGGGATCCTCACAAGAGAGGGAAGACCCAAAGAAATGGCCAAAGCAGAAAGCTTTTATACCTTTCAGGCAAAGAATGATACATTTTGTGAAGAAATGACAAGACTGGGTCTGGGCTAGGGGCAGTAAATTCTAGGGTAATCACTAAGAGATATATGGAGGGCTGTAAGGCTAGTGAAAGAGGAGGATTATTTTAGTAAGCTTATTTATTCGGATCCATTGCAGCATCACTTCTCAGTCATGGCTAATAAGGGTTATCTTCTCATGCTGGAACAGGCAAGGCAGCTTTTTCTTTCTTTCTTTCTTTCTTTCTTTCTTTCTTTCTTTCTTTCTTTCTTTCTTTCTCTCTTTCTCTCTTTCTCTCTTTCTCTCTTTCTCTTTCTCTCTTTCTTTCTTTCCTTTAAGTTCTGGGATACATGTGCAGAATGTGCACGTTTGTTGCATAGGTATACACGTGCCATGGTGGTTTGCTGCACCTATCAACCCGTCATCTAGGTTTTAAGCCCCACATGCATTAGCTATTTGTCCTAATGTTCTCCCTCCCCTTGTCCTCTGCCCCCTGACAGGCCCCTGTCAGGGGATGTTCCCCTCCCTATGTCCATGTGTTCTCATTGTTTACCTCCCACTTTTGAGTGAGAACATGCGGTGTTTGGTTTTCTGTTCTTGTGTTAGTTTGCTGAGAATGATGGCTTCCAGCTTCATCCATGTCCCTGCAAAGGACATGAGCTCATTCTTTTTTATACCTGTACCTTCCTTTCTTTTTTTAAGAGATGAGGTGTCACTTTGTTACTCAGGCTGCAGTGGAGTGGTGTGATCATAGCTCACTGCAGCCTTGAACTCCTGGGCTCAAGCAATCCTCCTGCCTCAGCCTCCTGAGTAGCTGAGACTACAGGTGTGCACCTTCACGCCTGGCTTGAAGGCAGCTTTCTCACAGGAATTTTTATGGCTTGCTATAGGTAAGAAAGGGCAGTTCAGATGGTGCTTTCTGCAGCTGCTGCTTCTCAAGTGCTTTCAGCTAGAAATAAAGTACAAGCTGAGCATTTTGGAGCATTATATCCTTAACCTCTTCAGCATCAAGACTGTTTCTTCCCATTTCTTGACTTGTCTTTCTGCAATGTTGGCATCATTTCTAGGCTTACACATATACCTCCAGACTCAGGTCATCCTTACTGTTACAGTCCTGGAAAAACAAGACAGCCTCAGCTCAGTAGTTCCCATACAAATTCCAATGTTTAGATTGTTTGGCATAACTGGAGTCACATGCTTATCCATGAACTAAATAATCATCGTTGACAGGAAATATGGTATTCTCATTGGCCAGGTCAAGTCACATGCTCACCAGAGGGGTGATGGGGAACTAGCTCCACTCTTGCGCGTATTAGGGAGGAGATGTTCTCAGTCAACACTTCTCAAACTTGAATGTGCCTTCAAATTGCCAGGGGAGCTTTTAAAATGCAGGTTTTTCCTAGCACTTTGGGATGCCAAGGTGGGCACATTACTTGAGCTCAGGAGTTTGAGACCAGCCTTGCCAATATGGTGAAATCCTGTCTCTTCTAAAAATAAAAAAATGAGCCGAGCGTGCTGGTGTGCGCTTGTAGTCCCAGCTACTAGGTAGGCTGAGACAGGAGAATCGCTTGAACCTGGGAGGTGGGGGTTGCCGTGAGCTGAGATCGCACCGCTGCACTCCAGCCTGGGTGGCAGAGCGAGACCCTGTCTCAAAAAAAAAAGTTAATTAATTAATTAAATAAAATAAAAAATAAAATGCAGATTCTGATTCAGCTGTTCTGGAATAGGCCCAGAGAGGCTGCGTTTCCAACAGCCCTTTTCAGATCAGACTCCCAAGGTGCATGCTAATCTGCTAAGTATTACGAGTGTAGTTAGTTGAAGTCACTACAGTAGTAGTAGCAGTAGTAGTAGCACAGTAGTTAGTTTGCACTAGGCCCCTAATATGAGGGTCCTAGTGCAAAATGAGAATGTGGGGCCCATCAGTCAACAATTATTAAGAATTTAAAAAAAGTGATAACAAAGCATTTAACCAAACACAGAGCTATTCTACTCTTGGAGCGTGTGCAGCTTCACAGGTCACATGCCCATGGAGCCAGCCTTGATTGTAGCCTTCTGTTTTGACGAGTTTGAGTTGGAACCAGAACAGGATTGCTGTAAACAGTAGGGGAGAGGCAGAGGCAGAACCTGTGGTCCTTCTCTGCTCTCCTCCAAACAGATTTGGCCTCATCTTTGAATGAATGTTGAACATTTGAAAACCAACCACCTTTCTGCAGGAGCACTAGTTATCCGCCTGTTTGTGGAGCCCATATATCTCAATCCAGTTCTCGTCAGGAGATCCATGAAATGCTGACCTTTTATTCTTAATTGCCACTGACTTTGCCTCCATATTAGGCTAGATGTTCTTGCTTTGTGTCTCCAAAGGCCTTTACACTTTCACAACCATAACCCTTCGCATGTATTATTTCCATTAACTAGTTTGGTCGTCTGTCTTTCCTCCTGGACTATAAGCTCAAGGAGGGGTAGAGACAGTGTCTGTCTTGTTTATCTTTGTGGCCCATTTCTTTAGTATGGTGCCTGGAGTAACGCTTCAAATATACATTAACTGAGTTGACAATTAGAGTAATAGTTAACATATCTGGCATTGTCAGATGTTTTAATTTTAGCAATTTTGGTGGGTGAGAAGTGGTATCCTATTGTGGTTTTAATTTGCATTTCCCAGATGACTAATAAGGTTGAGCACCATCTCATGCATTTATTGACCTTTTGAATACCCTCTGTATTCGTGTGCTAGGGTTGTCATAACAAGGTACCACCGACTGGGTGACTCAAACATCAGAAATTTACTTTCTCACAATTGTGGAGGCTAGAAGTCTAGAAGATTAAGGTGTTGGCAGGTTTGCTTTCTTCTGAGGGCTCTCTCCTTGACATGTAGAGGACTGTGTTCTCCCTGTGTCTTCACACGGTCTTCCCCCGTTTGTGTGTGTCCTAATCTCCCCTTTATAAGGACAGCAGTCATATTGAATTGGGGCCCACCCCCTGACCTCATTTTAACTTAATTACTTCTTTAAAGGCACTATCTCCAAATGCAGTCACATTCTGAGGTACTGGAGTTGGGGCTTCAACATATGAACCTGGGGGGATACCATTCAGCTCATAACATCTTTTTTGTATGAGTGTCTCTTCAAGTCTCTTGTCCATTTTTCTTTTGAGTTATCTGCTGATAGAAGCTCTTGATATCTCTTTGACTCGAGCCTTTTCTTCAGGCCCTCTGCTGTTGGTTACATGGGTTACCACTATCTCCATCCATTCTTCTAATGATATCTTCCAATAAATTGAAGTCCCTAATTTTAATATAGTCCAATTTGTCAATGTTTCCCTTTACGACTAGTGCTTTTCTTTTTTCTATTTAGAAAATCTTTGCTTCCTCCAAAGTAGTGAGACATTCTCTATGTCTCTTCAAAACTTTTGTTTGTTTTACATTTTATATTTAGACATATGATCCACCTGAAATTTCTTTTTATGTATGGTGTAAGGAAGAGTTCAATATGTATTTTTCGAAACATATATTTAATTGATCCAGCACCATTGATTGAAAAAAAAACATATTTTCCTCTCTGCTCTTGCATTGGATCTATAAGTTATTCCGCAGAAAAATTGGTATTTTGATAACATTAAGTCTTTAAGTCTATGGTTTTATTATCATGAATTCTGCTTAGGACTTCTTGATATTTATCTTTCTTAAATCTGTGGCTTGATAACTTTTGTCATTTTGGAAAACTCTCAGAGATCATCTCTTCAAGTATTTCTTCTGCTATATTCTTTTTCTTCTGTCTGTGGAATCCAGTTACATGTATGCTAGACCTTTTTATTCTGTTTCATATGTCTCTTAGATCTTTTTGTCTTTCCCTGCTTCAGTCTGCATATTTTGTTCTGGCCTGTATTCCAATGTACTTATTTTCTTTTCAGCTGCATCAGTTCTTGCTTTGTAATTGTATTTTTTCAGTCCTAGAATTTCCATTTGATTAATTTTTATAGTTGTCACTTCTCTGCCAAACTTTTCCATTTTGTTATTTAATTTCTTAAACATTAACTTCTTAATTTAATTTGTTTAGTTTTATGAGAACTAAAATGCTCATTAAAATACACATTTAAAAATTCCAATATTTATATCTCCCATGGCTCTTTCCAGTTAGGGGTCAATTATATATTATTTTTGTAGGCCGAATTATTTCTTAACTCACCTCTAAACATTTGTATGTGAAAAATTATAAGAGCAATTTGAGGCTTTGGAAAATGTTCTCTTCCTCCACAGAGGATTAACATTTGCTTCTGGCAGCAAGTTTGGCCAGAAGTAGGTCATCTTAATGCAATCTGGGATTAAAATAATCCAAAGCTAGGCCTCAGTTCTTGTGAAGTCTGTTCTCATTCACATTTATTCCTGAGATGATGCCCTTCAGGATCCCCGCTGAATGCCTGAAGTGTCTACCAGGGAACCTTTTCTAGCCTTTTCTAGCTTTGTCTTTTTTTTCCTCCACTTTTTTTTGTCCCTACAGCTCACAGGACACCTCGTGGAGCTCCTCAGCCACCAGCCACTTTGTCGGGTTCCTCTAAGGGGAAAGAGAGTCCAAATACCAGGCTCACATATCTAGGTTTTCTTTTTCTTCCAAGACTTGGTCCTGCAAATTCTGTCTTCCCTGGTCTCTTGTCAATTAGGTTTAGATGGGAAAATATATAACTAGAATTGGTTTCTTAGAAGCTGACTTTCTGAGATGGTTCTATTGTCAGGTCTGTTGAGTTGTGCTCAGGTGTCTGTCTCTTGTTTGCCTCCTGGTACTGCCTGAACAAAGAGCATCATCACCAATCCTTGTGTGATGGTTACTACTGAGTGTCAACTTGATTGGATTAAAGGATACAAAGTATTAATCCTGGGTGTGTCTGTGAGGGTGTTGCCAAAAATATTAACATTTGAGTCAATGGTCTGGGGAAGGCAGATCCACCCTTAATTTGCCTTAGCTTCCAGCGAATATAAAGCAGGCAGAAAAAATGTGAAAAAGAGACAATGGGCCTAGCCTCCCAGCCTACATCTTTCTCCCCTGCTGGACGCTACCTGCCCTCAAACGTCAAACTCCAAGTTCTTCAGTTTTGGGACTCAGACTGGCTCTCTTTGCTCCTCAGCTTGCAGACAGCCTATTGTGGGATATTGTGATAGTGTAAGTTAATACTTAATAAACTCATATATATATATATGTATGTGTACATCACACACACACACATAAACATATCCTATTAGTTCTGTCCCTCTAAAAGAACCCTGACTAATACAGATTTTGGTACCAGGAATGGTTCTAGAGGAACAGAATATTAAGGATGGAGTTCTTTAGTTGGTTTTGGGGTTTCTGGAGTTGGCTGCTTAATATGATTAGACCCCACAATGCTAGGGACTGTACTTCCAATAGTATAGATAACACTGATAGTCCTTGGCATGAGCTCTTTAGAGAGTTATGCAAAATAAATGCATTTGATGCTCCTAATTCACCACTCATGAGAGGCAAGGAGTTTAGTGACTCTATACATAGTAACTTTGACCATATGTGGAGAACCAAGGAACATAATGAAGCTGGTTGGTTGCTCCTAAACTCAGTGGACAAAGTGATTACAGAAAATGATGAAATCAGGGATTCTCTGTCCTGGCTTCAGAAGCAGATACTGAGCCTCAAATCTGCTAAGATTTCCCTGAGTGAGAGTCTTGTTTCCTGTAGAGAAAGAGCTGAAATTGTGGACAAACAGACACGCGCTCTTATTATGTGAGTGGCTGACCTGCAGTGAAAGATGCGTGCACAGCCTCGCCAGGTGTCTACTGTTAAAGAGAGGGCATTGATTGGAAAAGAATGGGACCCTGCAACTTGGAATGGGGACGTGTGGGAGGACCCTGATGAAGCTGAGGACACTGAGTTTGTAAACTCTGATGAACTTTTTTGCCAGAAGGAACAGCTTCCTAATCCCCAGTAGTGGCAACATCCCCTCCTGGACCCACGCTGCCATCAGCCTTTCCACCTTTGTCTGAGGAGATAAACCCTGTGCTGCCTGAGGCAACAGTGATGGCCTCCCCTGAGGCAGTTGCCAGGCAAGGTAATGCTGATTTTCCTCAGAAGTCACACTCATCACCTCTGTTTGCTTCTAGACTTACAACTAGATGAAAGTCCTGGCGGGCCCCTAGAGGTGAGGTTGAGAGTGTGACCCATAAGGAGGTGTACTACACTTGAAAAAAACTGTGAGTTTTCTAATTAATATAAACAGCCATCTGGAGAACAGGCATGGGAATGGATATTAAGGGTATGAGATAATGTTGGAAGGAACATAGAGTAGGATCAGGCTGAATTTATTGATTTGGGCCCACTAAGTAGGGACTCTGCATCTAATGTTGCAGCTCAGGGAGTTAAAAAAGGTTCTAATAGTTTATTTGCTTGGTTAGCTGAAATATGGATTAAAATATGGCCCACTGTGAGCGAGCTGGAAATGCCTGATCTCTCTTGGTTTAATGGAGAAGAAGGGATCCAAAGGCTTAGGGAGATTGGGACAGTGGAGTAGATTAGTCACTTTAGACCTCTCATCCCAGCTGGGAGGATCCAGAAGATATACCCTTAACTAATGCCTTGTGAAATAGATTTGCGAGGGCGGCACCTGCATCTTTGAAGAGTCCTGTAATCGCTCTTCTCTGTATGTCAGATCTAATAGTGGGAACTACAAAATTTAAATACAATGGGAATGATCAGATCACAAGGTGGCAGGGGCCAAGTAGCAGCACTCGACTGTCAAAGGCAAGGTGGATGTAGCTCCTGTAATGGACAGCAGAGGCAAAGCAGAAATCAGAATAGTCTGACTCATGTAGAACTCTGGCATTGGCTAATTAATCATGGTGTTCCTAGAAGCGAAATTGACAGGAAGCCTACTGCATTCCTATTTAAAGTACACAAACAGAAAACTTTTAGGTCGAATGGACAAAAGACTAATTTGAATTATAAAAACAGAGAGTCACAGCCCCTCAATCAATTTCCAGACTTGAGCCAGTTTACAGACTTAGAACCCCTTGAATGAAGGGGAGCCGCATCCCCTTGGAGAAGGACCCCACTACATTACCGACAATTTATTCAGTGAATTTTTCTCCCATCCTTCCCCAAGGAGACAGCTGACTTTTTACCAGGGTAACTGTGCACTGGGGAAAGGGAAATGATCAGACATTTCAGAGACTACTTGTCACTGGCTCTGAGCTGATGTTGATTCCAGGGGATCCAAAATGTCACTGTGGTCCTCCAGTTAAAGTAGGGGCTTATGGAGGTCAGGTAATTAATGGGCTTTGGCCGAAACTGAACGTTTGACTATGGGTCATCAGGTCACCATGTGACCTGAACTGCCTATCATGAACTGGGTGCTTTCTGACCCATCTAGCCATAAAGTGGGTCACACACAGCAGCATTCCATCATGAAATGGAAGTGGTATACACGTGATAAGGCTCAAGCAGTTCCTGAAGGCACAAGTAAGTTACATGAGGAAGTGGCTCAAATGTCCATGATCTCCACTCCTGCCACCCTGCCTTTTCTCCCCCAGCCTGCACTGATGGCCTCATGGGGAGTTCTCTATGATCAGTTGACAGACGAAGAGAAGACTAGGACCTGGTTCACAGATGGTTCTGCACAATATGCAGGCACCACCCGAAAGTGGACCTGCAGCACTATAGCCCCTTTCTAGGACATCCGTGAAGAACGACAGTGAAGGAAAATCTTCCCAGTGGGCAGAACTTCGAGCAGTGCACCTGCTTGTGCACTTCACATGGAAGGAGAAATGGCTAGATGTGAAATTATATACTGATTCATGGGCTATAGCCAATGGTTTGGCTGGATGGTCAGGAACTTGAAAGAAGCATGATTGGAAAATTGGTGACAAAGAAATTTGGGGAAGAGGTATGTGGATGGACCTCTCTGAGGGGTCAGAAACTGTGAAGATATTTGTATTCTGTGTGAATGCTCACCAATGGGTGACCTCAGTGGAGGAGGAGTTTAATAATCAAGTGGATAGGATGACCCATTCTGTGGACACCACTCAGCCTCTTTCCCCAGCAACCCCTTTCATCGCCCAGTGGGCCCATGAACAAAGTGGCCATGGTGGCAGGGATGGAGGTTTCGCATGGGCTCAGCAACATGGACTTCCACTCACCAAAGCTAACCTGGCTATGGCCACTGCTGAGTGCCCAATTTGCCAGCAGCAGAGGCCAACACTGAGCCCTTGATATGGCACCATTTCTTGGGGTGATCAGCCAGCTACCTGGTGGCAGGTTGATTATATTGGACCTCTTCCGTCATGCAAAGGGCAGAGGTTTGTCCTCACTGGTAGACACTTACTCTGGGTATGGGTTTGCCTATCCTGCATGCAATACTTCTGTCAAGACTACCATCCATGGACTCATGGAATGCCTCATCCACCATCATGGTATTCCACACAGCATTGCCTCTGACCAAGGGACTCACTTTAGGGGTAAAGAAGTGTGGCAGTGGGCTCATGCTTATGAAATTCACTGGTCTTACCATGTTCCCCATCATCCTGAAGAAGCTGGATTGATATAATGGTGGAATGGCCTATTGAAGTCACAATTACTGTGCCAACTAGATGACAATACTTTGCAGGGCTGGGACAAAGTTCTCCAGAAGGCCGGGTATGCTCTGAATCAGTGTCCAATATGTTACTGTTTCTCCCAAAGCCAGGATTCACAGGTCCAGGAATCAAGGGGTGGAAGTGGCACCCCTCACCATCACCCCTAGTGATCCACTAGCAAATTTTTTGCTTCCTGTTCCTGCAACATTATGTTCTTCTGGCCTAGAGGTCTTAGTTCCAGAGGGAGGTACGCTGCCACCAGGAGACACAACAATGATTTCATTAAAGTGGAAGTTAAGATTGCCACCTGGACACTTTGGGCTCCTCCTACCTTTAAGTCAACAGGCTAAGAAGGGAGTTACAGTGTTGGCTGGGGTGACTGACCCAGACTATCAAGGTGAAATCAGTCTATTATTCCATTACAGAGGTGAGAAAGAGTATGCATGGAATACAAGAGATCCATTAGGGTGTCTCTTGGTATTACTATGCCCTATGATTAAGGTCAATGGGAAATTATAACAGCTCAATCCAGGCAGGACTACAAATGACCCATGAAGGTTGGGTAACTCCACCAGGAAAAAAAAAAAAAATATATATATATATATATATTCATAAGGTCTGTTTGTACAGAATTCTTTTGATCTCAACTTTCTGACTTTGATGATAACAATGTTACTTTCCTTCTGGTACAGGGAGGACATCTTCCATATGAGAGTTTTATTTCCTGTTTTCTGTGACATTTCACAATCGCTTGGTCAAGTCTTATTGTGAAGTTGTGGAGTGTGCCACCTTACTCTCCCTGCATATTTTTTTTTTTTTTTTTTTTTTAGATAGAGTATCACTCTGTTGTCCAGACTGGAGTGCAGTGATACGATCTCGTCTCACTGCAACCTCCACCTCCCATGTTCAAGTGATTTGCCTGCCTCAGCCTCCCCAGCAACTGGGATTACAGGCACAGACCACCACGCCCAGCTAATTTTTGTATTTTTAGTAGAGACAGGGTTTTACCATGTTGGCCAGCCTCATCTCGAACTCCTGGCCTCAAGCAATCCACCCTCCTTGGCCTCCCAAAGTGTTGGGATTACAGGTGTCAGCCACCATGCCTGGCCCCCTCTGCATCTTTCTGCCCCATCCACAGAGTACCCATTCTCTTCTTCCTCCAAGTCATTCTCCTCTCTGTTTCAAGAGTGACTTAAAAAGAGGATTAGTTCAATGTTTTCAGTCCCTCAATAGTTCTCTTTATAGTCCAGGACAAAGGACAACTATCTTCCCTAGAGGTAACATGCCTCTCTGCCTTTGTCCTCTGCCAGGAAAACCCTTCTTGCACCTGCTGTTTTTTTTTTTTTAAGGTACCTTGAGCTTAAAGTAATCTTTATGCCAAAGTGGCATATTTTGAGGTGACCTATTCTACTGCCATTCACACCTCGTGAATTTTTGTGTCTCACAGGAATTATGCAAACCTCCCCAAGCTCAACCTGCACTTTGACTTCTTGCTTCTAACCATACTATTCCATCACCATAAATGGTCCTTCCACAATCTTTTGTGCCTGCAAAGTTCCTATTCATCCTCCTGGACCCACCTCAAGTGTCACATCCAGTGCCACTCTGTTTTTGATTCCCTAGGAATGAGTCAGATCCTCTTCGGATTATTGCCATAGCAGTGTGTACATTTTGTAACTTATTCTTGCACATATCATGCTTTTAGAAAAATCTTTATATCTGTTTTCCTCCCAAAATTGAGAACAGACTGAGGACATTAAATTCTACCCATCTTGATATTCTCAGCAATTAGCACTGCACACTAAATGATTGGTTAAACAAATGTTCAAATATGAGCTTGAGGAAGATTAAATTGGCAAGAATGATTAGGAGAATAATACAAAGGCAATGAAATCAAATACTAGTAATGACAATAGGAATACATAGAATATCAAGGTGGCAAAGTTAAAAGGATTTAACAATCAAGTAAAAGGAAGGAGAGAGGAATACACAGAATTGACTCCAAATCAAAATTCTTTAGTTGTACACCCTTTTGAAAATCTAAAGGAAGTTAAAAACATTCATTCCTGAAAAAAAAAATGCACGTATGCCTTTTTGCATATTAAATGAGGAGATTCCTTTCTTAAATGTCCTCAACTCAAGTTTACAGACCACTTTAAACTGTGAGACTAGATGGTTTGCAAGGTAGTGATACCATTAACTGACCTATGAACATCTTGAAAAATAGCTGGGTTAGAGGAGTAGAGGAAAGTTGGGTTTTAATCATATATTAAGTTGGTACAAAATAACTGTAGCTTTTGCATTAAAAGTGATGGAAAAACTGCAATTTCTTTTGCACCAACCTAAATAGAAGCCCCTATAGTGTTCACAGATTTGACTACTTTGGAGATACCTGAGGTGCACGATGTGTAGTAATTTGTAGTGATGCCAAGGCACATTCAAATCCTGAGGCACTGCTACAAAACAGCAACTCACTTAGTAGCCCAGCTGGGAGCCTAGCAAATAAACCTCAACTGATTTATATATTGGTCCTACCAAAGTGAAAAAGATCAGTTTCTGAAGTGGATATATGCAAAGGAAACTCAAAACTCTAAAGGATAAGTTTAAATTATCGACGGAAGCAAGCATTTTCCATGAGAGAATTTGTAGATATATTAATTCATGTTGACTCTCAAGGTTTACTGCGTTTGAGTTTGGAGACAGAGGTGTTCGTTAAGTTGAAACAGCACTGGAAAAGAAACTGAAATTAGGATTGTGATTTGAGAGTCTTTCCTGCTAAGGAGTGCATTTCAACAGATCTAAGTGTGAGATTACTAAATGTGATAAGCAGAATTCTAAGATAGCTTATGATTCTCCTTCCCTTGTATTCACACCCGTATGTAGTGCCCTCCTCTTTGAGTGTGGGTAGAAACTGTGACCCGTTTCTAACCAACGGAATATGGTATAGGTGATAGGGATATCACACCTGTAATTGTGCTACTTCATGTGGCAAAAGTGAAGGTATTTTGCAGCTGTAATTAAGGTCCCTAATCAGTTACCTTTGTGTTAATCAAAAGGGAGCTTATCTAGGATAGACCTCATCTAATCAGATGAGCCCTTTAAAAGAGGGACTGAAGCCCTCCCTGAGTTCAAAGAAATCTTCCTGCTTGCCTTGAAGAAGCAAGCCACCAAGAGTTCATCAGATGCAAGGAAATGAATTCAGCCAACAACCCTGTTGAACTTGGGAGAGAACAAAAACCTCAGATGCTGTCATAGCCCCGGTCCACACGGTGACTGCAGACTTGTGAGACTCCAAACAGAGAACATAGTTAAGTTGTGCCTAGACTCCTGAGCTGCCAAAACCATAAGATGATAATGTATTGTTCCAAGCCCTACATTTACGGCAATTCATGACGTAGCAGTAGAATACTGATACACCAAAGGAAAGAGAATATGGAGAGAAGCAAAGATGGTAAAAAAAAAAAAAAAAAAAAAAAAATTCTGACAAATGACAAATGTACCTGCCTTTGAATGAGTGGGGAAAAAAATAAGGACAGTAAGGGGAATTAAAAGGGAGGATGATCAGGCAGAGACATCCAGAAAATAATATGGCAGACTAGACTGATACAGGAAGCTCTCTCTAACTCCGAACAGATAGAAATCCTATTATTTTTTCTTTTTTTCCCCAATGATCTAAACATGTTTTTTAATTGTTTAAAATATATAGCCACGCAAAAAGCAAGAAAGAACAACCCCATATGCCAGAAATGAAAAGAGGCCCAAAGTAAGGGCATCAAGTGAGAGAGAAAACAGAACAGCTCACAGGAGTAAAAGAAACAATTATAGGCCTTTAGGACTGGAGTTTTAATACTGCTTAGGAGAGTTAAGTGATCAGTCTTGGACCTGTGCTTGATGGAAATCTTGCATAACCCTGGGAACCACACAGGGCTGTCCCATTAGTGAGAATGGGAAAAAGAAAACTCCACCAAAACAACACAATAATACAATAAAAAGAAATAAGAAGAATTAGAAGTGAAGAGACAAAGGTTTCACTATTTTTAGGTGATATAATCATTTGCATTTAAAAGATACAAGATAAACTATTATAACCAATAAAATAAACTGTTGTAACAGATTGTTATAAAGTTTACCAAAACAAGATCAGTATATAAAAAGCACTAGTGGGCCAAACGTGGTGGCTCATGCTTATAATCCCAGCACTCTGGGAGGCAGAGGCAGGTGAATTGCTTGAGTCCAGGAGTTCAAGACCAGCCTGGGCAACATAGCAAAATCCCTTTTCTACTAAAAATACAAAAAAATTAGCTGGGAGTGGTGTTGCATTCCTATAGTCCCAGTTACTCACCAGGCTGAGGTGGGAGGATCACCTGAGCCCAAAAGGTCAAGGATGCAGTGAGCTGAGATCGTGCCACTGCACTCCAGCCTGGGCGACAAAGCAAGACTGTCTCAAAAAAAAAAAAAAAAAAAAAAAGTGTCCCTTGGTTCCAGCAACACCCAATTAGAAAATGTAACCAAAAGAGTTCTTTTATCATAATGACAAACAACAAAGTTAGAATTAACATAATAAGTAATGCCAGAATTTTGTGTGTAAAAAATTTTAAGTAAACATTATTTACAAAATAGGTATAGCAAACATATAGCTCAAAATTCAAAGATACAAAAAGAAATATAACTTTAAAATCTCCTCCCATCTTTCCCAGCCATCCAATTTCCTTTTCTGGGGCAGTCACTCTTTTTTTCTTTTGCATTTTTTTAGAGATATCCTAGGCATACATAGGCAAATATCTTTTTCTTATTGTTTTACAAAATGACAGCATAGTAGAACATTCATCTGCACTTCACTTTTTTCACATATGAATATATCTTGGGGATAATTCACATCAGTACAAATAAAGCTGTTTCATTGTTTTAAAGTGAAGCATCATATTCCTTGTATATAACCAACACCATATAAATGGAAATTGGTACCAACAATGTTATTGCAAAAATCCCTGGACATACATCATTTTCCACATTTCCAAGTGCAAGAATATTTTAAGTTCAAATTGCTAGATGAGGAATTGTTAAGTCAAAGGTTATGTGCAGTTAAAATTTTGATAGCTAAAACAATAGCCCTCCATAGAGGTTACGCTAATGTACATGGCCACCAGCAATGTAGGTTAATGTACTGTTTTCTCTCAATTTTTCTCTCCATCTCAGTGTTTTTTTTCAAGTTTTTATCTTTATCAATATGATATGTAAAAAAATGGTCTCATGCAAATAAAACAGGGAAAGATATTGCTTCACATTCAGTAGGATGGCTATAATCAGAAAGATATAACAACAGGTTTTGGTGAGGCTGTGGAAAACTCAGAACCTTCATATACTACTGATAGTAGGAATTTAGAATGATGCAGCCATTTTGGAAAACAGTCTGGCAGTTTCTTGAAAACTTAAACATACTATTTAACCCAGCAATTTTACTCCTAGGAATATACTCAAGAGAAATGAAAACATATGTCCATGAAAAATTTGTATATGAATATTCATAGCAGCATCATTCCACTAAAACAGTAGAATAATCAAAATGTCTATCAGCTGATGAATGGATAAACAAAAAGCAATGTATAAATACAACGGAATGTTGTTCGTCTCTAAAAAGGAATGAAGTACTGATACACGCCACAATACAGATAAACCTTGAAAACGTTATGCTAAGTAAAATAAGCCAGTTGCAAAAGACTACATATTACATAATTTCATTTGCATTAACTATCTAGAATAGTCAAATCTATGGATACAGAAAGTAGATTACTGTTTTGCAAGAATGTGGGGTGCAGGGAGAGAGGGGCTAAGGATGATAACTAAAGGCTACTGTATTTATTTTGGGGGTGATGAAACGTTCTAAAATTGATTGTGCTGGACACGGTGGCTCACACCTGTAACCCCAGAACTTTGGGAGGCCGAGGTGGGTGGATCACCTGAGGTCAGGAGTTCGAGACCAGCCTGACCAACATGGTGAAACCCTGTCTCTACTAAAACTACAAAATTAGCCAGGTGTGGTGGCACATACCTGTAATCCCAGCTACTCAGGAGTCTGAGGCAGGAGAATTGCTTGAACCCGGGAGGTGAAGGTTGCAGTGAGCCAAGATAGCGCCATTGCACTCCAGCCTGGGCAACAAGAGGGAAATTCCATCTCAAATAAGGAAAGAAAATTCATTGTAGTGATGGTTGCACAACTGTGAAACTATTGCAAAAATGGTCTCGGTATAGTTTTAATGTGTATTTCTATTATTAATAGTGAAGTTGAACATCTTTTCATATATTTATTAGCCTTTCAGGTTTCTCCGCCTATGAATTGTCTATTTTTATCAATTACTTATTTCCTATTCATTTTCTTTTCTTTATCAATGTACAGGAGTTCTTTGTGCATTTTAGCTTCACTGAGATGCTTTACAGATTGGCAAAAATTAGAAAGTTCATGTGGCAGGCAGAAAAAAAATGACCTCCCAAAGAGATCTACATCCTAATCCCCAGAGTCTGTGAATATGTTAGGTTACATGACAAAAGAGAATTAAGGCTGCAGATGGGATTAAGGTTGTTAGTGAGTTGACTTCAAGATTGAGAGGTTATTCAGGTGAGCCCAATGTAGTCACAAGCATTCTTGTACTATGGAAGAAGGAGTGAGAAGAAAGAGTGTTAGAGTAATAGGAGGTGAGAAGGATTTGACTGGCTATTGCTGTGTTTGCAAATGGAAGGAAGCCATCATAAGCCAGAGTGCCAGTAGCTGTAGCAGCTAGGAAAGGCAAGAAAAAGAATTCTCTCCTAGAGGCACCAGAAGAGAATGCAGCCCTGCCAACACGTTGGTTTTTAGCTCAACCATACCCATTTCAAACTTCAGACCTTCAGAACTGTAAAAGTTTGTATTGTTGTAAGCCAGTAAGTTTTTTTGTTTTTTTGTTTGTTTGTTTGTTTTGAGATGGAGTCTCGCTCTGTCACCCAGGCTAGAGTGCAGTGGCGCGATCTTGGCTCACTGCAAGCTCCGCCTCCTGGGTTCACACCATTCTCCTGCCTCAGCCTCCCAAGTAGCTGGGACTACAGGTGCCCACCACCACGCCCAGCTAATTTTTTGTATTTTTAGTAGAGACGGGGTTTCACCATGTTAGCCAGGATGGCCTCGATCTCCTGACCTCGTGATCCGCCCACCTCGGCCTCCCAAAGTGCTGGAATTACAGGCGTGAGCCGCTGCACCCGGCCATAAGCCAGTAAGTTTGTAGTAATTTGTTGCAAAGCAACAGGAAACAAATAAAGTTGGATAAGACAAAATTCTGGAAAGGATGTGGGCAAACATATTTTTATGTGGTACTCATATGAATGCCAACTGGCACAGCCAATTTTGGAGAGCAATGTGGTAGTACTTAGTACAATTGAGTGGGTGCATCTCTTATGACCCAGCACTTCTGTTTCTGGATACACACCTCATAGAAACACCCAGATATGCACACAAGGGACATACATTAGGATGTTCTTTTATCAAGGTATTATTTGTGGTAGCAAGGAATTGGAGGCAACCTAGAAGCCCATCAATATGAGCATGGCCATGTAAATGTGGCTTATGCTGGTGATGGAATGCTATGCAGCAGGCTGAAAGAATGAAGCTACTTGTAGCAACATGGATTGACTATAAAAACATAATGTTGATGGAGAAAAAACTTAAAAGCAGTATTAAATCTATAACATACTACCATTTATTTAAAATTTTAAAGCATATAGCAATGTATTTTATCACAGATCCATATGTATGTAAATAAACACAAGGGATGTGAATTGGGAAGATATTTATAAATAAGAGTGTCAATGGAGTAGAAAGAAGAATAGCATTGAGATGAATGATAAATGAAGGGAAAAGAAAATAAGATAAAACAAAAAATTAAAAGGGGATGTGGATTTAAAAAGACAATTGCGTACTGTGAACTCCGTATACTGACAATTTTACTCAACCCAATTCTGTACATCTAGGGCAGGGCGCGGCAACTTTTCTTTAAAGGGCCAGATAACAAATATCTTAGGCTTTGCAGGTCATGCAACATTCACAATCTCAAGGGTTCAGTAGAAAAAAGCTACTAGATGGGCAAAGAAGCACAAATAATAAGACTCATAACTAGGAGAAAAGTCAGCAATAGAAACAGACCCAGAAACAACAGAGATAACAGAAATAGCAGACAAGGATTTTACAACTATTATAAAAATCTCAAGGATTTAAAGAGAAAAACTAATAATAAGAGAAACTGAAACTATAAAAAATAAATGGAATTTCCAGAGCTGAAAAATACTTTAATATCTTACTTATGTAAAAAACTAATTGGATGGATTTCACAGATTTGACACTGCAGAAGAAAAAGCAATGAACTTGGAGATATAGCAATCAGCAAACTGAAGCAGAGAAAAAAAGGACTGAAAAAAAAGTGAATAGAGCCTCAGTGACCTGTAGCACAGTATCAAACACACCAAAATTGTGTAATTAGAATCTAGCGATGGTAGGCAGAAGAAACAACTGAAGAAATAAATCTGAAAAGTTTTCCAAATTTGGCAAAAACTACAAAACCACAGATCCAAGAAGCTCAATAAATACTAAGCAGAATAAACACAAAGGAAACCACACCAAGGCACATCATAATATAATAGTTGAAAGTCCATTATAAGGAGATCTGAAAGGCATTAAGAGAAAAAAAATTACAGGAATGCAAGATTAGACTTAACACTGACTTCTCAACAGAAACGATGCAAGCCAGAAAACTATGAAATAATATGTTTAATATGCTGGGAGGAGGAGAAGTAAACCTAGAATTTTACATACAGTAAAAAAAATTCTTCAAAAATGAAGGCAAAATAAAACAATTTTTAAGAACACAAAAGCTAAGAAAGTTTGTCAAGAGCAGACCTGTCCTATAGGAAATATTAAAATAAGTTCTTTAGGCTGAAGGGAAATGATACCGGCTGGAAACTTTGATCTATACAAAGGAATAAATAGCACTTGCAATTGTAAATATATGAGGAAATATAGAAAATTTTGGGTTTTATATTTTTTAATTTTTTAAAAGATAACTAAGTAAAGCAAAAATAGTAATAATGTATCATGGGGCTTAAAACATAAATGAAAGTAAAATGTACAATCAAATAGTACAAAAGATATAAGGATAGAAGCATACTGTTGTAAAGTTTTTGTATTATACATAAACTGGCCTACTATTTGAAGGTAGACTGTGATAGATGAATAATAATACATATTTTTAAACTATCAGACATATGAGAAGATGTTTGCAGTCAAAGATACACAGTGTAAGGCAATGAAATATCATTTTTTACATGTTAGATTGATAGATTGATAATTACAGAAGATTTATAGCATTCACTATTAGTGATAATGTGGCATGCTAGTGGAAGTATGAATTACTATAATTTGGATAGTAATGTGGCATAATCCATTAAAGAGAAAAAGCTCATATCCTTTGATTCAACAAGCTACATGTGAGATTATGTTACCCACAAATAAAAGCACCATATATTTGTACAAGTATATGTGTAAGAATATTTTTATTTTGGTGAATATGCTGCATTTTGGGGGAGACAAGGGGGCAGGTGGGAATTAGAAACCTGAAGACCTGTAAATAAGAGAATGGTTGACTAAATCTTAGTACATGCATGGTATGGAATACTTGTAGCTATTGAAAAAAAAAATGAGGCCAGGCACGGTGGCTCATGCCTGTAATCCCAGCACTTTTGGGAGGCCGAGGCTCTACTAAAAATACAAAATACAAAAATTAGCAGGGTGTGGTGGCACATGCCTGTAGTCCCAGCTACTTGAGAGCTGAGGCAGGAGAATCATTTGAACCCAGGAGGCGGAGGCTGCAGTGAGCTGAGATCGTGCCACTGCACTCCAGCCTGGGCAACAGAGTGAGACTCTGTCTAAAAAAAAAAAAAAAAAAAAAAAAAGAGAGAGAGGAAAAAAGAAAAAAAATGAGAGCGCTACTACGTGCATTATGGAATGAAGTTTGTGTCATGTGGTAAAAGGAAAACGAAAGATAGATGGATGGACAGATAGGGAAATAGAATAGCTCAATTTGTTTAAACCTAGAATATATTTTCTGTATGGCTTAAATATAAAAGAAAAACCTAAAACGCTTTTATACGTCTATAAAGGCATGAAGAAAAATGTGGAAAGATTCTCGTAAAACTATTATTTGGGAAGGAGAGACTGGAGGGGAAAGGAAATATTATTAACATTTGATACTACTCTGCAGTGTTTGATTTGTAGAAAAGGATACTTAATTGAGATTCTTCCTGCCTCTTTAGCAGAGGTCCTACAGGCCAAAATAAAAAAACTAATGCATTCACCACTGAAGACAGTGGTACTTTGGACCAGTGACTTCTGGTGTGTCACATGCTTCTCTGTTTCCTAAGCTGAGCATTCATTGTCCCTGTTCCACCATTTTATATCCTTGGAGCGGGGCAGGGCGAGGTGGGAGGTGCAGGTAACCTGGGTTTTTTACTTGTTTGTTTATAGGCTGTGGACCCAGAGGAGGCATATCTCACTAGGTAGCCACCACTGCTCATTTTTCAGAGAGCTTGGATCTCAGCTGGATGCCATGACTGGACAGGACTTTGGGTTGTCTCATTTGGGAAATCAGAGTATTTTCTATGTATGAGAAGCATGGAAAAAAAGGACATTTGAAGCCAGAAGAGTGGAATGTAGAAAAGAATCTTAATGATTATACATCCACATTTCAGAGTACTTCTCATAGGGCTTCTGTTGATGTACTCTACAACAAACCAAAAACAAACAAACAACAACGACAACAAAAATGAGGAACATATGTGTGGTTTTATGTGGGAATGTTTGTGAGAAATTTGCCTTTTATGCAAATCACTCTCCTTTTTATAAGAACTTGCCAAAGTTTTGCACCACCAAAAGTTCTGGCTCTGATGATCAGGTAACCAGCCATGACATGATGGAATCTGTGAATCCTGTAACATATGTTTAGATTTAGCTGCTAAGAATAGCAGAGCCAGTTTGTGAATAAAGTTTATGTTGTGTAGGACCCTGCAGCTATCACAGCTTTAAATTTACCTCATGTCTCACTTTACTCTTTAACCTTTATGTTCATTTAACAAGGCATCCAGCAATCTAAAGACCTCTCAAAAACGCACTGCTGCTCTCCAAGACATGGCAATTTCCATGTGGTTTGTTCATCTTTTTTTTTTTTTTTTTTGGACAGAGTCTTGCTCTGTTGCCCAGGCTGGAGTGCAATGGTGCCATCTTGGCTCACTGCAACCTCTGACTCCCGGGTTCAAGCCATTCTCCTGCCTCAGCCTCCTGAGTAGCTGGGATTACAGGTGAGTGCCACCATGCCTGGCTAAGTTTTGTATGTTCAACAGAGATGGGATTTCTCCATTTTGGCCAGGCTGGTCTTGAACTCCTGACCTCAGGTGATCCACCTGCTTCAGCCTCCCAAAATGCTGAGATTATATGTATGAGCCACTGAGCCTGGCCAGTTTGTTCCTCTATAAACAATGTTTGTGCTTGTTAAATGTCAGTTGTGGAGAAGGTATAAGTCTACATTTTAAGAATTATGGAGATTATTCATAATCTGAGAATCTGGTATTGCACTATTTTAATTTTATATAAACTTTTTCAATACATAACACTACAAATATATTCAGGAGTTATGTTGCTGTCCTATAAGTTTAATACTTTGGAGAGATGAGTAAAACTAACAAAGTAATAACTTTTAGAAATGAAACTTTTACAAAATGAAGCAGTTAAGGTTGAACAGTTAATCTTAGATTCTGAGTTTTCTCATTATAAGTAAAAGTTTAAAATGATGTTAAAACCGTCTTACCAAGTTTAACGAGTGCCAGCATTCATTTGATGCCCTAAATGACTATGTTAGCAACCACCTCCTAGTATTTATCCTGACAAGTGACACTTTAGGAAAAGCACATCTCAGTTATTCATAGAATAGTGTGATTACGTATTTTCAGGGTGTTTGGTATCAGCAATGAACCAAATTAGACATTTAAAGTAATGGAACTATACCAGAAATGGAAACTGAACTAGTATTTCCTAGAAAAGACTTTGTCACTGTCACTGTGGTTATCCACTTAATTGAGCTTTTGATTTACAAGTACATTCATTTACCTAACAGCTACACAGAAGACCATATCATACCCATAGACTTAAAAATGATTACATTAACAATCACAGTTGACATTTTGGGTTGTATATTAGGCTCTTGCTTCATCAGGCATCGTCTACCATCTAGGGTTTATTCTTTAGAAAGCACAGAAGCAAGTTTGTCTTTGTTGTTATTTTTGTTTTCATTGTTATTTTTGTTTTTGTTTTTTTCTCTAACTAGACAGGCAACCACTGACAAAAGCCATGCCTGTATTAGTGAAACTCCCAGATATTAATAGGAGGAGAAGGCAGAAAAAAGAAGTGGGGAAATAGAAAGGCCTCTACAGATGGTGATTTCATACAGAAAGGTTACCGACTTGCTAAGAAAAATTATATTTAATTTTCCAACTAATTTTTAACTGTCGAAAAGTGTGAAGATTGAACAACACCTACAATCCCGTTGAACTGGCCAAAAAGAATGGGATCTCTCCAGAACAAGTCAGTTCAACTCAGTAAATACTTATTGACTACCTGCCCTGTACCACTCAGTGTGCCAGATGCTGAAGATGAGGGATCCTTGCGTGCATAGAGTTTATAATCCAGGGAGCATGCAGGATAAGAGAACCACTGTTATCAATGGCAATCAGTGCAAGTCTTCACTTGATAATGTAAGTCTAAGTTAAACAATATACTGATGGACCTAGAGCATGATAATTTCTCAAATAATACTTATGTAAGAGTTGTCATCTTCTGACTTTTTTTTTCTTGCATCTAGGGAAAAGAAGAGAATAAAGAAGATTATCATTGCTACCTGCATCTTACTGTATTCTCATAATTTGTTGTGCTTGCTTAACAACCAGATTCAAGTTCTTTCCTCAACAGCTCTCATCTGTTCCCTCAAAGAATATGCCTTAGATGCATTTGAGACACCATTTTGTGTCTGACTTCTGCAATTTTGTAAGATGCTGCCATTAGAAGTTAATAGAGCAGTGGTCTTTCAACATTTTAGATGGTATACTCCTTCAGAAAAAAAAAAAAAGCATTTTTGAGAAACATCCCCAACATATGTTTGGTTGTTTTTTTATTTCCTTGAAAAACATATGTATGCCGGGCGCGGTGGCTCACGCCTGTAATCCCAGCACTTTGGGAGGCTGAGGTGGGCAGATCACGAGGTCAGGAGTTTGAGACCAGCCTGGCCAATATGGTGAAACCCCATCTCTACTATAAATACAAAAATTAGCCGGGCATGGTGGCGCGTGCCTGTAGTCCCAGCTACTCAGGAGGCTGAGGCAGGAGAATCACTTGAACCCGGGAGGTGGAGGTTGCAGTGAGCTGAAATTGTGCCACTGTACTCTAGCCGGGGCAACAGAGTGAGACGCTGTTTCAAAAAAAAAAAAACAGAAAAACATATGTATATTTATATGTGTGTATATACACACACACACATATGCACACACAAATATATAAATTAAATTTTTAAATGAGATAGAGTAAAATGCATTTTTGAAATTATTGATTTATTAACAAAACTAAAAGCCTTCCTTCTCACTAAAAAGTGTTGAAAAATCCATGAATTATGCAAGATTGTTATAACATTTGGCTATCATAATCTTATTCTTGATATCAATCAGTTTTTAAAGTAATGAGAAGCTGCTGCATTTTTATATTTTTTAACAAATGGATTTAAAATCCACTGAACTGCTCAATTAAAAGATTGAAACAAAATAGCAAATTGTTTCCGAGTTTTTAAAAGCATTTTCTGTGATGACAATCATAAAATCTTCAGTAAGAAAAACACACAATAATGGGAACACTTCGAAATATTTGTTTTCAAATCGTCTCTTCATAACAACGTATCACTTGGTGTGAAAATTACCTTGAAGAAACAACAAATAAACCTCTGGGGTTTTTTGTTCTTCAAAAAGATCTATTAGATAACATGTACTGAGAGCCATATATCAATACAGAAAAGATCAGCAAATTTAGGATATTTGGGGTTTTTTTGTAAAAATAAAGAAAATAACTCACTTTAAGACAACTTTTAAAATCTTTGTTACAAATGATTTCTACAATTATGTATCATCTCATTACAAAGTAATATTAAGATTCTAGATTCTACGATTTAAAAGATTTTAGTAAAATTATTCATGTAGATAAATTACTAAAGCATGTAAACTACAGTATGTCACAATCCCATAAAGACAATCTACTGTACATTGTTGATTCCAAGATGTACATTTTTCATATTTAACATCTCAAACATTGAGAGCGGTTTTAAGGTAATGCCCAGAAGCGTGGTATGCAGTTGTCCACTTCTGCGGGCTCAGCAAACCTGTACTGGGCTCAGTGGACTAGAAGAAAACTCCAGAGACAACGGGGTGGGGGAGGGGGGGGGACTTAAAAAAAAATTCGATAGATAATATACATATGTTTAAAATCTAAATTTTATTTAGAGATATCTAAATAAAATCTCTAAACTAAATAAAATTTTAGTTTAAAAGATTCTAAATGTTGAGAAAGCATTGTTATTGTTTACCTGGCAGTTCTTTTTATTTCTTACTAGCGCATAAATAATGGTATATCTTATAATTAAGGAAGTCTTAGATTTAAAGAAATCTAAGCTGACGGGTGCAGAGGCTCAGGCCTGTATTCCCTGCACTTTGGGAAGCCAAGGCGGGAGGATTGCTTGAGGCCAGAAGTTTGAGACCAGCCTGGGTAACAGAGTGAGAGTCTGTCTTTACAGGTTTAAATACAGTTTTTTTCTAAGTAATATTGTCATAAATATTATGTCATGAATATTATGCAGAGCTGCCGACCCCTCTGTACTCTGGGCAGTTTTCCCTCTTGCCTGAGAACACCACTTATAACACGGGACCTATACGGGAGTGGTGACACGCCATCTGTTCAAGTTTAACTTTTTTCTCATTTTTTAGACAGCAAATACAAATGGAAGTTCCAGTATGTTCTGCCCGCACTCCAGTGGGCGGTCTTGTGCACAGCCCACTTGGGAGGCCTCGGCGCTCAGGTGTGGTAAGAGCTGGGCGGTGCAGAGCACAGAGAAAGGACATCTGCGAGGAAAGTTCCCTGATGGCTGTCAACAAAGTGCCACGTCTCTATGGCTGTGAACGCTGAGCACACGATTTTATCGCGCCTATCATATCTTGGTGCATAAACGCACCTCACCTCGGTCAACCCTTGCTCCGTCTTATGAGACAGGCTTTATTATCCGCATTTTATATGAGGGGAAACTGACGGTGGAGAGAGAATTATCTTGCTCAAGGCGACACAGCAGAGCCCACAGGTGGCAGAATCCCACCCGAGCCCGCTTCGACCCGCGGGGTGGAAACCACGGGCGCCCGCCCGGCTGCGCTTCCAGAGCTGAACTGAGAAGCGAGTCCTCTCCGCCCTGCGGCCACCGCCCAGCCCCGACCCCCGCCCCGGCCCGATCCTCACTCGCCGCCAGCTCCCCGCGCCCACCCCGGAGTTGGTGGCGCAGAGGCGGGAGGCGGAGGCGGGAGGGCGGGCGCTGGCACCGGGAACGCCCGAGCGCCGGCAGAGAGCGCGGAGAGCGCGACACGTGCGGCCCAGAGCACCGGGGCCACCCGGTCCCCGCAGGCCCGGGACCGCGCCCGCTGGCAGGCGACACGTGGTGAGTGACCAGTGACTCGGGGTCGGGGACAGAGAGAGCCCCAGGATCCCGGACCAGCGGGGTGTCTGCGTGCCCGGGATTCCGTGTCTCGCGTCTCCCGAGGGGGCTTCGGCGACGGCTTCTCTCTTTATATATATATATGTATATATATATTTTTAAAGTCTTCCAATACGATCCGAAATGGCTTCTCTTCATCACAGTCCTAACGCCCTGGGCACAGATGTTCACTTGGAGGTACTGGGTGGTGGTTTGGCTGGATGGAGGGGAGGGAGCGCGCGGACTGAGCCTCCAAGGTACTCTCTGGGCCGGGGCACAGAGTGGTGGGCTCAAACGGAAGGGAGGGGACGGCGACTGGAAAAGGGCAGAGGGCACCCCTGAGGGTCCAGCCTTGGTTCAGGCCCACAGACGTGGCTCCCGTTGCTTGAAAATGTATCAAATGTGAGTAAGATATTGGGGGGGGCCTTCCGTAGTCCCGGATGAGGGTGAACTAACCTTGTCTCAGCAGTCTTTCCTGTGGCCTCTGGACTGACCCCGAGTCCCTGCCTGGCCAGTTACTAGCAAGATGCTCTGGTGCAAGCAAATTGGCCAGCCTCAGTTTTCTCTTCTGTGAAATGCCCCTTCCTTTGTGAACTATGAGGCCCTCCTCATCTCCCTAGGACACACTAAATATCAGTGTCAGCATTGTACGGGATTATGTATCTGTACCATTAGATCCAGGTCTTACAAATAGTAACCTAAAAGCATACAAATAGACCTTGTCTAAGAACAGGGTCCCGGCACGGTGGCTCACGCCTGTAATCCCAGCATTTTGGGAGGCCAAGGTGGGCAGATCACTTGAGGTCAGGAGTTCAAGACCAGCCTGGCCAACATGGTGAAACCCTGTCTCTATTAAAAATACGAAAATTAGCTGGGCATGATGACGCACACCTGTAATCCCAGCTACTCGGGAGACTGAGGCAGGAGAATTGCTTGAACCCGGGAGACAGAGGTTACAGTGAGCCAAGATGGGGCCACTGCACTCCAACCTGGGCAACAGAGCGAGACTCTGTCTTAAAAATAAATACATACATACATATACATATATATATATATACACACACACACATACACATATATATATAAAGAATAAAGCTAAATTAGTCCTTTTTTCCCCATTTTTAAAACTCTAGATAATTGTTATAATCTGCTATGTGTGTGCTCTGTGTAGATGAACATCTTTGTTGAGCACCTACTATGTATTTGGTTTTTGGATATATATTATCTAATTCCTTAAAAACATGGTGAAATTGTTATTAGTATTCCCATTTTACAGATGTGGAAACTTACATGTTTCACACAGTTAGAGAGTTACAGGTTTCTGGCTCAAAACTGTGTTCCTTCTGTTTCCACCTCTCTGGCTCAGAACCTTATAACCACCTCCACTTGAACAAACAAACGTTGGATTCTCATTTTCCATTAATAGGAATGGTACAGTGCCCTATTTCTCTGTCCAACACATAACTAAAAGGACCTTAGTGGCTAAGAGCTAACACTTTCCTTCCCTATTTTAATGTGAAATCCTCAATACATTACACTATCTGTTAGGCACAACAGCCTCCAGAAAAGTTTGCAATATGCTCTTTTCCATATGTCATGCCTCTTGAATGTCATGTTCATTACATAGGCTGATAAATTCCCAAACTTTGACAAACGGAATCTTTTCTGTATTAGAATGAGTTTTAGTGTGAAAAAAAATTCGAAAGCACACATGTAATTTTTAAGGTAGAAGAATCCGCCAAGTACAGTAGGTATTGGGCATCATTTCTCAGTTGTGGACTTATTTTTGTATTGCTGCACCTGCTTTGTTCTCTACCAAATTATTTGTCATCTTTGTAATTACGCTCACAGCACTGCTGTCAACTCCTACAAATAAATTTGTGCAGAATGGCGGGACACGGTGTCTCATACCTGTAATCCCAGCACTTTGGGAGGCCGAGGTGGGGGGATCACCTGAGGTCAGGAGTTTGAGACTAGCCTGACCAACATGGCGAAACCCTGTCTCTACTGAAAACACAAAAATTAGCGGGGCATGGTGGCACACACCATGTGGCATGGTAATCCCAGCTACTCGGGAGGTTGAGACAGGAGAATCGATTGAACCCGGGAGGCAGAGGTTGCAGTGAGCAGAGATCACGCCACTGCACTCCAGCCTGGGCGACAAGAATGAAACTTCATCTCAAAAAAAAAAAAAAAAAAAAAAAAAGCCAAATCCCAAAGGAAGTCTTATACAATTTCCTTTGCCCTTGGAAGTTTCTAGTGTTCTTCGCTAGTGTAACAGTGGTTTGTTTTTGTTTTTGTTTTCCAAATAAGTATTGAACATGTACATTATGGTCAGTGCATTTGCTGGACTTAGACTTAGTGAATATAAAGAAATGTAAGGCCCAGTTCATGACCTACGAAGTCAAAATTGTTTGGGAAAATTTTGAGAATACTTAATATGTCTTAAATGATAGGTGGCATGAAGTTAGGAGGTATGGAATCTAGTTTTAATCAAATCAGTCTTTCAGTGTTAAATCAGATGAATGGGCAAAGAGAGGAGTCAAAAGCAAGGCCATCTAACTTAATTCTCGTAGTGTCACTGAAAAGAAGTAATACTGCCTTTTTTCTTATAATAATAGCAGGTAACATTGATTGAGCTCTTGCTATATACCAGGTACTCTGCTAACAGCTTGTCATTTAACCCTCCCAACAATCCTGTGAGATAGGTGCTGGTTTTTTGTTTGTTTGTTTTTTGTTTTTGAGACGGAGTCTTGCTGTCGCCAGGCTGGAGTGCAGTGGTGCGATCTTGGCTCACTGCAACCTCTGCCTCCCGGGTTCAGGTGATTCTCCTGCCTCAGCCTCCCAAATAGCTGGGATTACAGGCGCACACCAGTATGCCCAGCTAATTTTTGTATTTTTAGTACAGACGGAGTTTCACCATGTTGGTTAGGATGGTCTCGATCTCTTGACCTCGTGATCTGCCCGCCTCAGCCTCCCAAAGTGCTAGGATTACAGGTGTGAGTCACCACGTCCGTCCAGTAGGTGCTGTTTGTATTCCCTTTTTACAGATGAAGGAACTTAGGCTGAGTGGTCAAGTGATTTGTCACAGGCCATATAGCTGGAATTATCCGAGCCAAGACTTAGGTGTCCTGGGCGGATCCACTGCTCTTTTCATTACTACTACAGTTGCTCAGGAGGCTCTTCTGGGAGCTTGGACTGAGGTGATGAGCGTAAACATGGTTCAATGCCTCTTGGAGGTAGTAGCTTTGTGGGTTTAACATGGGAGCCCTGAGGCATGCTGAGAATAAATGAGAGGGGTAAGCCTGTTCCTGCAGAATTTAAACCGATAGAAGAGGGAAAGCAGTTAGACTAACAGAGCATCAAGCTTGGATTTTTATTTCTCAGGTGCTCATGGAGAAGGGAAGCATAGAATGTAATTCGAATCCAATTCTGGATTTATGTGTGGTTTTTCTGGGTTATCTTGGTCAACTTACAGATTTTTCTATCTGTAGAATAGGATACTAATCATTACTTTATGTATTTGACCAAATATTAACAACTAAATTATATGCTTTGCACAGTGATAAACTACTAAGTAAATGCCTACAAAAGATTGTTAAAATTAGAATCTTAATTAACCTCTATTTTGCAATGATATGCAGGAAAAGCAACACATTAAGTAAAATATCAGGAGATACTGAGATGGAGGGTTGTTAGTGTAGAGACTTCAGCTGAATTCTTAATTTATATGAGAAACCTGGGGAAACATTGTGGCATGGTGATCACTACCCTTAGTTTTTTAATTCCCCTCCCAAGTGTGCCTCCAATTATCTTAAGATAATTGTGAAATTCTTAGAAAATTCTCAAAACAATGCAATTATCTTAATATGTTAATGCCTTGTAGTACTTTATGAAAATACTCAGTGGTTGCTTACAAGGTGAAGCAAAACTTGGCCAGGACTTTGCAATACCCAAGATCCAAAGATAAACCTCCTGCCATTGTCCACAAACAGAGACTTCCAGATTGAGGATGTCAAAGAAAAAACCTTTCCAATACACTAAGGAAGAAAAGTTAGTGAAAGAGGTTTAGTTTTCTCAATAAAGGTCAATTGCTATTTTTAAAATAAGGAAAGGAGGCTTTGAAGTATGAAGTTACCTGCCATGGTGACAGAGGCAGAAATGGAGGAACCAAGGATGGTGCCCGGGGCCTCTTTCCAGCACATCATCCTTCCCAATAGAAGACAGCTTATTTTATCGATAGGCCTAGCAGGATACAGAGAGTGAATCAGAGAAGGCTGGAGTTTCCGAAGCTTTATTGAACACTTGCCATGAAAGTTTTAGGCTTATGGGAGCTATTCAAAGAAAGAAAAGAGGTCATGTAGTTTATTTGAAAGTGTCTTGTTTCTCCAAGACTCCATTCGTATCTTGTTTCTTTCTTTCTTTTTACTGTTATATTGGAGAAATGCTTGTTCAATCTATAGGATAAAATAGTTCTCAGTACAGATGATTGAGGGGTTGGGGTGGGATAAATTCATTTCAACTCTGATTTGTTTACGCACAACATTTCAGGAGTCTATTATGTCAAATGGGATGTATCTAAAATGGAAATAAAGACAAACAGAATTGACAGAAACAACATTCCAGAAAAAATAGGAAAAGAAGAGAGAAAAGAATAAAGGAAGTTAAGAAAAAAAAAAAGCCATAAAGAGGGAAAGGAGAAAACACATTGAATTTAAAAAAAAAAAAAAAGGAACAAAAATTCGGAAGTCTCCTGAATTTGAGCAAGAAAAGAAAGTTCCTGTACTTGGGTGAAATTAAAGAGGAACCATAGGACAGCAAATGCTTACCAATGAAATTAGAGAAAATTCCAGGCAGCCTCGTCAGCTGCACAAAAAGGAAAACAAGTGTGTGTGTTAAATTTGGCTCATGTAAACAGTGCTTGGACTATTGAATAGAAAGAAGAAAAAGTAGAAAAGGTTATGCATTTTACTTTCCTTCCCCTTCAAGCCATTTACCATGACATTATGAATGGGGCCGGTTTGATGATGGGGCCTGATAGACGGGCTTTTGCCCATGTAATGGCTTGTTACATTCTTTCACCAAATGGTAGACTTGGAATGAAAAACAGTTCATTTTCATGACCATAACTCAGGAAATTTCATGAAGAAGAGAAGGTTAGCTAATTGGTAACTTGATTTGATTATCCTTTTCCATCACCATAGTGGAATAGCATCAGATACGGTTACATATTGTATGTGCGCTGAGTTTTGTTGTTTCATCCTCTTTTGAGGGAGGTGGGCCTCAGAAGTAATGAGTCAACCTTCTGAAGAGTAAAGCATTAGGCATTATAAATGCTTTACTAGATAGATATCATAAAGATTGTATGTAAGGTGCCTAGCATCGTGCCTGAAACATAGTAAGAGATCAAAAAATTGCAGCATTAGTATTAGTATAGTGTTAAGATTAGCATTATTTTTAGTATTATGCTGCTACTGTTGCTATTGATTACAAGCAGCCTCACATCTAGAAGTGATGTTGGATTAGAAATCAGGAGACTGGCCGGGCACGGTGGCTCATGCCTGTAATCTCAGCACTGTGGGAGGCCGAGGCAGGCAGATCACCTGAGGTCAGTTCAAGACCAGCCTGGCCAACATGGTAAAACCCCATCTCTACTAAAAATACAAAAATTAGCTAGCCAGGTGTGGTGGCGCATGCTTATAGTCCCAGCTGCTCAGGAGGTTGAGGCAAGAGAATCGCTTGAACCCAGGAGGTGGAGGTTGCAGTGATCCAAGATGGTGCCATTGCACTCCAGCCTGGGTGACAGAACGAGACTGCATCAGAGAGAAAGAGAGAGAGAGAGAGACTGAGGTTCTGATCTGGATTTTGCTATTAATGTGAACTTGAGCAAGTCCCCTCTTTTTTTCTAGGTCACGGTGATCCATTTGTAAAGTCGGGAATAAATGACCTCTGAAGTGTTGTCTGTATATTGATCTGCTACCAGTAAAACATATCTCTGTAAGTAGCTTTGCAGGCAGAAGGGAAGAATTTTGTTCTTTGCCTCATTTAGTCACCTGATCATTAACGACATTCATTTATATGACAACCAGCCTTGAGGCACACTTGAAACAATCATTTGGTTGTCTGTGGTAGCCCAGACTGAAATGTCAGCTGTTGGAGGGGAAGGGAGCAGCAGGGCACAGTAGTTACTAGTAACTCGTGTAGCTCCTTCCTCCCCTGACTTTTTAAGTTCTTTGATGGTCTTAGGAATTAAGATTTTTTTTACCTGGCCTAACAAAACATACAACTCTAGTACACTGAAAATCATATGTGATTTAGCAAAGAAATACAAACGAGGGAATCAGCAGGGGAAATAGGAACCAGCCTCAGTGGGGTTCTTACTTTGTGCTAAGTATTCTCATGAATCCATGACACCATGGACTGTTCACAATAACTTTGCCTTAATCGTCACCGTAACTTTGTCGAGCTAGGTATTACTATACCTACTGTAAGGCATGAGGAAATGGTGCTCTCACAGTCAATAGCATATAGCAGAACTGAGATTCATTCACCTTTTTCTTTTCCTTAATACCACTATTTCCCTTGACCTTAATACAGTGCTACAGAAGAAAAATAATTTGGAAGTAGAAAGTTTTTCTGCCAACATGAGATTATCACCTGCGAAAGGAAACTTAAGAGTTTCTTTTTTCCTAGCCTAGCACAATACAATTTTGAAGTAGCTTCATGCTTTGTGCTTCTCTCTAGAGCAATGGGGAAAGAGGCTGGTCAGGGAGTAATTGTTGTCTCTGTCTTCCTACCGGTCGGTGTATTTCTGGCTTGTTCCCGCCCACCCCACCCCCATCCCCGATCTGAGACGTTGTTTTCACCATCTGGAAACTGTCACAACTTGAGTGATGAGTCAATGACATAGCACACTCTTTGATTTTCTGATTCAAGACAGAGTTGTTGTTTTAATATTTACCCTCTAGGCAGGGTATGTGAAGGATGTTTACAGTTACAGTAGGTTTCATTTTATTGGAAGATACCTCATTTACTTGAAGGTCTTTGGGGATTCTGAACTTCTCATAAAAGGAGAAGCTATTTTTACCTGGTAGTCAGAGAAAATGAGCAAGTTTGTGTTTGGATCAATGTACCATTATATAAACTCAAATTTATCTTCCATTTTACCTATTTCATATAAATATGTATGTTTATATAATATACACATATATTTTAACCTATTTAATAATAGGACATAATATATATGAAAACATATTTCATATATATCCATTTTTTTAAATCCTTATAATTATCATATGAGTATTTTACTATTTGGAGAATGTTATAGCTTCATAAATTTTGATCCATGTTGAAAATTTCTACAAAGGGGCGCCATAGATATCTTTTGCAGTTAGGAAGCAGAAACCTACTTAATCCCTATGTAGCCATTCATTCAGTTATCTTCCAGTTCAATCCATAATTTTATCTATGCCAGAATATTCCAAATTTTAATGCAGCAGCTAACATAGCTACTATAGGGGTAGAAAAACTCCGCTCCATCCTCCTAGGGTCTTGGTTGAGTCTGAGGATTAAATTGACATTAGATTAACAGGAAAAAAATAATACAAATTTACTCAACAAATATTATGGGACATGGGAGACATGAAAAAATGAAGACCCAAAGAAGTAGAGTCAGTTACTTAAATATTGGATTGAGCAAAGAATAGTAACCTATAAAAATGTGACTAAATTATGTGGGGATGCCAAAGTCTGTACAAAATTCTCTTGGTCTCAATTTCTCATCCTTGAAGATAAAGATGTTGTTGACTTTCTAGTACAGGGAGTGTCTTTCATATGGGAGTTTCACCTTCTGATTTTAAGAAACAGCAGGGAAGTCAAAGTGATCTTCTTGCCCCTGCTGTTTTTCAAGTGCCTTTAACTCAAATAGTCAATATGTCAGAAGAGTATATTTTAACACCTTTACTAATATAACAAAAAATCCAACCACAATGTAGTAGAATAAGATTTAATGTAAGTAGTTTTAATGTAGTTGCATTAAACTAAACTAGAAGTAAAATAGATGAACATACACACACAATTTAAGTTTTATCCAGGACAGCACATGCCTACTATGTGCCACAAATTGTGGCCTCTGCCCCTGAGGAGCTTGCAAGGTAATGGAGGAGATAGACAGGTATCTAAATAAATTAGTTCTCTTTAATTATGGTACGTGCTAAGATAGGAAGATGCCAGGGTGCTCTGAGGATACTGGCAGGAGGGTTCACTCTGACCTGAAGACATAAGTAAGGCTTCCTGAAATCTGAACACTTCTTTCCATTGCCACTACAACACCTGAGGACCACGTCATCATCATTTTACCTGTGCCTCTGCAGTCATTTCCTAACTGGTCTGCCTGCATCCACCCTAGTCCCCAGAGTAGTGTGTGTGTGTGTGTGTGTGTGTGTGTGTGTTAATGTCACTCGTAGCTCGTTACACCCTCAATTAAAACTCAATTAAAATAAGTAAAATTCCTAATTAAACACCAGTGGTTTCCCATACATTTGAGAGTAAAATCTAGGCTCCCTTTTTTCGCAAACAAGTCCATAGTAAATCTGGCTCCTGATGTCTTCTCTAATTTCATCACATACCATTCTCCCTGCAGTCACTTTCTCCAACAGCCCTGACCTTATTTCTGTACCTCTCCCTTGGCAAGCTCGTTCCTCTGCCTCCAGGCTGTGCATTCACCATTCCTCTGTGAGGAAAAGTGTTCCCACAACTTCAGTTGGCCAGCACCAATTTTAGCCCAAGCTTCGCCTCCTGCAAACGCCTTTGTTGACAAGTTTCTATCCTCCCCAGGGTCCCTCCTCTTTTATGTCCTTCTTTTATTATTACCTGAACTCACCAGTTTGTTGCTTATATTTTTGTTTTTTGCCTGTCTACTCCAGGATGTTGTTTCCATGAGAGCTAAAATCCCTTCTGTCTTGTTCTTTACCGTATCCCAAGGACTTGGCACTTAGCAGCTGCTTAATACATATTTATTGAATGAATAACTGAATGAAAGGTGTCTGAACTGAGTTTAGATGGATGAATAAGACTCACCCAGTCTAAAAATAGTGGGAAAGTAAAGAGAATAGCATGAAGGGAAGACACAGAGGCATGAATAGGCATGGGACGGGCAGGAGTATAAGCAGCTCAGTGTCATTAGATGGTAGTGTCAGCAGAGAGTGGTGGATGTGGCTGGTGATAAAGACAGAAATTAGCTCACAGAGGCCATTGTATTCCATGACCTTGGACTTTTTGGTTTAGAGACAGGGAGACCTGCAGATTTTGGCTTAAATCTGTGCTTCTCAAACATTTTAACAGTGACTCACAAGAAACACATTTTATGTATCTGAACTGAGATCCATCCCCAGCTTTTAGAAGCTGTCACATTCATTGGCTCGTGGCTCCTTCCACCACTTCAGAGCCAGCAGCAGCAGAGCGAGTCCTTGGTACCTCATATCTCTCTGACCCACTCTCCTGCCTTTCTTGTACACTTTTAAGGGCTCCTGTGACTATATTGGGCCCACTTGGTTAATCCAGAATAATCTTCCCATCTCAAGGTCCTTAACTTTAATCACGTCTCCAAAGTGTCTTTGCCATGTAGGGTAACCTGTTCACAGATTCTGGGAATTAGGGCATGGACATCTTTGGTGGGCCATTTTCCTGTCTACCACAGGGATGTTTATAGGGAGTTTTCTAAAGATCATATTCCTTTCCCTCCTTCGCATCTTTCTTTCAATAGACATTTGTTGAGTACTTACTGTTTCCCAGTGTTAAGTGCTGGTATTCAACAGTGAGCAAGGTAGTCAATGTTCCTGCTCTTATGGGGCTTATATTCTAGTATAGAAGACAGATGACAAACAAGTAATTAAGTAAAGGAATAAGGCAGTTACAGATTGTGCCATGAAGACAGTAATAAGGTGATGAGTAAAAAATCAACTGGGGAAGACCACATTGGTCAGGGAGGGCGTCGGAGGGATAGAGACAGTGGTCAGGGAGGGGCTGTCTGGGGAAGTAACACATGAACTGAAATCTAAAGGGTGTAAATATGTCAGCCACACGAAGACGCAAGGGAAGAGGATTCTAGCAGAGGACATGGAAAATGCAAAGTCCTCTAGGCAGCAAAGGGCATTGTTCAAGGAACAGTCTGAAGGCCAGTGTGAATGGAGCAGAGTGAACCAGGCAAAAATGTAAGCGATGATGGCAAGATGGGAAGAAGTGAGGCCATGCAGTGGCTGAGAGATTGTGTGTGGTATGGGCTGTGGATATTTTTCTAACAGCAGTAGGGACCCGTTGAAGGGTTTCCAATAGTGGTGGTGTGCAGGGGGTAACATGATCTGATTTATGTTTTTCAAAGATAGTTGGCTCTGTGAAAATGGCTTAGAAAGGGCAAGGATGGTTTGGAAAGACATGTTGACGGCTAGAATAGACTAGGGGAGAGATGACAGTGGTTTGGACTAGGGTGAGGGGACAGTTGGAATGGAGAGAAGTGCATTGATCTGTAACATATTTTGGAGGTAAAGTTGATGGGACTAGAGATGGTTTAGCTGTAGGAGATGAGAAAAAGGTTAGAATCAAAGATGACTTCTAGGTGTTTTTAGCCACCTGGGGTAAGAATATCATTCGCTGAGATAGAAAAGGCTGAAGGAAGAATGAATTTGGAGAAAGGGTGCCAAGAATTTAAACTGAACACCTTAATATTGAGAATCTGTTAGACATCTAAGAGGTAATGCCAAGGAGACAGATGGATGAGACTGGAGCTCAGGGGGATGTGTGAGTTGATCTACTCTGAAATCTTTAGCTAGCAGATGACATCTAGAGCTAGGGGACCAGGTGAAATCCCCTACAGAGAAAGTAGAAATGGAAAAAAAAAAAATACCTTGAGTGAGCTAAGGTCCTCCAAGAGTTAAAAATCAAGAGGAAAACAAAGAGTAGCCAGCAAAGACTTATGCTAACATTATTTAGGGTTTTCCTGAATGATGGCTAGGCTAGAGGTAGAGGAAACAAAGGGCGCTTTCCTAGAACCCCACAGGGACAGGAGTGCTTTGTCTCTAGCACTTAGTGTGCCTAGCACATGAAAGGCAGCCATCCATATTGAATGAATAAGTGAAATTTTCTGAAGCTCTTCAATATTTTCTGGCATATGTCTAGGTATGGGGTTAAGAGGTAAACTTTTGCTTTGCACTGACTACTTTTTAGTGGCCTGACATCACAGAACTTCCCAGCCTACTTTATGAATTTTTGGCCTATCTTTAATAGAATTTAAAGAATTTGTTACTGACCAGTAGAGCCATTCCTTGGGTTTGAATTTGAAACAGATCAGAAATTGCCAGCTTATGTTTTCTGACCTATTCAAGATAAAATCATTCTGTAAAATAAGTAATTAAAAAACAAATAAGTAAACAAGCTTCTCTACAAAACCCAAACAACCCTTGGAATTCCTTTTTTACTGCCAAAGAGATCAATCTTTTACTAAGTTCCAGATGGGTTATGAGCCATTTTTCGATCTACTGATTCCAGAATCACTTGACTGGATCAGAAACTCTCACTGGTCAAACTACTCTGTATGGTATGATGATGAAGCCTTGTTTAGAAGGAAAAGAAAAAGAAAAGTGTTGTGTGGGACTAAGTCTCAGACAGGTTAAGCAACTTGCACATGGTCTCAAGTATTTAAACCCAGTTCTAAAGGACCCCAAAGCCTATTGCTGTGGTCTGAATGTTTATGTCCCCCTCAAATTTATATGTTAAAATCCTAACTCTCAAGGTGATGATATTAGGAGATGGGGTCTTTGGGAGGTGATTGGGTCATGAAGGTAGAATTTTTACGAATGGAACTAGTGACCTTATAAAAGAGATCCCAGAGAGCTCCGTTGTCCCTTCCACCATGTGAGGTCGCAGCAAGAAGGCCCCATCTATGAACCGTCTATGAAGTGGACCCTCACCAGACCCTGAATCTGCTGACCTCTTGATCTTGAACTTGCCAGTCCCCAGAACTGTGAGAAACAAATTTCTGATGTTTATTACCTACCCAGGTCATGGTATTTTGTTACAGCAGCCCAAATGAACTAAGACATCCAAATTCCTTCTCTAATCCTTTGCTGACCCCAAGAAGTCTCACTGAGATGGGATTTGGAAGGTGGCTAAGATATTCGATTTACTAGTTTTAAAGGTACATGTCATTTTTTAAAATAACAAGATCTCAACAAGGTGGAGAAAAATAAAGCGGCACTTGAAGCTCTTCTGAGCTATTTTGGCTCTGGTATTTTCTGAACATATTTAACATGAATGAATTTGTCTTCTTTTGCAAGGAAGAATACGGAGTTCTATACCAGAGTTGATTGTTGATGGCACATACTTTTAGAGGATGCTCATTGGCATTTATGTTTATAATCACGTGGCTGTTGATTAAAGCAAAAATAGGTAAGATATTTCTGTAAGTTACTCTGTGGAAGAATTTGTGGTTTAAATTCTCAGTTACAGATGAAGTATGTATTTGTGGTAAATGTTCTGGTAGTTGGTCTTTTGTAGTCAATCTCTGTCATTTAAGTGGATAAGTCTGGTTCTGTCTATAACTAATAGTTATTTTATTTAATTTGCACTAATGATTAATATAAGGGTCCAATTATTTTATTTCTTCCTAAGAAAGTGGCTTGGTAACCCAGCTAGGCATCACAAATACATGTTTTACATTTCAGCACATTTTTCTTTTTTTTCTTTTCTTTTTTTTATTATACTTTAAGTTCTGGGATACATGTGCAGAATGTGCAGGTTCGTTACATAGGTATACATTGTGCCATGGTGGTTTGCTGCACCCATCAACCCGTCAACTACATTAGGTATTTCTCCTAATGCTATCCCTCCCCCAGCCCCCACCCCATGACAGGCCCTGGTTCGTGATGCCCACCCCCACCCCCGTGTCCATGTGTTCTCATTGTTCAACTCCCACTTAAGAGTGAGAACATCCGCTGTTTGGTTTTCTGTTCTTGTGTTGGTTTGTTCAGCACGTTTTTCTTCCTGCCTCCCGCCGTCCACAAGTTTGGTTTGTTTTTTTTTTCTGAGACAGGGTCTGGCTCTGTTGCCCAGGCTGGAGTGTAGTAGCACAATGTTTGCAATACTTTTTTAATACTCTTTTAAAACTGTCTTTTTTTTCTTGGTACAAGTATTTAAGTAAAAATTATAAATCATAAATGGTGATGGAAACAAATGTGTTTTTTTCTGGGAAGGCTTTAGTAGTCTGGTAAATAATTTGCATATAAGAGAGGCTGGTTTTTCCCGGAACTGTGTTCCTGAATGTTCTTCCAATCCTGCTTTCTAACCACTTTCCTGGTTATAGTTCTGATTATAGTATTACTGTTATGAGACGGATGCATATTTTCATTCAAATACAGTTAGACTTCAATATGTTTACCTTCTGTTTTCATTGTACATCACCATTATAACCAGAGACATGTAGGTTAATTATATTTGCATGATCTGATGGAGTTAATTTTACCCTGTTTTGGGGAATTACATAAACTCTTCATTTTGAAATGGGTTTATTATCACCAACTAAATATTGCATCTGTATCTTATTGCAGATGCGTGCAAGAGAGGCGATGTGACTGTGAAGCCTTCCCATGTAATTTTACTTGGATCCACTGTCAATATTACATGCTCTTTGAAGCCCAGACAAGGCTGCTTTCACTATTCCAGACGTAACAAGTTAATCCTGTACAAGTTTGACAGAAGAATCAATTTTCACCATGGCCACTCCCTCAATTCTCAAGTCACAGGTCTTCCCCTTGGTACAACCTTGTTTGTCTGCAAACTGGCCTGTATCAATAGTGATGAAATTCAAATATGTGGAGCAGAGATCTTCGTTGGTGGTGAGCATTCCATTTTGAATTTTTAAAACTTGGTGATCTTTTGGTATTTTTGATCTTTTGGTATTTGGTGTTAAACAGAAACCCAAATACAGGTTAATGTTCTTTCTTTTCCCACCACATTGAAGTATTTTATCTTGATACCGACCTGAGAGCTTCAATGTGAGTTCAGAAACTGGAATCTTATTTGGCAAGTCTCTCTCTCTCTCTCTCTCGCCATTAAAACCATTTATCTGTTGTCCTTAACTCCAGTGGCAGAAAAAATGGATCTCTGCAGGTGGGTCTTTATGCTTTTTTGACTTAGGAGAATATGTTTAAAGCTACAGCCTCCTAAAAAGAAAGAAGAGATGTCTTTTTAGACTTATGCAGCCCAGGATGACTACACAGAGTTGAACAGCACCTCTCGTCCTATCTAACTTAATGCCTCCCAAAATAGTTCTTCCATCCATGCTCACCCGGACCACTGGTTCTCATACTTAACAGAAGGTAAAAGAAAACATTGATCATACTTACTATCTTTTCCTCAGTTCTCTAGGAAACTGACTCCAGCAAAAAAAAAAAAAAAAAAAAAAAATCTGCTAACAATTCATGGGAAGGGGGCATGGGGCAGAGGAGTTACACAGCCCCAGGGAGGCAAGAGGGAAGGAGTGAGCCAGGAAAGGGACAAAAGCAAATGCCAGGTGGTAACATCACTGGACTGGCCACAGCTTCAACAGAAAATGCAGCTGGTTGTTTATACACTTAGGGACATTCCCAGAAAGAGCATATAGAAATCTCATGACAAGAGAAAGAAGAACTTAACTATCTCCCACTGGCCAAAGTCCACCTGACGGGGGCTCAGTTTCCCACACTGCTGACTTGCATTGCTGGTCCCTTCAGGCAGCTGCTGGGGGATTAGAACTAAAGTGTCAGAGTTGACATCTGCAGCATGAGCCACAGTGCACAGGATGAACCAGCAGCCAGCAGCACACCTACCTGCAGTTCGCAACCTGTGGCCCATAGCCTTGCAGGTCCAACCAGGCAATCCTATAAGCAAGCATGGGCCCTGAGGGATTCCATGGCACCCTGTGCCTCAGTGGTTCCAAGGAAGCTTTGGCGTGGCAGACAAGAGTCATGAAGAGACTAGGAAGAATTGCTCTAGCAGGCTGGCTGACCAAGCCTCATAGACATCATCTCTGTCATAAAGGCAGTGATATAGAGCTCAATGAGACTCTGTCCAGGAAAGATGGAAACCTCCTCTCTGTGACCTATAAGGATATATATATATAGTTGGTGCCAGGTGATTTTCCTGGAGGGCCACCAGAAGCACGGAGCAGAAGACCAAGCAAATGGCCAAGCAGATCATTGGTAGGAAGGAGGTATAAACTAGGCCAAGTACTCACCTTCCAGCTCAGGGCCTCCTGTTCACACCACTGTGAGTCATATACTCTCAGCATTGACAGCCTGCGGTATAGTAGAAGTAGCATGGGCTTTGAATCTCAACTCTGCCAGTGGCAGTGTACTTTAGACAACTTAAATTATCTGAGCCTCAGTTTCTCCATCTGTATTACGAAGATAATAACATCTACCTCATGAAATGGTCATAGTAATTAGAAGACCTCTTATATGCAAAGTGCTTAATCCCATACAAGGCACATGGGAGGCATTCAGGTGACGGCTTTAGGCTTCTCAACAGCAACCTGGAATGTGGGAGGCAACAAGAGTCCTGACTACAAACTCTTTTCAACTTAGAATTCTATACTCAAAGTATCAGTCAAACGTGAGGGTAGAATAAAGACATTTTAAACTATGCTCAAAATATTTCCTCGCATGCACCCTTTCCCAGGGAACTACTGGAGGCTATGCTCCACCAACCCAAGTAATTAGACAAGAAGGAATAAAACATTAAATCTAAGAAACAAGACAGCCAAAGGAAAAACAGAAGGAACTTAGGAGACATTGAGGATGAGCAGTCCCAGAATGACAGCTGGGTACCAGGCATGGAGACAACCTGTCTTATATTGGAAAATTCACAAGGCTCCAAGAGAGATCCTCAAGCAGATGAAATGGATAGAAGTCCCAATACATTGCAGTATATTGAACAGTGATTCAGATAATTGGCTTGCAAGTTTGAAATTTTATTAACAAGAAAACTAAACAAATGGAAAAACAAGATAATTACTAATTCTAAGAGTAAAAGTTGTACAGAAAATGAAAAGTTAATATAGTATTCTATATGGCTCAGTCACGAGTAGTGTGTGTATATGCAAAAGTATACACTGTGTAAATATATATATAAACATATCTAAATGTATATATGTACATGGGTACGTATATATACACAAGGAAGAGACTTTCGTTTGTTTGTTTGTTTTGAGATGGAATCTCAGGCTGTTGCCCAAGCTGGAGTGCGGTGGCGCAATCTCGTCTCACTTCAACCTCTGCCTCCTGGGCTCAAGCAATTCTTCTGCCTCAGCCTCCCAAGTAGCTGGGATTACAGGCATGCACCACCATGCCCGGCTAATTTTTGTATTTTATTAGAGAGGGGGTTTCACCATATTGGCCAGACTGGTCTCTAATTCCTAATCTCAGTGATCCGCCCCCATCAGCCTCCCAAGTAGCTGGGATTATAGACACGCACCACCATGTCTGGCTAATTTTTGTATTTTTAGTAGAGACAGGGTTTCACCATGTTACCCAGGCTCAAACTCCTGGGCTCAAGCTGTCTGCCTGCCTCGGCCTCCCAAAGTGTTGGAATTACAGGCATGAGCCACTGTGCCTGGCCCAGGACTCTAACTTTTAAGTATGAACTTGTAAGTTAAAACGACTCTCAGACCACCTGTGTGGAGTCTCTGAGAAAAGAGTAAACTATTTTAATAGTCCAGGGAGAAGTGATCAAGTCCTTATCTAGGACAGTGGCAATGGGAACCAAACATGGGAACAGACAGCTTAAACCTGGTGGAAGTAGGATCCACTGAATTTGATGACTAACTGGATGTAGAAAATGAAGAAGAAATGTTGAGAAAGACTCTGATGTTTCCAGTCTATATGTCTTAGAGGAAGCTGATGCCCCAGGCAGCTTCATAAAATGGAACAAGAATAGATGTTGAATCAGAGAGAACTAGCTCAAACTCAGCTCTACCACTTACTAGCTCTGTGACCTTCAACATGTTACCTAACATCTCTGAGCCTCAGCTTCTTCATCCATTATATGAGGTTAATCTGAATGCATCCCTCTTGAGTCATTTATACAGATCAAATGGGGTCATGCACCTAGTGTGCTTAGCACAGAGTGTGGCACATAGTAAGAGCTCAAAGGTTTGTTGTTGGAATTTATTGGCAACATTCCTTTATTCTACTTCCAGCAAGAGCCTCCAGTGGTTTTGTGTTGTTGTTGTTTTTTTCTTTCTTTTTTGAGGCAAAGTCTCACTCTGTCACCCAGGCTGGAGTGCACTGGCACAATCTCAGCTCGTCGCAACCTCTACCTTTTGAGTTCAAGTGATTCTCACGCCTCAGCCTCCTCAGTAGCTGGAATTACAGCATGTGCCACCATACCCAGCTAATTTTTGTATTTTAAGTAAAGAAGAGGTTTCACCATGTTGGCCAAGCTAGTCTCAAACTCCTAACTTCAAGTGATCTGCCCACCTCAGCCTCCCAAATTGTTGGGATTACAGGCGTGAGCCACCGCATCCAGCGAAAAGAGACTTTTTTAAAGGAAAAGTTTATTATTCTATTAAAACTATATGAGCTAGATATCATTATACCCATTTTATAGATTCAACTGAAGCTCTGACTTGTCCAAGGTCACACAGTGGGCATTCCTGTGCCTATGTCTATGGTGGATGCTAAGGACAAAAAAGATATTTATTTAATCAATAACAGATTTTTTCAGTGTAGACAATAGCTAGGACTTCTGTAGTATACTCATTTTATCTAACCTAAAGGAAATATGTATCTACACGTGGGTCTGGGTATTAGGGTAAAATGGGATGACTGAATAGCTGAGTATTTCTCTTACCTCCATTTTGTCCAAAAAATTCCTAGTTTGGGTCCTTTCACCATAAAATAGCTTTATTTAAAAATACACACCTTACAATAGAAGGGACCATGCTTGCTTTGTACATCTTTGTATTTCCACATCTAGCACTGTGCTTGGCTCGTGGGAGGTACTCAATGCCTATGTACACAAAAGAATTAATTTATAAATGTCCATAAAGTGCTCCAAGAGACAATGCAGAAATTAGATTTAGATGGTATAGCCCGGGAGGACATGACTGAGGCAACTGGGTGTAAGTGTCTTGACAGCAAATATCAGGTGAAGAAAGCAAATAAGTCTCTCATTTTTAAAGGTTTCTAATATTTGAATGGGCATCACTCTAAAAGAAATTAATTTATTATTACCAGGGGTAATGGAGCTAGCACTGGATGTTCACCTGTCAGGGAAAATGGTAGAATATGGAGTAAAAGGCTTGGACTTGAGTTACAGCTGAGCTGGAGCCTTGAATCTGCCACTTCATAATTTTATGATCTTGGGCCAGATATTTCACCTCTCTCAGTTTCCTCTCTGAAAAAAAATATAATAATAGTATCTACCTCATGGGGTGCTACGCTGTCTAATTCAGAAAAACTGCACATAGCACTGGGCTAGGCATATAGTATTTGATCCATATTCACTACTATTATTACTGTTTCTAGGAGAAATTTACACCTTAATGGCAAACTGGGACTTGAATGGAATCTAAAATAGCTTCTAGTTTACCTGGGTTTACGGCATGTGGGGGACGTATTGTCATGTTGATGGCAGATAATAACAATTCGGTTGAAATATCACCTGTGTGATATATAAGGTTTTGTCTTTTCTTTTTAAAGTTGCTCCAGAACAGCCTCAAAATTTATCCTGCATACAGAAGGGAGAACAGGGGACTGTGGCCTGCACCTGGGAAAGAGGACGAGACACCCACTTATACACTGAGTATACTCTACAGTGAGTGAGAGGCTGTATTTTTGCAGCTGTTTTGTAGATCTTCTCTTAAATGACATTTAGAAATATCTGTTTTCTTTATTTATTTTTATTTTATTTTATTTATTTATTTATTTATTTATTTATTTATTTTGAGACGGAATCTCACTCTGTCACCAGGCTAGAGTGCAGTGGCGCAATCTCGGCTCACTGCAACCTCTGCTTCCTGGGTTCAAGTGATTCTCCTGCCTCAGCCTCCTGAGTGGCTGGGATTACAGGCACCCACCACCACGCCCAGCTAATTTTTGTATTTTTAGCAGAGACGGGGTTTCACCATGTTGGCCAGGATGGTCTCGATCTCTTGACCTCGTGATCCACCCGCCTCAGCCTCCCAAAGTGCTGGGATTACAGGTGTGAGCCACGGTGCCCGGCCTATCTGTTTTATTTTTACCAGAAAGGAGAAGCAATAGATACTTCTAGACAATTAGATACTTTTTAAAGAGTTTCTATGTTTATAGTTAAAACTGGTTCATTCATCTACAGTATGAGAGACCGAATGTCTTGGGTCTGAGTTCTAACTCAGAGTTCTCTTCAGTGCATCCAAGATCCAAGTTATAGCTGTTCTTTCCCACTCTAGTAGGGTTAAACTGGCTGCATAAGATCGCTTCTCTTTTCTGCAGCTGTAGGCTCTTGGGGTCATGATACATAAATAAACTCTTCCTTGTGGTAGTTTCCCATTCGCTTGGATAAGTTTCTTTTTAAAGCACCATTGGCTGACCTAAGAGTCCATGAGAAGAGAGAGTCTGGGAGATTCTGTTCCTTGAAGTAGATTTCATGATCCCATTAAAGATCCAGCTGATTTGTGCTATTCCTGAGTGAGGAGGAGATGGAGGAAAGGAGGGGTTCTGTAGTACATTTACTTTTTCTAACCTAAAGGAAACATCTATTGACACGCGGGTCTCAGTATTAGGGTAAAATAGCCCAGGATTCTACTCTGGCCACTGCTGTACTAGGAACTGACAATTCTGTGCCACAGATGTCAAGGTGGCCACAGTGCTTAGGATAATGTTTGGAACTGCCCTGGGGAGCCAAGATGACAAGCAGGGTTTGGGGAATTTCAGCAGCGTAGGCTTGGTTACCTATCTACATGAATGTGGAAGAACATCTCAGTTCTACCAAAAAAGGGAGTTGGGTGAAGTATAGTCTTACATGACCATATAGTACAAATATTCCCGGGGTGTATCCCCTAGTCATAAGATTGACCTTTAAAAATTGTCTAGAATTCTAAATATTTAAACATTTTGTTCTTTTCTACTGTAAGTAGAAAGTAGCACATAAAACATGTTGCTACACGTGGTTGTGTTTTGTTTACAGGCTAAGTGGACCAAAAAATTTAACCTGGCAGAAGCAATGTAAAGACATTTATTGTGACTATTTGGACTTTGGAATCAACCTCACCCCTGAATCACCTGAATCCAATTTCACAGCCAAGGTTACTGCTGTCAATAGTCTTGGAAGCTCCTCTTCACTTCCATCCACATTCACATTCTTGGACATAGGTACATTTTATTTCACTGTTTCATTGGTACTTTATAATTATTTTTAAAATCACTCAAATCTTTTTTATATGGTTGTTTCAAGAAAGACAGAGATTGATGGAAATTGGCCAACAGGCATAAGCAAAAGATAGAAGTTACTTTGATGCAAGTAAAAGGGTGCATTATTCTGAGCTATCTAAAGATGGCTATACAAAGTGGGATGTTCAACATTATTCTCTCTATTGAAGAAATTAGCCCCTGGATTCAAATCCCATGAAAGAACCAGCTACTAATGATACCACCTGACTGAGGAGAGGGTCCTGTGAGGTCATTCAAGATGCTCAGTGCAAGCCCTTCTTGGAGGAGGTGTCCTTTCGCCCCCATGGCTACTCCCATTGTTGTGAGATAGGCTACATGTGGGCCTGCTAGGCTAGAGCAGCGAGGTACAAACTATAAATAAAATTTCTCAAGTCACAGATGCATCTTGCTCTGAGAATACTCACCTCCATCCCTGGAGTGAGCCAGTACATTTCTGAGCAAATGTAATCGGTCCAGTTGAATCAGAGGCCAATCTCAAGCATTCCAAGTTCTGACCATCCAGGCAGAACTGGGCTGCCTGAAGTTCCAACCTCACACTATGTGCTTCTCGCCTCTCTTTCCATGGCACTTCTCTGCATACATATTGCTAACGATGAGTCTGATCATTGGCATTTACTATACACTTTTCCACCATATTTCTTCTCAGGCTTCCTCCCATTTCTTTCATAGACCGTTCATCTCTAGGCTACCTTCTCGCCCCCTTGTTCTTTTCCTCTGTCCCTTTGCTATGAATTTTCCTACGAACATTTCTTCTCCTCCTGAGGCAGTCATCACTAGCCGTCTCTGGCTTCTCAGTCATTGGAACTCTTGGGTTTGGCACATTGGTTTTTGAAAAACCACTGGACTAAGTGTAGTTGAAACTTACCACTAATGTTGGTAGTAGTTATTTGGTGAAAATGAGATTTGATTAAGGGGGATTATTTTAAAGATTCAGAAGTGAATCCAGCTTTTAAAAAAGTTCTTTCTTAAAGCCTGGAACTTTTCTCTTGTATATTTTACCAAATTTGATGGTTGTGCATCTCAGAACTGAGTTTTGTCAAACTCTTTATAGCTCATGCCAGTACATAAGACAATTGCTGATCACAGATCCTGAACCACACTTTTTTGTTTGTCCTGGTTACTAGTGAGGCCTCTTCCTCCGTGGGACATTAGAATCAAATTTCAAAAGGCTTCTGTGAGCAGATGTACCCTTTATTGGAGAGATGAGGGACTGGTACTGCTTAATCGACTCAGATATCGGCCCAGTAACAGCAGGCTCTGGAATATGGTAATTATCTTTAGAGTGAAGGAAAAAACACTGAAGCATTCTTAATATTGCTGCGCAGACCTCTGTCTTTTCATACAGCAAAAAATAGAGTTTAAGAATATTTATCCCAAAAGTACACACGAGAGAATTATCAGAAAGTCATGTATGCCTCTGTTGATTAAGAAATATCTTGAATTTTGATCTCTGATTCTGAAATTTTTAAAGCTTTTGTAAACCAATATTAATTTTCTATAGTTTATTTCTAACAGAGGATTCATTTCTCCTTATTATTTACCCTGTCCTGTTATTATTTTTTAGCATTTAAAAAAGATATTGAAAAGAGAAATATTAAGAAATGTCCACAGAGAGTTATATAGAATTTAATATTCCAAAGAAAAGGTCTACAATTTAATATAATATTAGGCATTGCATGTTTTAAAATAAAAGGTATAGGATTATGATTCTTTCCGGGATTGTTGTAAAATTCAATGGCTTATAATAACAAAGGATCAGTCCCACAGATAGCTGATATTCAAGAGAGTATAACTAATTAAAGGGTTTTTTTAAAAAAAAAAAAAGCCAGTGCTATGTTTGTGTTAAAACATTCATCACATCCTAATTGTAATCAAATAAAAAATAATCTCTAGTGTAGAAACTTTGTAGTTTTCAATCTTATTTTTCAGCTGGTTTCAGGATTCCCCTCGAGAACCTACATAGATGGGTTCTTAGTACCCAGAGATTTTGTTTTATTTTTAATGAGATGCTATCATTTCAGATTAATATCATATCTATTCGGTAAGACAGTCACTGATATTTCTTCTCATTTAATGGTAGGTCTGAAAAACAAATAAGATCAAATAGCCTGGGTTTTTTTTTTTTCATTTTATGTTAAAATTCCTTAAATTAGCAATCTAGTATTAATAGGCACTTTAAAAAAATGTCTGTTTCAAGGTTAATGTTACAAAGGCCAAAGGAAGACATGATTTGCTGGATCTGAAACCATTTACAGAATATGAATTTCAGATTTCCTCTAAGCTACATCTTTATAAGGGAAGTTGGAGTGATTGGAGTGAATCATTGAGAGCACAAACACCAGAAGAAGGTATATGTCCAAAATATACATACCTATCGGGGAGCAATAAAGGGGAGAGAGGGGGGAAGATGTAATGATTTCCTTGGAATAGAATCTTTAAACTACTGGTGCTGAATCAAAAAGCATGACTGCATTAGTTAACAAGTTAATTTTTATATTAACTTAAGTGCTGAAACTGTTCAAGGAAATATGTTTGTGTTGCAAGGAAATTTTTAACATTGGGTAAGTTCTACTCCTGTTTGCTATCAGTCATGTTGGTTATAATGCTTGGTTATAACTTATCTCTCTTACTATCTCAGTAACTTATTTCACAGAGCTATAACCAGTAATTAATCTCATTTCTTGTTAAAGCTTCATATGTTTTATATTTTTGATTCTATGAAAAGTAATGTGGCTCAATAAGCCATATGGAAAGCTTGAAAGAAAGTAGGCTCTGGAGACACATATTTCAAAATAAAATTTAGCATCCAGCAATCCTCTCTTGTCCAAATATTATAACACTGTACTTCAAGCCTTTGATATTTACTGCACAAATGAGAACCACCTGGCCACCCATAACTATGAAAAGGATATCAAATGTGTTTTTCAGTCTGATGAATTTTTCTTTTTTAGTAATTATTGGGAAGGGAATGTTATTGAAGTATAAGAAAATATTTTATTGAAGCAAAAATGCCTATGTAAACTTTATGCCAATATTAAATCTTTGGAGACACAAGAAATAGCCATCTGAATATTAGTTTTTAAAAGCACTCATTTAGGCCGGCATGGTCGCTCAGGCCTGTAATCCCAGCACATTGGGAGGCTGAGGTGGGCAGATCACGAGGTCAGGAGTTCGAGACCAGCCTGGCCAGCATGGTGAAATCCCATCTCTACCAAAAAGACAAGAAATTAGCCAAGCATCGTGGTGCGTGCCTGTAATCCCAGCCATTCGGGAGGCTAAGGCAGGAGAATCACTTGAACCCAGGAGGCAAAGGTTGCAATGAGCCAAGATTGTGCCACTGCAATCCAGCCTGGGCAACAGATCGAGACTGCATCTCATAAATAAATAAATAAATAAATAAATGCACTCATTTAGTGATATAGTAGAGAGTCTTTCATAATTTATATAAATTTGACTCAGAGAAAAACTTTTTGGCATATAATCCATTGTTCATTATCTGGAGCTTTTGTAACATTAACGTGCAAAATCTAAATTCTTATTTGTGAAATTTATGGATATGTGTGCATGTAAACTAGCCTCATAATTAAGTTGCATTTATTTTCTGTGAGCTACTAATGGCTTTTGATAACTGATGATCCTTAGCAATCATACATCAATGACATTCAAGGAACGGAAGGGCCTTTAGCAGAATATAATACCTAATATATGATTCATAGAATAATCTTATATTCTTCCTTACTTCTTGTATTAATTGCATTTTTTTTTTTTTTTGAGACAGAGTCTTGCTCTGTCACCCAGGCTGGAGTGCAGTGGCACAATCTCAGCTCAGTGCAACCTCTGCCTCCTGTGTTCCAGTGATTCTCCTGCCTCAGCCTCCCAAGTAGCAGGGATTACATGCATGCGCCACCATGCCCGGCTAATTTTTGTTATTTTCAGTAGAGACAGGTTTCACCATGTTGGCCAGGCTGGTCTCGAACTCTTGACCTCAGGTGATCCACCTGCCTCGGCCTCCCAAAGTGCTGGGATTACAGAATATATTTTAAAAATTGTCTAAAAGTGAATTTATCCAACAAATGATAATTTATTACCACTCATTTTATAATAAAATCTCTTAATGTTGAACCACTTGCCCTCTGGTTGTTACTTTTATAATCCAGAGCTTACTCATAATATCGTTTTATTATATATAGTCAAAGTAATTTTTTTAAAGACTATCTCATGAATTAGATTTTGTTTATATATGTGGTACAGATAAAACTTCTGAAAATGGGCTATATTTTATATCCAAGTTCAAGGTAGTAAGTAGTCTGAAAAATATTTAAGTTATATCACATTAAGCTAAACTATAAACTAGGGAAACTCTGGGCTTGTGAATTCTTGTCATTCTTACTCACATATGATAATGACCTAGTTAGAGATGTGTGAAAAGGTTTTTCTTTTCTTTTTTAAAAAGTGTTTGTCTTTTGAATTAAAATTCCTTCAAGGCAGCACAGTAACTTTCTTATTTCCTATAAAATAAACCACCATCATAACAATGAGTATAGCAACTCATTATGGTTATGAACTCATGGATGATTATGAATTGAACCTAGGAAGCTGGCTTATTCAGTCACTGAAGGTATTCATAAAGAGAGAAACCCATACTCTGAGATACACCACCTTTACCAAGCTCTGTTGGCTTCCTTTCTGTCTCTGAATCTCCCTTTTCTATGTTTGATTTTTCTGTGGGTTGTTGTAGGTCTTTTTTCTCTTACTCTAGGCTGCTTGGTTTTCACCCCTTACCCGCTGTTTCTGTCATCAGTTTCTTTATGAAACACCAACTGATGTAAACGTAAAAGGTGTGAATTTTTTTTAACACGTCTTCCTTTTAACCCTTTCAATGTGTACTCATATGTAACTTGGCATTTAAAAAAAATTAATAGTAAGCTTTTTTTTTTTTTTTTTTAGGTACTCTCTAAAACTGTGAATGACTCTACAACAGAGTCAGCCTTTTTGCAGCCTTTGCTTCTCAAAATTGAGAGAAATGTAACATCTCCGGGTGGATTGGTGTAGTTGTTTATATCATTTGAACAGTGGGTTAGGGCTTCCTTTACTCCATAGGGCCCTTTACTATGTCATTAAATTCAGCTCCTATCACTGAAAAACACTTTTTAAATGACCGAAAAGTAAGGGATAGGAGGAAAGAAACTACTTTGCTGTGTTTAAGAGAACAGTCTTGAAATCAGCATCCATCAAAGGCAGGCCTGATAGTGACACTGGGAAGAGAGCAGCCACATTTTCCTTGTAGTGGGAAAACATTCTTGAATTTGAGCTCAAGGTGTCCAGACATGCCTGAGAACATGCACAGGTATTGAGGGAAGGTGATCTCTCACCACTTAGAACACCCAGGAAGAGATGCCAAAATACTGATTAATCAGCTATTCCTTAGAGCTATGTTACCAATATGTCTCTGTCTGTTAATCCGCCATTTTAAAAAGTCTTATTTGCAGTTTGTGATCTTGCTCAACTCTATTACAGCTAACAAAGGAATCGTTGCATGTTCATTCGTACTTTGGAGGGGCAGAGTGGTAAAGGAGAAACCTTCCCCCATCATGGTGACAGCAAGGGTGAGGGGTGAATAATCCCTAAAGGGGGAGAAAATGAAGAGTTACCAGCTGCAGCCACCTCTTCCCACATTGAGAAGCTAGGAAATTCATGCACTCATTTGTAATTTAAAAATATTGCCAAGATAAGATAGGTGTGAACAATTAAATACTAGAGATTATTTTGGATAGCAAACATTTGATAACAGTCAAGCTTGGTGGATTGGCAAACATTTTCTCTACAGGTCCAGATAGTAATATTTTCAGCTTTGCGGATCATACGATCTGTCGCAACTGCTAAATGTGCTATTGTCACATGCAAGCTGCCATTGACAATACCTAAACAAACAGGCATGGCTGTGTTCCAACAAAACTTTATTTATGTATGCTGAAATTGGAATTTTATGTAATCTTCACATGTCACTAAAAAGGATTCTTCTTTTGTTTGTTTTGAGACGGAGTCTGGCTCTGTCACCCATGCTGGAGTGCAGTGGTGCGATCTCGGCTCACTGCAAGCTCCGCCTCCCGGGTTCACGCCATTCTCCTACCTCAGCCTCCCGAGTAGCTGGGACTACAGGCACCCCGCCACCACGCCCGGCTAATTTTTTGTATTTTTAGTAGAGACAGGGTTTCACCGTGTTAGCCAGGATGGTCTCGATCTCCTGACCTTGGGATCTGTCTGCCTCAGCCTCCCAAAGTTCTGGGATTACAGGCATGAGCCACCGCGCCCGGCCGGATTCTTCTTTTGATTTCTTTTCAACCATTATCAAAACCATTTTCTTACAGGATGTATTAAAACAGGCAGAGGGCCAGATTTGGCCCATGGGCCGTAGTTTGCTGACCCCTAAGCTAGCTATACTCGAAAGCATCATATTTGTGTCTTTTTGCTTGAGGCTTGAGAATGATTCTTTTCTCTTCTAAAGAGATTTATATCAGACACTTTCACTAACAGGAAAGTGTTATGTTTAAGATTCAGTAACAGTCCCTAAACCCTTCTCTCCTTCACTTGTTCTCCTCTAAGCTCAGCACCTATCTTGGAAGGAAGGAATGATAATTCAGAACTCTTTTCAAGAAGTTATATGAAGAAGAGCAGAGATATCAATCTTTTGTTGTTTTTGTTTTTAGGATCTGAGATAATACAGTGTATCTGCAAGGGGATGAAAAGAGTCCAGCAGAGAAGGAGAAATTAATGACACAGGGAAGGTGGGGATAATGACTGGAGAGATGTCTTTGATAAAGCAAGAGGGAGCGGGGTCCAGAACTCTAGCTAAAGAGTTGGACCGTGATGGAAGTAGGGATGATTCATCCACTGGGACATCATTAACAGTGCTGTGTTAGGGAATTGGTTGGGGGAGTTTGAACGTTTTCATGGTGGAAAAAGAAGGGAATTTCCATCTGATTTCTTCCTTTTGCTCGGTGAAGTCTGAGGCAAGGTCATCTCTTTTTCATATTGGTGGCTTCTTCCACTTTAACCCTACAGTTTTTTCCTTTACAGACAAAGTATTTTCATCTGACTTCCATTTCTCATATTTGTATGCTTAGTCATTTGTACCCATTTCTTTTGAAATCACTTGAACATACTGGCCTTTGGCTTTTTTTTTCTCATGTGCCTATAATAGTTTTATCTGTATTTGGCTAGATAACATTGAGGTTAGAACTTTTAGTGACTCTGTGACAGTTGAATGTCAAAGATTCTCCTCCCTATTAGCCCTTGTGTTGCTTTAAGCAGCAGTGATTTTACACCCCTGGTCATGAAATGTTACACTTTTTAGAGACTCATGCAGATTCAACTAATGATTTCTCTCCCATGAAGGTATACATTGCAGGTAGGCACCATTAACATTTCAGTTTACTTGCAATTTACCTTGTGAAAAGAATATAATTCTAGAATTTGATTCTTAGCTCTGTAATAATCTGTTAGGTTGTGGATTTTTAATGAGTCAGTGAGTGTCCCCTTTAGATTTCTTACCAATATGTAATTAACTGAAGACATGTACTGCTGTGGTACAAGTCAACTGGCTTTGACACTGAGCACACCCGGGTTTCCAAACCCTGATTTTACAAATGTCTGGATTATCTAGTTTGTGGAGTAGTCAGGTCTTGGTCAATGTAGTGAACTGTAATGGGAAAAGCAGGGTCTTCGGGGAAAGCAAGACCTGGGTCCAGTCCTCAGCTTTGCCATTTACCAGACCCAGGTCTTTTGTAAATCATTTAACTTTTGCCAGCCTCCTTGTCCTCAGCTGTAAAGCAGATGTAATCATATGCACCCTTGCGTTGTGTGAGGGTTAAACGAGATGATGTATATAGTGTCCGGACACCACCTGACAGTAGGTGGTTAGTGAACGTCATATCCCCTTTCCTTTGTTGCCTGTGCTTTTTTTCTTTTTGCATCTAAGCTAGCAGATAGAAGTCCCAGGTTTGATTCCTGGGCCACTCTTCATATTCCTGGAGAATTAAGAGCATTTTCAAAATGTTTTACATAAGTGTTGCTTACCTCTAAGTCCTCACTGCAAAGGTAAATACTACTGCAAAGGAGAGAAAAGAAAAGAAGTGAATGTTTAGAAAAAAACAAAAAAGAAAGTAGAGCAAGAAAGGCAGGAAAAGGAAGTAATGAAGGAGAGGATAGAACAAAAAGAAGGCCCAACTGATGGGGGATGGAAGTATCGCAGAGAAACCATTAGCTTTCTCAGAGCCAGGCACCTGCACGGTGCAGAGCCAAGGCTATGGGCTCTGGGATAAAACGGATTTGTGTTCAAAGCCTGGCATCTCTGATGATTAGTTCTGGGACCTTAAGCAAGTTCCTTAACCTTTCAGCACTTCAGTTTTCAAATGCGGGAAACAGCAAGAGCTACACTTGCTGAGCACTCACCATGTGTCAGCACGCTCCACTGAAATTCCCACTCCACCCTGTGTGATATGTGGAATTATCACCCTCATCTGACAGATGAGGGAGCTAGCCGAAGGATGTGGTTAGCATTTGTTCAAAGTCACAGAGCTGGGCTTACCCCGCAGACCTGGCTCTGAAGCTCACACTGACTACTGCAGGAGGAGGGGAGATGGAGCTGTGGATGGGCCCACACAGCACCTGCCCTCTACATGTGGGTACTTACGCTCCCTTTCTTTCTCTTTTGCTCTTCTCTTATCTCCTGTTATCCAGGTGGTGGGACTTAATTTTCTAGAAATTTCCATCTGGTTAGATGGAACTTTCTAACCTAGGAAAAAACCCCAGCGCAGCCTCCCCTCAAATACACTCTAAGTTTCACTGTTGAGGAAATTAGCTTGGTGCAGCTGAAGCCTGTTTTCAGGAGTTGTTTCTGCTGGTTCCACTCCTGGCTGTAAATCAAAACAAATCTAAGTGACTTGATGGTAGAGGAAACAAAATGACTTCACTCACTCACGTGAGCATGAACTCATGCACACACACACTCACACTTACACATACAGGAGTTGATTATTTAGTCTCTTTGCAAGTATGTTTGGTTGAAATTAAGTTGGGCCATATTTGACCATTGTCTTACAGATTGGTGGTTATTTATTTAATCAGTTCAGCCTGTGTTTTGGCATTAAATAGATAATATCACATGATTTGTTCATTCATTACTTAACAATTATTAGGAGCCTATTATATTCTAAGTGCTGCGCTGGGTATGTGGCATATTAAATGAGATAGGACTTCCCTTTAAGTACATCATTGTCTAATGATCACACACCAAATAATTGTACTATACCATGATAAGTCTAGGAATGGAGATGAACACAAGGTTTGTCATTTATATTAGTGTATTTTTACAAGACCAAAAAGTGTTTTTCTATATGAGTTGTATCTTCTCTGTTGAGAATTCTTTCTGCATTCTAGTAAAAAAAAAAAAAAAAGAAAAGAAAAGAAAAGAAAAGAACCACATATACTTTATTTTTATTTTTTTGCTCTGTCTTATGGTGCTAAAGCCACATGTACTTTCCTTGGGTTATTTTAATAACACATGTTTTAAGAGTAAGTTAAGGCCGGGTGCAGTGGCTCATGCCTATGTAATCCCGGCACTTTGGGAGGCCAAGGTGGGTGGATCTCTTGAGCTCAGGAGTTCAAGACCAGCCGGGGCAACATGATGAAAGCCTGTCTGTATAAAAAATACAGAAATTAGCCAGGCGTGGTGGTACGCACCTGTAGTCCCAGCTATGTGGGAGGCTGAGGCAGGAGGATTGCTTGAGCCTGGGAGGTGGAGGTTGCAGTGAGCTGAGATCGTGCCACTGCATCACTGCATTCCAGCCGAGGCAACAGAGCAAGATCCTGTCTCAAAAAAAAAAAAAAAAAAAAAAAAAAAAAAAAAAAAAGTAAGTTAAGAAACAAATTCCTCATCATTTTTTTTTAAATTTGTTTTTAAGGTAACCTTGTTTTTCTGACTTTTTGGCCAAAGATATATATGTTCATTGTTAAACAAGAAAAAGAAAAAATACTGGGACACACACAAATAATTGAAGTTATCCTCTAATTCTACTCTTCCAGAATTGTTTACTGAATGACCAGTTAACTTTCAAAGTAGTAAATATATGAAAATATGTCTTTTTTTCTCCTTTGAAACAGAGCCTACTGGGATGTTAGATGTCTGGTACATGAAACGGCACATTGACTACAGTAGACAACAGATTTCTCTTTTCTGGAAGGTGAGTTTTAAGCGTCAACTTAAAACTCAAGGGAATAAAACTGAAGGCAGAAAAAGACCTATTTGCATAGTGGCTTTTATATGAAGCTTCAATGATTTTGCTAGAGCTCATTTTCTCACATTCATGACACACCACAGTGTCATGTGCCTTTGGTGGATAGGGGTGAGAGCTGAGTTCCTTCTTCCACACAGTCACATCGTTTCAATCCCACTTCCTATAAGATCAAGGTCTTTTTCCATCCCTGGCATTTCCACCCTCTGACCCCAACTACTTCATCTCTTCTGACTGTTGTCCCCTTTCTGCCCACCCCCACCTCTCCTACATAAATATGCCCAGCAGTAACCATGTCACTTCACTTATTCACTCTTTGGGAAACAAAAGATGAAAAAGCTGTGGATGTGGATATTTAATAATGTTTGTTAAGTCATTGAAGAGGGAGAAGGAGGAAAGAAAGCTGCTCTACTTTAGGAATAGTAATAGTGGTAGAAAATAATACAAACAGGCCAGGTGCAGTGGCTCACGCCTGTAATCCCAGCACTTTGGGAGGCCAAGGCAGGCGGATCACTTGAGGTCAGGGGTTAGAGACCAGCCTGGCCAGCATGGTGAAACCCCGTCTCTACTGAAAATACAAAAATTAGCCGGGCATGGTGGCATGCGCCTGTAATCCCAGCTACTGGGGAGGCTGAGGCACGAGAATCACTTGAACCCGGGAGGCAGGGGTTGCAGTGAGCCAAGATCATGCCACTGCACTCGAGCTTGGGTGACAGAGTGAGACTACGTTTCAAAAAAAAAAAAAAAAGAAAATCATACAAACAGGAATAGAAAGCAGCCCTTCCTCAGGAATGGTAATAAAACAGTAGTAAATTAGACAACTTTCCAGAAAACAGTGAAGCCTGACATTATCATAGAATGCGAAAGTTTCACAAAGCACTGAAAGCTGGCATTACCATTTTATTTAATCCTCACAAAAATCCCCTGAGGTAAGTACTGGTACGCCCACTTACCAGTGAATGAGAAAACGAATGAATGAGTGAATGAAAAAACGAGTATCAGAGAGAGGAAAGAGAGGAAGTTCTTGCCCAAAGTCACCCAGCTACTGAGCACAGACCTGAGACTGAAACCTTATCCAGAACTGCTGCATCGTGACTCATCTTTGTTGAAGGAAAATGCTGTGCGATTCGAATTGAGCTACTGATTGGCATGCTCATAAGAGGTTTCCTGGTGAACTGCACTCTTTATTTCTCAGGACTCACATCCTCTTCACTACACCTCTTCCAGTTGAGGATAGAAAGTTTTGGAATTATGAATCTGAATGAGCACAAAACCAGAAGAGTAAGAATAACAATTATAAAGTCCTCTGATGGGGTTCACATGATGGGTTTTGATCATTGCACACTTCTTCAGTTTTAAGAAATGAGTGATTTCTTCTTCTTTCTCCTCCCTGTCTCTCTCACACACACATAAAACGTCTGGTATAAGAAGAGACTACTATAAATAGCCTGGTGAATCATGATCAGGCTCTTCACTTTGAAACTAACACTGCAGCTCAAAATTTATTTTAAAATGAATCTACTTTCAATAGCAAGACAATTCTCAAAGCAGGACATTTAGAACAGCCATAATTTGTGAATATTATAGAAGAACCCAGCCTAATTATTTCCTTTTCACGAGCAAGTGACTGGTTAAAACCAAAATTCCTCCTCTCATGTAAAGGTTTCTCCTCCAAAAATGTCCTCAACAGTGATCTGGAAAGATATGCTACGTGTTAATCTATTCCACGCCTCTCAACTCAAGGGTTTCTCTCAGTAGAATGAGGGTAATGATACAGGTATCTGCAAAGCTGACAAGACCATTGTGGGGATCAGCAAATGAGAGGACACAAATGTAAAAATCACAAGGGCCACCAGTGTAAAATTCAGCAGTGCTGCATGATGCGTGTTTATCCTGACAGTGAAAGCTCCATGCCTGCGTGCTTTTCACTGTAACAAACAGAGTTTATAGTGGACATCATCTTGGTTCTCTGAAACCAGCACCAGAGTGAAGTCAAAATAAGTATGTGTTGGCCATGAGTGATGCTTGGTAAATGTGAGTATGTGATTTCTTCTCTGCTGCCCTGATTTTATTTCTATCTTCACAAGGCTTAGGTTCTATAATGAGGTCTTGGAATTTGGAGGGACTTCAAAGCTCTTCTAGTTCAGCCTTCCTTTCATTATAAACATGGCTCCTACTCCTGCCAGGACAGACAGATGTCTCAGTGGGGATATTCTGGGACAGGGAGAATCTCACTTTGTAGTCTGCCCATGCCATGGTTGAACATCTCTTATTGTTTAGAAAATGTTTCCTTTTGTGTAGCCAGAATTGTGGGCCCAAGAAGGATGCTTGGGGTTGGAACTGGCTTAGAAGAAACCAAAAAGGGCAAGGCACAGTGGCTTACGCCAGTAATAATCCCATAATCCCTAATCCCAGCACCTGGGGAGGTCGAGGTGGGCAGATCACTGAAGTCCAGGAGTTTGAGACCATCCTGGCAGACATGGTGAAACCCTGTCTCTACCAAAATACAAAAAAATCAGCTGGGTGTGGTGATGCCCACCTGTAATCTCAGCTACTTGGGAGACTGAAGCAGGAGAATCCCTTGAACCCGGGAGGCAGAGGTTGCAGTGAGCTGAGATCGTGCCATAGTACTCCAGCCTGGGTGACAGAGCAAGACAAAGAAGGAAGGGAAGGAAGGAAGGAAGGAAGGATGGAAGAGAGGGAGGGAAGGAGGGAAGGAAGGAGAAAGAGAAAATAGAGAAAGAGAAAGAAGAAAGAAGGAAAGAAAAAAGAAAGAGAAAGAAAGAAAGAAAGAAAGAAAGAAAGAAAGAAAGAAAGAAAGAAAGAAAGAAAAGAAAGGAAGGAAAGAAAGAGAAAGCAAAAAGGTAAGCACTAGAAGCTTCTATAACTTGATGTCAGATGGTAGTCATCAAAAGCCAACCTCAAAACCTTCAGTGACTCTCTAGTCTAAGAGGCTCCCCAAGGAAAGTTGGATGCAGTCCTATATTGTCACAGGATTAAGTCCTTTTCTGTCAAACCTGGGCTTCTTTAATGGCCCCAAACAGGCCACTCAACTGAGGGTGGGAATGGAAACACTGACCAGAGTTACTGAGCAGTCCTGCTTTGGACCACAGAACCACAGAGTTATAGACCTCTAGAGCCAAAGGGATTTAACTGTCATGTAGTCTCACCCCACAGTTTAAAACATGGAAACTGAGGTTTCAAGAGGTGATTTTCCAGTGAGGGGATTTCAGGTGATTTGAGTCCACTCTTATCCCAGCCTCTAATAGGGATTCCTCATGCCACTCTCAGGCAGGCTTGGGAATTCAAGGGAATGCTGTGGTACAAGGGAGTTATCTAAGTGTCAGGCTAGAAGGAAAACTCTGCAGCCAGATCGCTTTGTGACAGGGCCCAAGTCATACCTCACTGGGGAAAGGGAGCAAGGGCGTGTGTGGTGGGGTTTTTTGTTTTTTGGGTTTTTTTTGTTTTTTTTTGTTTTTGTTTTTTTCCTTTGAGCAACTCTGGGAAACCAAATGCAAGAAACGCCCACCACTGCAAAGAAGGAAATCTCATGCCTTGGCATCAAAGGAAGCACCAAGTAAAACCCCATTTGCCTGTGAATAAAGTGAGAGCACTTTTCTCTTGCATATGGGGAAATGTGAGATGACCTTTCACTTTTGTAGGATGTTTACAATAGAGGAGAACAACTCCGTGCTGATTGGGTGCAGCCCCTGGGGGTTGGGGTGGGAGTATGTGTGTGAGTGTGGGTGTGAATGTATGTGAGTGTAAGGATGTGAGTGTGTGGAAGGCGTGGGAGTGTGGGGATGTGAGTAGGGTGTGAATATGTAGGTATGTGAGTGTGTGTGTATGTATGAATGGGTGCATGTGTCAGTGTGTGAGGATGTGAGGATGTTGGTGAAGGAGACCTTTGCTTTGTTATGGCTTGTCACTCCTTTTCCCATGACTTAGTTTCTCTTGAAAGTACCATTTCCTCAAAAATATCTTGTACTACTTTTTAAAATCACACCTTTTTTTTTTTTTTTTGAGACAGGGTGTCATTCTGTCCCCCAGGCTGAAGTGTGGTGGCACAATCTCAGCTCACTGCAGCCTTCACCTCCTATGCTCAAGTGATCCTCCCACCTCAGCCTCCCAAGTAGCTGAGACTACAGGCATCCATCACCACGCCCAGCTAATTTTTGTTTGTCACAGAGACAGGGTCTCATTCTGTCCCCCAGGCTGAAGTGTGGTGGCACAATCTCAGCTCACTGCAGCCTTCACCTCCTGTGCTCAAGTGATCCTCCCACCTCAGCCTCCCAAGTAGCTGAGACTACAGGCATCCATCACCACGCCCAGCTAATTTTTGTTTGTCACAGAGACAGGGTCTCATTCTGTCCCCCAGGCTGAAGTGTGGTGGCACAATCTCAGCTCACTGCAGCCTTCACCTCCTGTGCTCAAGTGATCCTCCCACCTCAGCCTCCCAAGTAGCTGAGACTACAGGCATCCATCACCACGCCCAGCTAATTTTTGTCACAGAGACAGGGTTTCACCATGTTGCCCAGGCTGGTCACAGACTCCTGGGTTCAAGTGATCTGCCCACCTCAACCTCCCAAAATGCTGGGACTACAGGTGTGAGCTACCACACCTGGCCCATAGCTATTTTTAAGAGGAAAAATACTTTCAATGTTGAAGCCAAAAAGTACAGCCTAATCTATGAAATGAAAGAAAAACACCTGGGTATTGTTAAAACCACAAATGCAATAAAAGTAAAAAATGTTGCTTGATTACGAATAGCCCCAGGGTTGGATTAGGCCCCTTTACAAAAGGGGGCTTTTAGCAATCCTCTCCCTCAAACTTCCTTTCTCTTCTCCTTCTGTACTGTTTTATATTGTATTCTTTCCTTAATTAAGTATCTCAATCCATGATTCCAATATACTTCTTTTCTAGTTAAAACAGCATGTATCTTTTAAGAAGAAAACCACCTTTCATATATATATGAAAAAGATATGAGAACCAGGTAAAGCCACATCAACCGTTCTAGTTTCCTCTCTTAATTTCTTTAGCATCCTCTCATTATCTTGATCATAGCAAATCACAAACTTTTGAAATTTGTTTGAGGCCATGAGTCTGGAAGAGAAATATTCATGTTAAGCTCATTCATTTGCTCAAACAAACATATGAAAGCTCCTCTTTAGTATTAGACACTGTACTGCATAGCTGGGATATGAAAGTGAACAAGACAAATCCAGTCCTCATGTCCTGGAGCTCACAGTCCAGCAAGAGGACAGGAGTAGGAGCAGGATGCTGAGGACATTTGGGTGTTAGGGAGCAGTTCCAGGTTCAGGTGGAAGGATGATGGTTGAGCTCGCCTAGTGGAGCAGGGGAGTGGTGGGCAAGCAGAGAGGGACACCTCTATGGATTTGGCATGGAAAGGATTACTTTAGTGAAGCACTGTTCCACGGAAATATAAGCAAGCCACAAATGGGAGCCACATGCATGATTAAAAATTGTTATGTAGCCAAATTTTAAAATGTAAAAAGAAACAGGTGAAATTAATTTTAATAATTTTTTTTCTTTTTTGAGATAGAGTCTCCCTCTGTGGCCCAGGCTGGAGTGCAGTGGCGTGATCTTGGCTCACTGCAACCTCCGCCTCCTAAGTTCAAGTGATTCTCATGCCTCAGCCTCCCAGGTAGGTCAGATTACAGGTGTGTGCCACCATGCCTGGCTAATTTTTGTATTTTTAGTAGAGACAAGATTTTGCCATGTTGGCCAGACTGGTCTCAAACTCCTGATCTCAAGTGATCCTCCTGCCTCAGCCTCCCAAAGTGCTGGGATTACAGGCATGAGCAACGGCTCTCGGCCTAATAATACATTTTATCTAACCCAGTAGATCCAGAACATTGTCATTTTACCATGTAATCAATTTTTAAAATTATTTGGATATTTTATAACCTTTTTATCCTACCAAGTTTTCAAAAACTGGTGAGTCTACTAAGTGCCAGTATGGGCACATTGGTTAAGACTTCACCCTCCAGACAGTAGCACATCTTGGCTCGGACTAGCCATGTTTCAAGGGCTCCATGACTTCCTACAGCTAGGGGCTCCCTCCCATATTCAACAGCACAGCTTCTGTGTTTTCAGAGCAATACAGAGAGAGTTAAGAAAATTCGGACTGGGCATGGTGGCTCATGCCTGTAATCTAAGCACTTTGGGAGGCCGAGGTGGGAGGATCACCTGAGGTCAGGAGTTCAAGAGCAGCCAAACCCTGTCTCTACTAAAAATACAAAAATGTTAGCCAGGCATGGTGGCATACGGCTGTAATTCCAGCTACTCAAGAGGCTGAGGCAGGAGAATCACTTGAACCCAGGAAGCAGAGTTGCAGTGAGCCGAGATCACGCCACTGCACTCCAGCCTGGACGACAGTGTGAGACTCCATTTCAAAAAGAAAAAAAGAAAGAAAACTCTTAGTTCCAAAAGTGGGGAAAAGATTTAGTGTTTTTTATTTGTTATACGAAGTAATTCATTTTGACAAACAGCTACCCTCAAACCACAGAAGATGGAAAGAACGAGAAGATAGCAAGCCCCGTATACCAATTTACGGCACAGCCTGAGAGAGACTGTTGTGAAAGGAACAGCTTATTCAGTACATTCACTTTGTCTCTTTCTCCTTGTATCTCTCTCTCATATGCAGAATATTCCAACCTATATCACACTGCACTGAAGTGATGAATTCTTTGGCCTCCTCATATGAAAAAGCTTGTTAAAAGTAGAAAGTATTATTTGGGACCTGATTTATATTGATGTAGGACAAAGGTCTATTGTAAATCCCTAGTGAGGATTGGCTGCCAGGACCTTGGGGCATTTATATAATTATAGGAGCTATCCGATCTCAGAATCAATATTTAAATACAAAAGCAGCAGATGGCACAATTTAGATTGTTTCGTTGCAATATTCAACTCTATCTCCCCCTTCCCAATCCTGGCCCATCACAGGCAGGCACAGCATTTCCAAAGATATTTTTGGAAAGAAAGGGCTGCTTTTCCTTGCTTACTAGTCACACATGTTATGCCAGCTGAAAGTAGGGAATTTTGATTGGATAGCAGAATGTGGCCAGTGCAAAAAAATAAGAGAGTAGGTAGCCAAGAATTAACAGAAGATAGAAAGAGGAGATGGAAAGGGCATTTTAAAGTTTTGCTTTCATGAAAGTTTCTCTTATTTTTCTGTTTTTCTAGCTGCCAAACAAGATAGAAATCATTATGCCACGGTCACCACCAAGAGGTTTGACTATCAGTTAAGTCAGTTCAGTATAGCAGAACACTGGGGAGTATCTAGGAAGTGCTAGCATGGTCCAGCAGTTAAGAGTTCACCTCTTGGTAGAGCTGTGCCACCTGGGTTTGAGTTCCAGCTTCACTACTTATTGGCTGGATGTTCTTGGGCAAAGTGCTTAAACTCTCTGTTCCTTATTTTATTCATGAGTAAAGTGCAGATCACATGAAGTTGTGAAGATTAATGAAATCGTTGTGAAAAGTGTTAAGTTATTGTTATGAGGCAAACATTGTGCATGACATTGAAGGTGCTAGTGGGAAAATAGATCCTTAGATAGTTTCAATGGAGTGTTTTCTAAAATGTCCAGGTGAGGGTTGTCTATTTTTTTTTTTTTTTTTTTTTTTTTTTCGACAGGTTCTCACTCTGTCACCCAGGTTGGAGTGCAGTGGTGCGATATTAGCTCACTGCAACCTCTGCCTCCTGGGTTCAAGCAATTCTCCCACCTCAGCCTCTCAAGTAGCTGTGATTACAGGCATGCACCATTATGCCCAGCTAATTTTTGTATTTTTAGTAGAAAGTGGTTTCACCATGTTGGCTGAGCTGGTCTCAAACTCTTGACTTCAAGTGATTTGCCCACCTCAGCCTCCCAAAGTGCTGGGATTACAGGTGTGAGCCACCGCGCACGGCCAAGGGTTGTCTTTTGAATCACTTCATTTGGACTGGGGTTGCAAAAGGCAGTCATGAGTTTTAAAATCAAGATGCTCACAAAAACTTACAAATTACATGTATTTTGTAACCAACTGAATGGCATTGGTGAGACTTCCATATAGAACAGAAGAGTAAGCCAAGAGTCAAGATGACCTAGCTCTTCATAGACTGGTAGAAGAGTCATGTAAGTGTATTAGCAAAACTGACAATCATGATATTTTTATATTACTTTAGAGTAACTGAGAGAAGGGAAGTCACCAAGAGTCTTAACATGTGCCAAGCACTCTTTAAAACAGTTTACCTCCCTTAACTCATTGAATGCTCCAATAAGCCTACACTGTACATGACAGTATCCTTATTTTATAAATAAGGGCACTGAGGCTCAAAAAGGGAAAATAATTTGCCCAAGGTCATACAGCTGCTATGTGGTAGAGCAAGGAAGCAAAGGATCTGCTCTAATAAGAAAAAAATCAAAGTCAGCAGTATTCCAAAGCCAAAATCAAAAGAAATAAAAGCTGTGATTAATAGTGTTCAGATTCCTCCAGCTTTCTAAGGTCTAGATTATAGACCCTCTTCTTTGATACAGGCTAAGCGCTAACAGATTTTTTCTTTATTATTTGCATCAGGGGAAGTTCAGAAGTAGAGCATTACTTTATGAGAAGTTCAGTAAGTTTTTTAAATCTTAAGAAGACATGATTTATCAATTCATGGAGACACCCCTCCTCCAATAGATCTTTAATTAAAAATAAAAACAGATGCATTGCATTCTGAAATGTGTCAGATTTTGTCCTGTCATGGATTACATTTACCACATTTTTAATGCTGAAAGCTTTTTCAGGCAGCAGAACTCTTACAGTAGGTTTACTGAGAGAGCTGTTCACTCTTCAGTTCTCAGACAAAGCCAAGTCAGAAAGGCTTTCCATAATAAATTTAAATCATTTCCCACAGGTCAGAGCAGAAAGAAAATGGAAGGAGAGAGGCAATGGGACTGTGGTTCCTTTATAGCATATTCTTACCAATAGGAGAAGGTGACAATGACAGTAGGAACACTGGCCTGAGACCCATTCTTAGCACTGTCAGAGAAGGAAAAAGAGGTGGCAGGTCTTGGAGACACTCCCAGGGATGCAAGACACATTCTGGATACTGCGCACCGCTCTCACATCCACCAGAGGGCACTCAAAAATCTCACATTACTTTTCTGTGGGGACTATTTGAAACCGTTCCTTAATGTCCCCAAGCTTCAACATCCTCAAAATCAGAATGGAGAGTTACAAGGGCTAAATGGGACATTAGACATAAAACTCCTGGCTCATGGTATAGCCCAATAAATGTTGGTCTTTCCTTTATCATTCACCCAAACCAGCAGCACCAGCATACAAATAGGTTGATCTGGGAAGAGTCGGCGGGCTCCTCCGGTTTGCAGTCCTTCTGAGCTCACAGCTTGTCTCCTGTGACTCAGAACCTGCTAACTCTGGAAAAAAAGGGATTCTCGGTCTCCACCCTCCCCAAACTGATGAACTCATGCTGCCTGTTCGTGCTGCATGTGAGAATGTACCAAACCTCACAATTAGAGAAGTTGCTTTGCAATTTTGGGCTAGAAGGGTGACTGAGGATTTCAACTATGAAACACGGCTGCCCACACCTACCAGTTCATTGTCTCAGGCTTGTCTATATAGGGAGCAGCACGTCATAACAGAGGGAACATTGGCCTAGAAGTCGAGAGCTCTGGGCTCTGCGCCTACCTTCTTCATCTGTCCATTGAATGGCCTTAAGCAAGTCACGTCATGTCCCTGGGCCCCTGTTTTCCCACTTATAAAATGAATCATTGAATTAACTGTTAATCTGTAGATTCACTTCCAGTTTGGTGGTTCCTTGATGATATTCCCTTCCATCAGGACAAGGCATAATCCAGGAGTAATGGACTACATACACCATTTGCAAACTTTATGTTGCCTTAAAAAATTAAAAAAAAAAAAACCCTGAACTGATTATACTGTTTTCAGTTGCTTCAGGAGACTAAGTGGCTAAATATCTGTTTTCCTATTAGCTCATTGAAGTTTTTGTTCCATCGACCCTGTCAGACGAGTTAGGCTTGTTTTTCAATTTGATTAAGGAGACCAATTACCTAAGAAAGGATAATCGTTATTCCAAAAATTGAGTTTGACATCTTATATCAGCCTAACCCATGGGATACCATATTTACTTGTCCACCTACTTCCATCCCACTCCCACCTTTTCATTGATATTTTCAACTCTAAAATATGGGATGCGAAGGGGAAAATGTAAGAGTCTGGGTCCATGCCCTCTGGAAATCTTTATGATCCGTCAGAGCCACACCCCTATTTACTAGACTGCTGTGATCAGCTAGATTTTCACAGCAGTCACTATGCACAGCCATTGGATCCAAGATAACATTTCACCCCTTCCTTTAGCACTTTACTATTATATCAAATGAGATTTCTGGGATGTCTATGAAGGACAGTGGGAGGGAGATAATAAGACTGGTTTGCAATGTTAGCGTTGGACTGAAGCCTCTTGGGTCCCTGGCCAGAAATAAGAGTTTTGTGAGCTCAGTTAACTCTTGGGAAGTACCTTAGGGTTGGAAAACTTGGGGTGTGAGTGGAGGTAACAGTCCTATCTCTGGACTTGCAGAAGAGACACATAGGGAACAACGGAGTGAGAGATAGCTGAGGGGATGGTCTTCCCTTGCCAGTGTCTGCTTTATTGTTTTTCTCCTCTGACAAAGGGCATATTTAATAATAACAGTTTAGAACATCCTACTCTAAAAAGCACTTGCTTATTCTAATCCATACAACAGGCCTATGAGATCGGCTGCGACAGACATTTGAAATGCTGACTTTAGGGAAAGGCAGAATGTCCACACAAAAGGGCCCACAGCAACATGACATCCACCTCGTGCACTGACTATGGTTTAAGATCTAGTTTTGGGCCTTTTGGATCCAGAAGGGTCACCAGAATGGACCTGCATTAATCAAGCTTCCAGAAATGGAGATATAAAAACTAGATGCTCATGGATTAATTTCAGCAAGAAATGCAGCTGTGGGGCCAACCAGAAGGCTTGAGTCAGCAGATAGGAACATTCTCTCCCAGTATGCTAATTGTTTCAGAAGCCAAATTATAATCAGAAGGCCAATTTATTCACTTAAAGTGAAAAATAAAAATTATAAGTGAACCAGATGTTCATGTTAGCCCAGCCTTTCCTGACAGATAATCGACAGAGGAAACCAAATTATTAGAAGAGTGCTTGGTGAGCAGGGAACCCAGGCAAGGGGCATTTGCTGACTACAGTGTGTCTTTCAGCAAACACAGCCGGAGGCCCCCCACCCATGGAAGGGACAGCCTTGCCAAGAAAACTGTAGCACTTGAATCTGGTGAGCAAGCCTTCCTCACCTTGCATGAGGCATGGATGGGCACCGCCAATGCTAGACTTGACAACTCTCCATATTCTATGCTTCTGTTTCCCATGGTCCTTGTCAAAACAGGGTTATAATACAAATAATTAGTTCTCTGCTTACTTTCTGGGATTGCTCCCAAATGATCTCAATTGGAATTTTTGCAGTTCCAAAAGTTGTTAGTTACACGTTTATGAACAGTGTCTTAGTTTCCTAGCACAGATGGCTAATTCAATTCACTAAATGAAGATTTTACTAGTTTAGCTCTTGAAAATCTTCTGTTTGATGTCTTGAGCAGCAGTGCACCTTCTGTAGAAAAGGTTATATGTGTGTGTGTGATTTACAAATTTAGAAATGGAGACTCAGAGGGGCTGAGTGCCTTGCCCTTGGGCTGTGTAAACAGTAGAGCTGGAACTCAAATCCAGATCTTCTGAGTTGAGATTCTATACTTGTTCTATTGGATGTGACCAAGTTGTCTACTATTAGTAAGTTTCATTTTAAAGCAAAAAAGAAAATCAATGCGTTCTTAAGAATTATCTTTTAAAAACGTTAACTGATTTTTTATTTCCTAAATGGCAGGGAGGGGAAGGTGGGTATTGCATAAAAGTGTGTAGCAGGGAACATGAGATGATATGAACAAAAAGGTCACTCAGCTGTAGCTGCCTAGTACATCTGTACCCATGAGGTCCAGGCACAGAGCATCAGTGATCTTGTCTGGGAGTAAATAGTGAATAAATGTGTCTTGTTGCAGAATCTGAGTGTCTCAGAGGCAAGAGGAAAAATTCTCCACTATCAGGTGACCTTGCAGGAGCTGACAGGAGGGAAAGCCATGACACAGAACATCACAGGACACACCTCCTGGACCACAGTCATTCCTAGAACCGGAAATTGGGCTGTGGCTGTGTCTGCAGCAAATTCAAAAGGCAGTTCTCTGCCCACTCGTATTAACATAATGAACCTGTGTGAGGCAGGTAAGTTCTAATTTTTCTTTAACATTGCCTGTGGAAAACTGTGTCTTACTCATCTCTTATCTCCTGCAGGCCCAACCCAGGACCTAAAATGAGTAGCTAGGAGTTCAGGCTTTGGAGTCAACAGCTTTCAGAGGCTTTTTTTTTCTTTTCCAATCAGCCTATGAGTAGCCTTGGACAAGTAAATGAACACCTCTGAGCTTCAATGTCCTCCTCTCTAAAATAGGAATTATATTGCCTGTCTCATAGGTCATTTTGAAACTAAATATTAATACATAGCAGGTATTTAATACATTGTAGTTAAGGAAATACTAGTTACATTAAATTGAACACCAATATCTGACTAGCTTTTATAGAAGCAGGAGAAATACGTGTTATGTTTCAGAAAACATTTTACACCTAAAGTCAAAACGTCTTTTTAAAACCAAAGTCGGGGATGGTGGTGTGTACCTATGGTCCCAGCTACTTAGGAATATGAGATGGGAGGATTGCTTAAGCCCAGGAGTTCCACGCCAGTCTGGGCCTCACAGTGAGACCCCTTTCATCAAAAACAAATAAATAAATAAATACAACCAATAATATTGAAATTCTGACTAATGAAACTATAGTAAAATTTTGTTTTACCATAGCCCTTTATTGCACAAGTTTAGACACGTATCCAATTACCTTTATCAGAAAATTCCCAACTAGATGTAGAGTCTCACATTTTATAGTCATATCCTCTGAAAATTAACTTCTCAGGATAAAAGCTCACAATTAGGCAAGGAAATTGATATTAATCCTATTTCTCAAGATCTGTATTATAAAAGAATTCCATGTCAAGTTCATTGGCCTAACTTCAAAAAATGCCTAATAGAGTAAAACTCTGTAATGAGATCCTTTCTTAAAATTCAGTATAATAATTTTATCTACCAGTGGGTTTAGCAATCTTCATTTTGAAAAAGTCTACCAAAATACTATTATTTAATATACACTGTTAAATCTTGGTTATATATCTTTTCAGTCATATATCTGTACAAAGAAATAAAGTATTAGATAAAATACTTAGAAGAAAATACAGGTAAGTATTAATGTATATATACAAGTAAACAGTATATGTATAGTATATGCATATAACCTTGGGTTGGTGTATGAGTTAGGAATTTCTCTTAGGGTTAGGGTTGTTCTTACCAAAAGCCTGACTATAGGAACTTATTTATCCTCTCAAAAAAAGAGAAGTCCAGAGGTAGACAGCCTAGGGCTGGTGTGACAGCCTCATGATGCCATCAGGGCTCTAGGGTCCTCCTTTCTGTTCCCTCTGCCAAGTTTGGCTTTCATCCTTATGATGGAAATGGTCCAAAATGGCTGCCAAGGCTCTAGCTATTTCCTTCTAGACAGCAGAAAAGGAAAAGAAGGGCTCAGCCCTTACTTTTAAGGAGCTTTACCCCAGGTCTCACAACAACACTTGCATTCATCAGCCCACTGGTCACCTGGTCACACCCAGATGCAAAGGAGGCTCAAAAATATATTAAGGCAGCAATGTTCCCTTGCTAAAAAAAGATGAGGAGAAGGTGTTTGTAGGCAACTGGTAATCTCTCTCTATATTTATCAATATAACTTTTTCAAATATATGAAACTTTGGAATATGAACAAACAACTCAAAAAGAAGTATAAAAGGAGCAACAAAGATATGAAAATGTTTAGCCTAACTAGCAATTAATGAGATACAAATTTTGAGAAAACCTGAGAAACCAAATCAGACTGAGAAAGAGTAAGTAGAATGAACATACCCATGTTGGTGAGGGTGTGGGGAAGATACTCTTGTACACGCTAGTGAGTGTGTAAATTGGTACAACTTACTAGGGAGCAACTTGGCAATATGTAACAAACTTTAAATTAAACTTGTATCTTTTGACCAGGTAATTTTAGCCTTAGAAATGTATACTCAGCATATCATAGGATAAGTGCTTAAAAATGTAAGTACGAAGATGTTTGTTGAAAAATTGTTTGAAACAGTGAAACACCATAAACAACCTAAGTGTATAATAGTAAAGAATGGACTGGTTAAACTCACCATGACCCTCAACTGCTTTAATCCTACACCAACATTAAAGGGATGTTGTAGCTATGTTTTTCATTGACATGGACAGATACACATTATAAGTGAAAAGGTAAGATTTTAAAAGTGTATATGAGGTGATGCCATCTTAAATACATATTTACAACTAGCGCGTGTCTCACACCTCTAATCCCAGCACTTTGGGAGTGCAAGGTGGGAGGATTGCTTGAGCCCAGAAGTTTGAGACCAGCCAGGCCAACATAAGGAAAAAGATACAAAAAAAAATAAAAATAAGATTAGTCAGCTGTGGTGGCTCACGCCTGTGGTTCCACTACTTGGGAGGATGAGGTGGAAGGATTTCTTGAGGCTAGGAGGTTGAGATTGCAGTGAACTGTGATCGCACCACTGCACTCCAGACTGGGTGAAAAAGTGAGACTCTGTCTCAAAAGTAAATAAAAAATAAATAAACATTTACATGAGCACGTATTTTTTGAAGGGTAAAATTTAAAAAATATCTAGCTGAATATAGATCAAAATGTTAACAGAGATCATTTGTACATCTGGAATTACAAGTTATTTTTCTTCCCTTTTGCTTTTTATATTTAAAAATTTGTTCTTCAGTGGCTAAGTACTGTGTATGTAATTTTTAAAGTGAATTCTGTGGTTCTATTCTGCTGTTTTTAAAATGAAATAAATCAGAATAACTTACTTCTTCAAACCTCACTGCAGATGGGTCTTGAGGTTTTAAACCTCATGAATTCTATGGTCCCATTCCAGGTTCCTTAGTTAGATTTGGTGACAACTTCTCAAATGTCACATTCATTATGTTAGAGTTCATTTCTACTTTATTCATTCAACAGTCATTTTTGAGCATACACTATATAAGGCAGTTGGAATCCAGCATAGGTAAAAGATACAGTCGAGGTCCTCAACTTATATTTAGCCAAGGGGGAGGGTCAGACATATGAGCAAGTAAAGTGCAGTACAGTAGAATAAGCATGAGGTAAGAGGTATGCATGGGGGCTCTAGGAACAGAGAAAAGCCAAAGCATGAGCTTGGAGAGGAGGCCAGGAGAGCTGGTGGCATGCGTACCAAGTATAGAGAGACAAAGTGGTGCTAGCCAGGTGAGGGAGAGCAGGTGTGCAGGCGTGAGGGTTTGTTTTAAAGTGAGAGCTGAGCAGGCATAGGACTTGAAAGGAAGAACCAGAGATAAGGAAGAAGTTGAAGACAAAGGAGAGGGAGGAATAATAGAATAAAGTCCCTGGGGAGATGGGAGATGATGAGGAGCCAGTGACCAAAAGAGGGAAGAGGAACACTTCATCCTCTGAGAGTGGACAGAGGACCATTGATCATAGAATGCTAAGAATGAGGTTGATGCAGAGATCACGTCAGGAGGGAAAGAAGGACATGAGGCAATTCTTCAGAGCCGAGCTGTCGTTAAGAGGGTCTTAGAAGTGCTGGAATCTCAAGGGCCTCTTGCCTCTCCTAAGATCACACCTGAGCCATTCAACACAAGTAGTTGTGTGTCCCAGAAGGACCTGGAGAACAAATTGGCGAACTGCATGGTCCTGTCTTTGAGGACTTTGTCTCACACATACCTTGAATGATCTGTAGGGGTAGAACATGACTTTGTGCCTTCTCCTTTTTCAGTATACAGTCATACTATTTACATATGTATCTTTTCTTCAAGAAAAGGATACAATAATGCCCCAACATTATTTAGGCTGATTTATGCTGATTTTGAGAGACCAGAGACAAATTTATTGTAAAAAGCACCTGCCATAGCATTGTATATCAAGAGGCACAAGAATGATTTTGTTAGCTTATGATAAAAGTTACATGCTAGCCAGGCATGGTGGCACATGACTGTTTTCTGAGCTACTTGGGAGGCTGAGGCAGGGGGATTGCTTGAGCCCAGGAGTTGGAGGCTGCCGTGAGCCATGATCGTGCCACTGTACTTCACCCTGGGCAACAGAACAAGACATTATCTAAAAAAAAGAAGGCCAGGGCCAGGCGCCGTGGCTCACGCCTGTAATCCCAGGACTTTGGGAGGCCGAGGCAGGTAGATCACTTGAGGCCAGGAGTTCAAAACCAGCCTGGCCAATACAGTGAAACCCTGTCTCTACCAAAAAATACAAAATTAGCCAGGTGTGGTAGTGTGCGCCTGTAGTCCCAGCTACTCGGGAGGCTGAGGCAGGAGAATCGCTTGAACCCGGGAGGTGAAGATTGCAGTGAGCCAAGATCATGCCACTTGTACTCCAGCCTGGGCAACAGAGTGAGAGACCCTGTCTCAAAAAGAAAAAAAAAAAAAAAAAAAAGGAATGTGTGCTAAACCTACCAGTCAACTAGTAAAATGTATTAAATATTTCAAAGATCCAGCCCTTCTACTCAAGACCTCTTGAAACTACAGGAAGAGTCAGAAGCCAGTATGGTCATAAACACAGGCTCACAGAGATGGCAGAGACTGGGGCCCAAGGAGGTGAAGTAACTGAGCCAAGATCATACATCCAATAGTGGCAGAGCTACATGGAAAACCAGACCACCCTTGGGTGAGCACTTTTTCCAAATGCCTTCTGAACGTTATAACTTCATACAGAAGCTCTCAGTGAAAATGGAGATGGGAAGTTGAATGATTGAGGCTAAAGGAATAATTTTGAAAGGTGACAGGGAGAAGGTGAGTTGTTAGCAGACTTTTGAAGGAAAGAACATGCCCCAGCAAACATCATGAGAGAGGAAATTCTAGGTTGGTTCCTGGCAAGTGTGGTGACTCAGAGACAGAAGAACCCTAGGCAATGCCAAGTTGATTTACTTAGCTAATTCCAGAGAAAGTAGTGGTTAGAAAGGCTCTTTGGCTTTTTTACCTCAATACTTGGCAAAGGATCTCGCAAACCATAGTGTTCAATAAATACTTGCTGAATGAGTAAATTTTATTCTCAAAAAACAAAACAAAATAAAAAGCCCACAGTATAACTGGGACATCAAATACCAAGGCAAGTGAAGACAAGGAACCATTGCTGGGAATTCCAGTTCCTGACAAGATGTCCAGTACACTGTCTACAGGCTCTACCACTAAACCTGGCCCTGAAGCTGCTGCAGAGAGATAAGATATGGATGGCTGAGTTCCCCCTCTGGGGAATAGTGATGAAGCGGGGAGGACCAAGGGAGCTTTCTACTTGTTCTCTTTGTTTTTTCCTCTTGTTATCCTGTTGTGATCGCTGCCCAGGAATCTCTATGATGGGGTAGGAAATTCTGGGGAGCAGTGCAGAGTCACTGTCAAGGCAGCCCTGGAACCTCACTGGGGAGGAGAGCTGGGAGCAAAGAGTGCCTGTGAGCTGGCTGACCCTTCAGCATTTTTTTCCTGCCACCCATCCCATGGGCCTGGCAGTTTCAAACAAGAATAATAGCTCAATTCCCTCACGAAAAGCAGTGCCTACCACAGAGGTACTAGTTTGATTCTGGAGGTACAAGTATGCCTAAGGGGTGCCTGGGGACAAAGAGCTCAGCTTGTATCACTGCAGGGTCTCTGGCCTGGAGCTTTCCAAGCTGAAAAGCCCTCCTCTCTACCCTAAACATACATGGAGGACCATGAGCTATAGCTGTACTTTGACTCCTCTCCCTATAAAAAAAGAAAAGCCAAGGTTGTTGACCAATCAAAGAAAATAAAACATGATCCCAAAAGAAAACATCAAGACAAATGTGAAGACCACAAGCCCTGGGAATGACAGGCAACAAATCAGTATCATAGGAAACAGAACTAATGCAACAGATAGTACAAAAGATTAGAATAAATGTAAAAAGCATCCTTAGAAAGATAAGAGAGAATACCAAAACATGAATCAGAAACAGGTAGTTATGAAGAAAACCCAAACAGAGTCAGCATGGAATGTTTAGGGGATTTTTATGTGATGTTAAACAGATTGCTTATTCACTCTTAAATATAGCATGTTTTAGGCCAAGCATGGTAGCTCATGCCTGTTATTCTGGCACTTTGGGAGGCTGAGACAGGTGGATCACTTGAAGCCAGGAATTTAAGACCAGCCTGGCCAACATGGCAAAACCCTGTCTCTACTAAAAAAATAAATAAATAAAAATAAAAAAGAAAAATTAGCTGGGTGTGATGGCGCACACCTGTAATCCCAGCTACTCAGGAGGCTGAGGCACAGGAATTACTTGAAACTGGGAAGTGGAGGTTGCAGTGAGCCAAGATCATGCCACTTCACTCCAGCTTGGGTGACAGAGTGAGATTCTGTCTCAAAAAGAAAAGAAAAGAAAAGCATGTTTTATTAGAATAACCTCAAAGGGCCATTAAAGAAAATGATTTCAGTATTGTATAGCAACAAATAATAGAAGCTAGCAAAAGTGTTTTTTTTAACCTTTGAAGTTTCTAATATACTTTGTCTATTTAGAAAACAAACACATTTAGTTGTTTCCATCTCTTAAACTTCAGTTGCATTGCATTCTTCAAACATCTTTTCATATTAGGGCTTCATGTGGTTTGAACATTTTGCTAGAATACTATTCTACTTTTGTCTGAGAGTGGTCAATTACATCTATCTTTTCCAGCATACAAACTCCAATATATTTAAGAGAATGCAAGGAAAGTTTAGTTATTGAAACAGCTAACTCAGCCGATGGGATGAATAGCAGAGAGGACTGATCTGAAGATTAAATTAGTGAGAGGAAGACTAGGGGTGAAATTCTTCCATAAGGTGTAAAAAAATGGGTAAGAAATTGAAAGATTAGAAAAATTAAAACACTGAAAGAGCAGAAATAGAAGTTATATCAACCATCTAAAAGGAGTTAGAGTAGAGGAAAAAAATGGAGGGGAGCAAATATTTGAAGACTAGTGATCAAGAATGTTACAGAATGAAAGAAAAACATAAGATTTCAAGTGGAAAGGCCTCAGAGTGCTAAACTCAACATAATTTTTTTTTTCATTTTATTGTAAAGTGTAAGGACCTTAAAGCCAAAGAAAAAAGTATAACAATATTTAGGGAGAAAAAAGCAAATCACCTACTAAAGAAAAAGAATCAAAAGGACACTAGATATGTCAATAACAAAACATATAAAAATACAATAACATAATATCTTCAAATGGAAGAAAGGAAAGAACTTTAAATCTGGAAATGTTTCTCCAGCTAAACTATCATTTAAAAATGAGAGAGAACTGGCTGGGCATGGTGGCTCACGCCTGTAATCCCAGCACTTTGGGAGGTCAAGGCAGGCAGATCACCTGAGGTCAGGAGTTTGAGACCAGCTTGGCCAACCTGGTGAAACCCTGTCTCTACTAAAAATACAAAAATTAGCTGGGGATGGTGTTGTGGGCCTGTAATCCCAGCTACTTTGGAGGCTGAGGCAGGAGAATCGCTTGAAGCCAGGAGACACATGTTGCAGTGAGCCAAGATTGTGCCACTGCACTCCAGCCTGGGCAACAAGAGTGAAACTCCATCTCAAAAAAAAATTAATTAAAATTAAAATTAAAAAAATTAAAATGAGAGAGAACTTAGGTAATAGAGTAAATTCAGAGGAACAAGATGTAAGGATAAAAGAGAGAGAGAGAGAAGATGCAAATAAAACACCAAGCAAAACAAGAGGGAAAGAATATTTCCCCTAGTAAAAGTAAACTTTCAAACCTAGCTGAAATAAACTTATGGTTAAATACTGTAAAAGCTAAAAAATTGGCACAAAAATATTTTTAAATTTTAAATAAATAAGTGTTAAGAATAAAAAACTTAGCCCAGGTGCAGTGGCTCATGCCTATAATCTCAGCACTTTGGGAGGCCAAGGCAGGCAGATCACTTGAAGCCAGGAGTTCGAGACCAGCCTGGCCAACATTGTGAAACCCCGTCTCTACAAAAATACAAAAATTAGCCAGGCATAGTGGTGCACGCCTGTAGTTCCAGCTACTCAAGAGGCTGAGGCACGAAAATGGCTTGAGCCCAGGAGGCAGAGATTGCAGTGAGCCAAGATTGTGCCACTGAACTCCAGCCTAGGTGACAGAGCAGGACTCTGTCTGAAAAAATAAAATAAAATAAAAATAAAAAACTTATTTATATACAACATGCACTCCAAAAAAGCCCCAGCCCCACATTGTTTTACAACTGAACTCTGAATTCAATGTTAGTTCAAGTTGCTATGGAAAATATAAAATAAAGAAAGCTGTCCAATCTATTTTCTAAGACGAATTTAACTTTGGTATTAAAATCAGATAAAGATAGCACAAGAAAAGTTATTGCCTAAATCACTTATGAACCTTGACACATAACCTGATGAATGAGAGATGTAAATTCAACACATGTATTAAAAATTAGTGGAGGCTGGGCACAGTGGCTTACACCTGTAATCCCAGCACTTTGCGGGGCTGAGTCGGGTGGATCACTTGTGGTTAGGAGTTCAAGACCAGCCTGGCCGACATGGTGAAACCCTGTCTCTACTAAATATACAAAAATTAGCTGGGAGTCGTGGCATATGCCCTTAATCTCAGCTACTCCAGAGGCTGGGACAGGAGAATCACTTGAACCTGGGAGGTGGCAGTTGCAGTGAGCCAAGATCATGCCATTGCACTCCAGCCTGGGCAACAGAGCATCTCAAAAAAAAAACAAAAAAACACACAGTGGTGATACTTTCAGTTTCCAGTCTAGCATCTAAGGCACTTTGGAAGTCATCATTCTGTCATAATAACAAGTAAAAACTCAACAAACTGGAAAATCAACACTTCTTCTTTGACCTATGAGAAGTGAGGTTATATGGCAAGCCACTGCCCCGAAAATTGAAGAGATAGACAGGTAAATACAGAGAATCACAAATTACCATAGCAAAAATCCCCAAGCAGAAAACTTCATGGGAACCAGTGCTGAGGTAAGAAAACCTAACTGTAACTCACAAATTGCTGGAGGCTCAGAACGGACAAATCTGAGAGTTAAAATCTCCACTGGGGATCAGTCATAGGAGGTCCTCACAGTTTTGTGAGTTTTATCTTATGGAGCTTGACCAGGGGCTGGGCGCGGTGGCTCACACCTGTAATCCCAACACTTTGGGAGGCTGAGGCAGGTGGATCACTAGAGGTCAGGAGTTTGAAGCCAGCCTGGCCAACATGGTGAAACCCCATCTCTACTAAAAATGCAAATTAGCCAGCGTGGTAGTGCGTGCCTGTGATCCCAGCTGCTTGGGAAGCTGAGGCAGGATAATCACTTGAACCCAGGAGGCAGAGGTTGCAGTGAGCCAAGATGGCGCCACTGCACTCCAGCCCGGGTGACAGAGCAAGACTGTCTCAGAAAGAAAAAAAAAAAAAGGAGATTGACCAGGTTATCACAGTGAATATCAGAAAAATCCCCCATGTTTCTCTCAGTGGGAGGGAAAAAGGAACCGTTATAAAATACATCAGAGTTGGCCAGGTGCAGTGGTTCACGCCTTGTAATTCCAGCACTTTGGGAGGCCAAGGCAGGCAGATCACTTGAGGTCAGGAGTTTGAGACCAGCCTGGCCAACATGGCAAAACCCTGTCTCTACTAAAAATACAAAAATTAGCTAGGCGTAGTGGCACGTGCCTGTAATCCCAGCTACTTGGGAGGCTAAGGCAGGAGAATCACTTGAATCCAGGAGGCAGAGGTTGCAGTGAACCAAGATCACTCTACTGCACTCCAGCCTGGGTGACAGAGGAAAACTCCGTCTCAAAAAAAAAAAAAAATACACCAGAGCATTCTGTTCTTAACAAGGCCTGCCCTCCAAGGAAACTGTTTTAATAGGGCTGAACTATTGGAGTTTTATCAGAACCTAACCAGCCTGGTGGGAGGAACATATCTAATTCCATCCTAGTCTGGCCTTCTATGTGGAGGGAAAGGAAATACCCAACTCCAATCCCCTCTATTCTTCTAGGTGGGAGAAGGAAAATACCCAACTCGAGCCCACTGTAGCCATCCTATCCCACTTAAGAGGGGAAAACTGATAAGCACTGGCAAGTTCCCAGTACAGGAGCACAGCCTCACAAAAAGACTGGGATGTAATCATAGGGTTATAGAATGCTTTCTTTCCCCCGACACCTTTCTACCACATTACTAAAAGCCCATTTACTGCATATGCTTTTACTTAGTAAATCATATCCACCTTTCAACAAAAAATTATAAGGCATTCTAAAAGGCAAAAAACAAACAAACAACAACAAAACAACAGTTAGTTGAGATACAGCAAGCATCAGAACCATACTTGGATATGGCAGGGATGTTGGAATTATCAGACCAGGAATTTAAAACAACTATGTTTAATATGCTAAAGGCTCTAACAGATAAAGTAGAAAACCTGCAAAAACCGATGGACAGGGTAATCAGAGAAATTAGAATTCTAAGAAAGGGTCAAAAAAGAAATGCTAGAGATCAAAAACAGTGTAACAAATGAAGAATGTCTTTGATGGGTGATTCGTAAAATAGACATATCTGGGGGAGGAGTTTTTGAGCTTGAAGATATGTCAATAGAAACCGCTAAAACTGAAAAGCAAAGAGAACAAAGACTGAAAAAACATAACAACATATACAAAATCTGTGGAACAACTACAAAAGATGTAACCTACACATAATGGAAATATGAGAAGGTAAAAAAAAGAAAGGAATAAAAGAAATATTTGAAACAATAATGAATGAGAATTTATCAAATTAATGTCAGACACCAAACCACAGACCCAGGAACCTTAAAGAACACCAAACAGGGTAAATGGCACCCTCCACCCACAAAAAAAACTGTACCTACATACATCATTCAAATGGCAGAAAATCAAAGATAAAGAAAAAACTCTTGAAAGAAGCCACAGGAAAAAGAAAACTTTATAAGACCAAATATAAGAATTACATCTAACTTCTTCAAAGAAACCATGCAGGCCTGGCGCGGTGGCTCACGCGTGTAATCCCAGCACTTTGGGAGGCCGAGGTGGGTGGATCACCTGAGGTCAGGAGTTCAAGACCAGCCTGGCCAACATGGTGAAACCTTGTCTCTACTAAAAATACAAAAATTAGCTGGCCATGGTGGCATGTGCCTATAATCCCAGCTACTCGGGAGGCTGCTGCAGGAGAACTGCTCAAACCTGGGAGGCAGAGGTTGCAGTGAGCCAAAATCACGCCACTGTACTCCAGCCTGGGTAACAAAGTTAGACTCTGTCTCAAAAAAGAAAAAGAGGCCGGGCGCGGTGGCTCACGCCTGTAATCCCAGCACTTTGGGAGGCCGAGGCGGGTGGATCATGAGGTCAGGAGATCGAGACCATCCTGGCTAACAAGGTGAAACCCCGTCTCTACTAAAAATACAAAAAATTAGCCGGGCGCGGTGGCGGGCGCCTGTAGTCCCAGCTACTCGGGAGGCTGAGGCAGGAGAATGGCGTGAACCCGGGAAGCGGAGCTTGCAGTGAGCCGAGATTGCGCCACTGCAGTCCGCAGTCCGGCCTGGGCGACAGAGCGAGACTCCGTCTCAAAAAAAAAAAAAAAAAAAAGAAAAAGAAAAAAAAAGAAACCATGCAAGCAAGGAAAGAGTAGAGTAAAATATTTAAAGTATTGAGAGAAAAAAAGCCCATCAACCTAGCAGTCTATACGCTGTGAAATTATACTTTAAAAGTGAAGGAGAAATAAGGACTTCCCACATAAAGATTGAAGAAATTTGTTGCCAGCAGACCTGCCTAGCAAAAAATGTGAAATGAAGTTTTTCAGAGAGAAGGAAAATGAGATAGGTCAGAAACTTGGAACTATATAGAAAAAGGAAGAACATCAAGGAAAAAATAAGTGAAGGCAAAATACAAACTTTAATTACTCGTTTTTTTTTTTTGTGACGGAGTCTTGCTCTGTCACCATGCTGGAGTGCAGTGGCATGATCTCGGCTCACTGCAACTTCCAACTCCCTGGTTCAAGCGATTCTCCTGCCTCAGCCTCCCAAGTAGCTGGGATTACAGGCACACGCCACCACACCCGGTTAATTTTTGTATTTTTAGTAGAGACGGGGTTTCACTATGTTGGCCAGGATGGTTTTGATCTCCTGATCTCGTGATCTGCCTGCCTCGGACTCCCAAAGTGCTGGGATTACAGGCATGAGCCACTGTGCCTGGCCAATTATTCTTATTTTTTTTTTTTTTTTTTTTTTGAGACAGAGCTTTGCTCTTGTTGCCCAGGCTGAAGTGCAATGGCGTGATCTTGGCTCACCACAACCTCCGCCTCCCAGGTTCAAGCGATTCTCCTGCCTCAGCCTCCCTAGTAGCTGGGATTACAGGCATGTGCCACCATGCCCAGCTAATTTTGTATTTTTAGTAGAGACGGGGTTTCTCCATGTTGGTCAGGCTGGTCTCGAACTCCCAACCTCAGGTGATTCGCCCACCTCAGCCTCCCAAAGTGCTGGGATTACAGGCATGAGCCACTGTGCCCGGCCAATTATTCTTATTCTTAATTGACCTAATAGATAGCAGTTTATTCAAAACAATAATAGTAACAATGTATTTGATTACATATGTTTGTGTATTATAAATGCTTATGCATGCTTATATATAAGTGAAATGAAAGATAGCAATGAATCCTAGCAAGGGATAAGAAGGAGGACTTTGGATTATTTTGCTATTTAAGGTATTTCTGCTACCCATGAAGCAGTATATTGTTATTTGAAAGGGGACTTGAATTAGTTGTAAATGTATATTGCAAATAGTAGAGCAAGAGCAAGCACTAAAAACCATTTTAAAAGAAATATAACTGATATGCTAAAAAGGGCAGAAAATGAAATCATATAAACTGATCAATTAAAACCACAAATGGCAGAAAAAGAATGACAAACAAAATGAGGGATAGATGACAAAGGCAACAAATAGAAAATAGTAACACATGTAGTACATATTACTCCAACTCCATCAAGTTATTTTGAACATCACTGGACTAAAAACAGCAATTACAAAACAAATAGTCAAAGTGGATAAAAAACAAGACCCAACTATAGTTGTCTATAAGAAATCAAATTTAAATATATAGACATATAGGCCAGCACAGTGGCTCACGCCTGTAATCCCAGCACTTTGGAAGGCTGAGGCAGGCGGATCACTTGAGGTCAGGAGTTCAAGACTAGCCTGGCTAACGTAGTGAAACTCTGTCTCTCCTAAAAATACAAAAATTAGCCAGGTGTGGTGGTGCATGCCTGTCATCTCAGCTACTTGGGAGGATGAGGCAGGAGAATCACTTGAACCCAGGGGGTGGAGGCTGCAGTAAGCCAAGATTGCACCACTGCACTCCAGCCTGTGAGACAGAGGGAGACTCTATCTCAAAATAAATAAATAAATTTTAAAATTGACACATATAGAGCAAATGTAAAGAGATAGAGAAAGATATGCCATGTTAACATTAATGAAAAAGAAGCTGGAGTAGCTGTATTAATTTCAGACAGAACAGACTTCAAAGCAGAGAAAGTTATCAGTGGTAACTGGGAGCATTACTTAATGATAAAGGAATCTATTCTCAAAGAAAACATAACAATCTTTAATGTGTATGGACTTAACAACAATCAAAATGCATGAGCCAAAAACCAATAGAACTGCAAAGAGAAATAGATGAATCCACTATCATAGTCAGACTTCAAGACCACTGTGTCAGAAATGGACAGATCCTGCAGACAGGACAAAGACTGCAGACAGAAAATCATTAAAGACATAGTTGAACTCAACAGCATCCTCAATCAACTAAACATAATTGACATCTGTAGCCAACATCATCTAACAACAGCATAATACACATTCTTCTCATGCTCATATGGAACATTCACCAAGATACACCATATTCTGGGTCATAAAATACACCTTAACAAATTTAAAAGAATAGATATCATGCAATGTCCGCTCCCAGACCACAGGGGAAATAAACTAGAAATCAGTAACAGAAAGATAGCTGGAAAATCCCAAAATAGAGATTAAACAACACACTTCTAAATAACACATTGGTCAAAGTCTCAAGAGAAATTTTAAAATATTTTGAACTAATTGAAAATAAAAATAAAACATCAAAATTTATGGAATGCAGCAAAATCAGTGCTTAGAGGAAAATTTATAACATTGAATGAATACATTAGAAAAGAAGAGAGGTCTAAAATCAATAATCTAAACTTTTGCCTTAGGAAACTAAAGGAAAAATGGATCAAATAACCCCAAAGTAAGCAAATAGTAATAATAAGAGAGGAAATCAATGAAATTCAAAACTGGAATAAAGAGATAAATTAATGAAACCAAAAGCTGATTCTTTAAAAAGATCAATAAAATTTATAAAATTTCTAGCCAGGTTAACTAAAAAAAAGAGAGAAAGAGGATGAAAATTACCAATATCATAAATAAAAAGGGGCTATCATCACTGATCCCATGGACATGAAAAGGATAATAATCAAATACTATGAACAACTCTGTGCCCACGAATTTGATAATCTAGATGAAATGGACCAATAGTCAGACATTACAAAGCCTGGTAACATGAACAGTGTTTTCTGGTAAAGTGGCCAAGCCAGACACAGACCCATGATGATATGAAACTTGGTATATTACAGGGATGAGATGCCAAATGTGATGACATTGGGAAAAATTGACTCACCATGTGGAAAAATAGTAAAATGTATTCTCCCCCTGAAAAAAAAACCTTTTGTTGGATTTGAATTTAAAAACCCATTAAATGTGAAAGGTAAAACTAAAAACCAATAGGAGAAAATGTAGTTGAGTATCTTCATGACCCTAGGATAGAAGGGTCATCTTAAGGGGCCATAGGATAGAAGGGTCATAAATAAGATGTAAAGTACACAAGCCATGGATAAATTTACCAACATCAAAGTAGCTATATATGTGTCATTAAGTTATCAGAGAGTTGACAGGCTAGGTAAGATACTGTTGAAAACTGTTATGTTAAGACTAAAATCTACAATATAAAAAGTTGTCTGCAAATCAGAAAGAATGCAGGAAACCCAATGGAAATGAGTGAAGTACATGAATTGGCAGTTCATGGAAGGGGAAAGTCAAATAACTAGTAATATATGAAAAGAAGCTTAGCTTCATAAGAAATCAGAAAAATGGCCGGGTGCAATGGCCCACACCTGTAATCCCAGCACTTTGGGAGCCCGAGGCGGGTGGATCACCTGAGGTCAGGAGTTCGAGACCAGCCTGGCCAACATGGTGAAACCTCGTCTCTACCAAAAATACAAAATTAGTTGGGTGTGGTGGCAGACGCCTGTAGTCCCAGCTACTCGGGAGGCTGAGACAGGAGAACTGCTTGAACCTGGGAGGCAGAGGCCGCAGTGAGCCGAGATGGTGCCACTGCACTCCAGCCTGGGCAAGATAGAGCAAGACTCCATCTCAAAAAAAAAAAAAAAAAAAAAAGAAGAGAAATCAGAAAAATGAAAATAAAACCACAATTAAATACCACTTTATATATACCAGATTGATAAAAATTAGAAAATCAGAAAATACTAAATATTGGTGGAGAAATGAGAGCCTTCATGCTTTTCTTGCTGGAGTGTCAAGTGGCTATTTTAGAGATAAATCTGGCAGTATTTTGTAAAATAATATGTGAATTTGCTCTATAATCAAGCAATTCTATGCATATATATCCAGAAACACAGAAACATTCTTGCACAGGCACACAAGAGAACATGCAAGAGAATATTCATTGCATCCTTGTTTGTGTTTGCAAACACTCCAAAAGAACTTCCTGCTTGTCACTCAAACATTGGACAAGTAAAGGGTTTAGGTAGCAATCTGAAAAAATGAGTCGGATTTACATAATAGCAGCTGGATGTATATGTCCCAGAAACATGTTGAGTGAAAAAAAGAAAAAGCATTAGATTTATCTCCCAATACATTTCATGAAAATTCAACACATACGCACAAAATAACACTAAATTTCAAGGATAGGAATTTGTCTAAACAAATATATGAAAGGTGGATTAGAAAGATGTCTAATATATTCACAAAGATTAGGCACCTTTGAGGCTATAGAAATGGAAAAAGGAATGGGGCTGGGCATGTTGGCTCATGCCTGTAATCCAAGCCCTTTGAGAGGCCGAGGCAGGAGGGTCACTTGAGCCCAGGAGTTTGAGATCAGCCTGGGCAACGTAGCAAGACCTTGTCTCTGTCTAATAAAAAAAAAAATTAGCTATGTGTGGTGACATGCACCCGTGGTCTCAGCTACTCAGGAGGCTAAGGTGGGAGGATCACTTGAATCTGGGAGGTTGAGGCTGCAGTGATCTGTGCTTATGCCACTGCACTCCAGCCTGGGTGACAAAGTAAGATCCTGTCTCAAGGAAAAAAAAAGAAAGAGAGAGAGAAGAAAAAGAAAAAGAAAGAAGGAAGGAAGGAAAGGAACGAGGGAAGGAAGGAAGGAAGGAAGGAAGCAAAGAAGGAAGGAAAGAAGGAAGGAAGGGGGAGGGAGGGAGGAAGGGAGGGAAGGAAGGAAGGGAAGGAAGGAAAAGTAAAGAAAGAGAAAGGAAAAGAAGGGGAAAATAATTGTACACATGACATTTTACGTAATGTTTGAACAAGCTGATGTTGTTAGTTCTCCATGAACTGAGAAATGAAATGAACTTAAATCTGTGACTCCAAAGTCTTTAAAAGTAAACAGATTCTTCCTAAAACTTTTTCGTTGGGATAAGCTGTTTGGCTTTTTTTGTTGTTTAAATCTTTATCCCTCCTCTTTTTTTATTTTGTTTCTCCTCTTTCTGTCCGATAAAGGGTTGCTGGCTCCTCGCCAGGTCTCTGCAAACTCAGAGGGCATGGACAACATTCTGGTGACTTGGCAGCCTCCCAGGAAAGATCCCTCTGCTGTTCAGGAGTACGTGGTGGAATGGAGAGAGCTCCATCCAGGGGGTGACACACAGGTCCCTCTAAACTGGCTACGGAGTCGACCCTACAATGTGTCTGCTCTGATTTCAGGTACCTAATTGTTCACCTTCCTTCTAGAGGGTTACTAAGTTCACATTTGTTTGGGGAAACTGCAGGCAAGAGCCAGAACCCTGCCTTCAATTACAGGTGGCTACATGATGAGAGAGACTGATGACCTAGAGTCCACCCAGCAGCACTTTAGACTACTCCACTGCAGACATAAATGACCAACTGGTTGACTAAAAGCTCTCTTATTTATGGAAAATCCATATCCCTAGCACAATGCCAAAGAAGATGAATGAATAATTGAACCAAACAAGTATGGCTGAGAGCTAAGTTAACTGCCCAGTGTAATAGACACCTTTATTTATCATAGCACACTGCATGATAATACATGAGGCCATCCTTAACCCTGTGGGGAGTTCATTTATTTAATAACTCTTAAAGCAATCATGTTCAGTAAGAGTCGGTATGGCCATTATATAAATGAGGAAACCAGGAAATCCTTCATTCACAATTCTGTTACTTATTAATTGTGTAATACTAAATCCAGAATTATCTATAAGACAATTGGTATTTCTAATCCTCAGTTTCCTAATCTGTCAGTGGTGAGAATCAAGTGAGAGAACGCATCTGAAAATATATTAAAATGATTGGGCAGAACTTAGTTAATGTCATTGTTAAGCATAAATTCAGCACTGAATTGAATCAGTGGTTTAAAGTTCTGGCTCTGCAGCCATACTACCTGGGTTCGAGTCTTGGCTCTGTCTGTGTGATCTAGGGCAAGTTACTTAACCGCTTTGTGCCTCAGTTTCCTCATCTGAAAAATGAGGATAATAATATTACCTACCTCGTTGGGTTATTGTGAAGACTAGCTGAATTACTTCGTGGAAAATGTTTTGAACAATGCCTAATATATTTTAAGGGCTCAGTAATTTAGCTCTCATCATTATTATTGTTACGTGAGACAGAGCTAATATTTTAAGGTTTTCAAGCTCTAAATCCTATAATGTTTCTATAACAATCATTACACCTGTCTAGGAGGAAATACACACCCTGCTTAAGGTGACAAGATTTATACAAATGAAATAAATAGCACACTGCATAATCATACATGAGTCCATCCTTAACTGTGTACCTCTTTTGTAGTCTGACTGCTCAGAGTTCTAGCAGGTTAATTTTTCATCACTACCCTTAAATAGAATGCTGCCTACATAACCTAGTCAGCATCCAGAGGAAGATGACCAAGTTATTAGGAGCCTGGAACTTCTAATCTGGAAACCATTTAGCCTAGAAAGAGAATTCTAGATGGGCATGGGAATGGGACGGCTTGACGGCTGTTGCTGGTTTTGACATTACACATAAAAGAGTATGTTTTCTTTTGTTGCTCTGGAGAGGAAAACTAAAACCCTGTGTGGAAATTATAAAAGAAGTAGCTATCAGCTCAATTTTGAAAAAGAAGTTTCCTGCCTTTGATGTTCTCTAATGGGACAATCGATTACCTCTCAAGGCAGTGTGTTCCCTGTCCCTAGAGTTTTTGCAGTAGAACCAGTTTTCTTTCAGGGCTGTTATGCCCATCAAATCAGGTGAAAGTGAATAGAAAAAGCATTTACCAAACTTTAAGCTGCTAAGAAATTGTAAACATTATTATAAGCTGTATTAGGACTTACCCCTGTGGGATAGTTTGAACTACATGGCAAGAGAGATGTTTTCCATACTTAGTGAAATAAGTGTCTTTATGCACTTTAGAAGTAATATTCATTTGAATAAAATCAATATACTAGGCTGGGCGCGGTGGCTCACGCCTGTAATCCCAACACTTTGGGAGGCGGAGGTCAGGAGTTCAAGACCAGCCTGGCCAACGTGGTGAAACCCCATCCCTACTAAAAATACAAAAATTAGCTGGGCGTGGTGGTGGGCGCCTATAATCCCAGCTACTTGGGAGGCTAAGGCAAGATAATTGCTTGAACCCGGGAAGCGGAGATTGCAGTGAGCCGAGATCATGCCATTGCACTCCAGCCTGGGTGACAGAGTGAGACTCCATCTGAAAAAAAAAAAAAAACAATATACTAATGAATAAAATAACTTTATTAAATTAAAGTTGTTCTCCTGCTTGGAAACACTTGGTTAGCTATTAGCTTATGTTGATGTTACAGTCTGAAAATAAACACTTAAAAATTAAGCAATTCATGGTTATTATTAATTCAAAATGGCCCCCTCTAGTCAGTAAGATCACTCATTGTTATTGATTTTCACCAGCCTTTTCCCAGCATCTGGCTGGGGCAGATTTGGACATTTTGGAGTGGGCCAGAATACAGCCCGGCTCCTGATTTATAGGTTGGTGGAGGCTAGGCTAGAGACCAGTCCTGTCCTGTCCTGTCTGGGTGAAAATGCTTCTGACCGTATAGAGCCACTCCTTTTACAAATACATAACATCATGGTGTCTAGAAAACCTTCCCTGCACCTAGAGTTGTTGGGGGCCCTCTTATGCCTTCTTCTTCCTCGTTACTGGTCATTTAATGTTTGCCTTCTCCCACACTTAACAGGTGAAATTAGCTTTCTGCAGAAAAACCACCTAAGTGATGGTTTATAAACATGGGGGCAGGGACTTTGCTGAAGGGTACTAGGTATGTATGTATGTATGGGAGTGGTGGGAAATGAGTCGGAAATTGCGGCCAGACTCTAGAAAGGAAATAAAAGTCTGAGGAGTATGGGCTTCATACACTGAAGGTTTTGAGATGGGGAGCAGATATTGTTAGAGAGTGTTCATACAAGAATCAGCCAGTAAAACAGGAGTTCTTGAGGCCAGAACTGGGGAAGAAGCTTGCTAGGAGGGCTCTACTCTTGGTGGAAAGGGAAATGTCAACTGAATTACAGAACCACATTGTCTTCTCTCCTCCGCTAAAGGTAAGCCATTCACAAAAATAAACCACAACTTCTAATGCAGCAGTTCCCAAGGCCTCTGCCCTGAACTCACATTTTGAATGGCAAAATACAATGGAACTGTCTGCCTAACGAGCTCATCTGGAACTCCCATGCCTCCATAAGGCGGTGGTTGGTTGGCCCCTTTCACGACTAGGGGCAGAACAGCCAGGCACTGGGGGCTGAAAGCTACTCACTGGCCCCTCCCACATTAAATATGATTTCATATTCCATGTTGCCCTTTGGGCTTCTTGGTGTCAATGCCACCCATGAGGAATCTTTGGATTACCATACTAAGCTGACTGTGTCCTTTTCTCCACTTCGCTTAGTTCATGAACTCAAATTGGAATTTACCCATGGCATGTGTTTTGATCTTGTCATGGTCTCTTCTGACAGCACTGGTTGCACAACTGAGTTTTATGTGCTGTCTATTTGCTGGAATATTTAATGAGCAATGGATTTTCATATAAAACACAAATAATTTAATAAATTTTTCTATGATATAAAATTATTCTTCCTGAAAAAAAAAAAAGTTAAACCCTAATCAACTGTCAGTGTAGGGGACCCTGGCTACCTATCGGCAGGGCATTAATCAATACTGGGTAGGGTTCTTACTTTGACTCCCTGATACTATAGTTACCTAGTAGGACTTATCTCTTTTTCCTTTAAATGTTCATTTGAAATGTAAAAGTATTTCAGGAGAGGTATCTATGAAAGGGGCCTTTTATTCACAAGTAGTAGAAATCTGAGATTCATGGAAATAAGGAATTTTGGTGGGGAAGAAAGACTTGCCAATAAGCTTCATGACTGACAGAAAATTGAAAGTGCGGCGCTTTAAAAGCCAGGAAGGAGCATTAACATTCCCAAGTACCTTTTAAATCTTCCAGGCTGGGAAGCAACTGAAATCTAACTGGAACATACAGGGAGAGGAGATGGGGTAACAAGGGGTCGGATTGCACCCAGAGCACCCTGGTTAGTTATGCCTGAGTGTGTCATCTGCCCTGTCAGATCTTGATAAGCATCGCAGAATTAGAAAAGCTATTCAGGTTCTATGCCTGCAAAATTCCAGCCTCACTTTCCTGTAAACAGCAAATGCTTTATTTGTAGGAATCAAAAGGTTTTTTTTCTTGAAGGCAAGTTGTTTTGTTTGTTTCAAAAGCAGTCTGGGTGCGTGTGTGTGTCTGTGTGTGTGTGTGTGTGTGGTTATATTTAAATCCGTGTTGGAACTCAAATAGCTTTTGTCTCCTTCTTAATCATGGTGATCCTGTTTGTTTATATGGAAAGAAACTCAGGTTGGTTGGTTGGTTGATCTCATCCTTTGAAGTTGGGAGCAGTAACTTCCAGAAGCCAACGTCATGGCAAATCAGATGCTGAGAATTTGTAACATAGGTCATCAGTCCAGACTGTGCTTGAACCATCTTTAAACTAGGAAAAGGCAAGAAACACCTTGAAAGCATTTGTATCAGATAATAAAATGGCTCCCTTTAGTGACTCACCAGTAATGGCACGGCTGTTATGGGAATTCCCTTTTCCTTGCAGAGAACATAAAATCCTACATCTGTTATGAAATCCGTGTGTATGCACTCTCAGGGGATCAAGGAGGATGCAGCTCCATCCTGGGTAACTCTAAGCACAAAGGTGAGTCTTGGGATCTTTTGCCAAATTTTGCTTTAGTTTAATGATTTGGATTTGGAGGGTGACAGAAGCCTCCTGTGCCCTACTTTACAGCACCACTGAGTGGCCCCCACATTAATGCCATCACAGAGGAAAAGGGGAGCATTTTAATTTCATGGAACAGCATTCCAGTCCAGGAGCAAATGGGCTGCCTCCTCCATTATAGGATATACTGGAAGGAACGGGACTCCAACTCCCAGCCTCAGCTCTGTGGTATGTGTGAGAACCAAATGCAGTGAGTGGGGCCTTCTTGTTTGGATGTCAGGAAAACACAAGGAGGTGTGTGTGCACATCTACACACATGTGCTAGCGCAATGCCTGGCATATAGTAAGTACTCCATAAATACTTGTAAAGTTAACTGAATGAAGAATTAGAAAAGACATCTAAACACACAAACAGAAGGTTATTGAATATGTGTTATGTGCCAAGCAAATTGCTAAGGATACAGAAATGAAGTAAATGGACTAGTTCTCAAGGTGCTTACTCATATGAAGAGACAGAATTTCAACAAACAATAAAGTCACTTCAGTACTGTATAGACTTCTTTGTTTTTTTAAGACAGTGCCTCACTCTGTTGCCCAGGCTGAGTGCAGTGGTGCAATCACAGCTCACTGCAGCCTTGACCTCCCTGGGCTCAAGCAATCCTCCTGCCTCAGCCTCCCAAGTAGTGGGAACTACAGGTGCATGCCACCATGTCCAGCTAATTTTTTAATTTTTTTGTAAAGACAGAGTCTCCCTGTGTTGTCCAGGCTAGTCTCCAACTCCTGGGCTCAAGTGATTTGCCTACCTCGGCCTCCCAAAGTGCTGTGATTACAGGCATGGGCCACAGCGCCCCGCCAATCCTGTATAGGCCTTGAGGTTCACAAGAAATGCCTCTGGAGAACTTTTAAATCCCCACATTTGCAATTACTATTATGGCATATTATTTTCTTCTTAAAATGGATAAAATATGATACAGTTTAAGTAACCCTTTATGGCCCAAAATTATTCTATAAGTATAAAACTAAAGCAATTAAAATAAACTCTAGCTAGAGTGTTGTCTCAAATGATGTCATGGATCACTCATTCATGTACAGCTCCAAGTCACTTGCCACACTTGATGTTCCAATCTTTGATTTATTCAGAGTTTTTGTTTTTCTTGACTTGACCTTCTCTTTATTTTGTAAGCAGCTAGCTTTCAGGAACATTTGTCATAAAGAAGGAACATTTGTATTTCTTAATGAGAGTTAGTAGGCCCAAGAACAATGCAACAAAGCCACCCTAAGATGCAGCTGCCAGAGAGCTGCCTGCAGGGGTGATTTTCACCTGGGAAGCTTTATGAGTTGGTCTTCTCTCTTGACTTTAAGAGGTCCGCAGTGTGACTTTAAAAGCTGGTTAATTTTTATTATATAAATAATACTAAAACATGAAGATAGTTCAGAAAGATATAGAAAGAAAATTCGTCTTCCCTTCACACTTAGGCTGTTAACAGTCCCTTGTGTAGTCTTCCAGAAAAAAACAATTGATGCATGTACAAGAATATAGTTGAGATCTTTTTCAACATTCTGATCTACACCTTGCTTTTACCTCTCAATAATACGTGGTAGAGACCTTTCTACATCCATCCATGTGAACTTATGTCATTCTTTTTTATCATCTCTGTAGTATGGCATCATAAGGGCTTATGGTCATTTGTTGAACAAATACACCATTGATAAACAGAACATATCACTGATCAGAACTGCTTCCCCCTGGACTTGACCCAGAGTCAGTCAGTTCTGAAATGCACCCCAAGAGGTAAGGAATCAATTGATCTCTTCTTCAGCCATCTGGAATTCCTCATGTGAAATTTGCCCCCCAAATAACTTTCATTTTGGCAGAGTTTAAATTGAGATACCTGTTTGCAACCACATGGTCTGTTTATTCTTTTTTTTTTTTTTTTTCATACGGAGTCTTGCTCTGTTGCCTAGGCTGGAGTGCAATGGCACGATCTCAGCTTACTGCAACCTCTACCTCCCGGGTTCAAGTGATTCTCCTGCCTCAGCCTCCTGAGTAGCTGGGATTACAGACATGTACCACCATGCCCTGCTAATTTTTGTATTTTTAGTAGAGGAGGGGTTTCACCATGTTGGCCAGGCTGGTCTTGAACGCCTAACCTCAGGTGATCCGTCTGCCTTGGCCTCTCACAGTGCTGAGATTACAGGCGTGAGCCACCCAGCCCAGCCTCTTTTTTTTTTTTTTTTTTTTTTTTTTTTTAACAGTAAGCCATCTACTTTAATAGTCAAAGCCTCTTGAGTCTGTTGATTCTTAAAGCTGCTCTTATGGATGTTGAAGAAAATGCCTTCCTTATTTTGTCACAAATCTGATGACTCTAAAGCCTGCATAAGGGTATTTAAAAATAAGCTAAAAGGGGAGGGAGAGTGCAGATTCACAGTCCTATTTTATACTAGTTTAGGTTAAATTTTCATTTAATTCAGTAAGTATCTGTTGATGGATAAGACCTATTCCCTATCTTCAACAAGCTCACAGTCTATGAGGGAGATAGAAAAGTACACAAAAGGAGGCTGGGCATGGTGGCTCATGCCTGTAATCACAGCACTTTGGGAGGCCGAGGTGGGCAGATCGTTTGAGCCCAATAGGTCAAGACCAGCCTGGGCAACATGGTGAAACCCTGTCTCTACCAAAATTACAAAAAATTAGCCAGGCATAGTGGTGTGTGCCTGCAATCCCAGCTACTCAGGAGGCTGAGGTGTGAGGATCACTGAGCCCAAGAGGCAGAGATTGCAGTAAGCTGAAATCGCACCACTGCACTCCAGCCTGGGCGACAGAGATGGACTCTGTCTCAAAGAGTGAAAAATAAAAAGGAAAAGTACACAAAAGGGATGTAACTGTCATAATCAAGGACTGACAACTACTTATTGCATTTGGCAACCAGAAATCATTGGTGAATTCACAAGGGCACTTTCTAGAGAGTGGTAGGAGGTGGTAGGTTGAGGAGGAGGGAGAAAGGCAAAGCAGGAAGGTGTTCTGCCTTGATGGCCCCCTCTTACTGGTGTTTCAGCACCATTAACCAGGCAGCAGTATTAAGGGCATATGTGGAGCACAGTAAGGGCAAAAAATGAAGGACCTGCCTTGGCAGAGGAGGGTAAGGTGTAGAGCCAGGGAGGAACCCAGGTATCTGGATTGTAATGAGTTATATGGGTGGTTCTGTGCACAGCCACTCCTCTGGAAGCTTGTCCATATTGCCATGTTGCCATGTGTACCAGTAGAGCCACGGCCAGCACATTTTTCTTTTTCTTTTTTTTTTTTTTTTTGAGACAGAGTCTCACTCTGTTGCCCAGGCTGGAGTGCAATGGCGCGATCTCGGCTCACTGCAAGCTCTGCCTCCCGGGTTCACGCCATTCTCCTGCCTCAGCCTCCCGAGTAACTGGGACTACAAGCACCCGCCACCAAGCCTGGCTAATTTTTTGTATTTTTAGTAGACACGGGGTTTCACCATGTTAGCCAGGATGGTCTCAATCTCCTGACCTCGTGATCTGCCCATCTCGGCCTCCCAAAGTGCTGGGATTACAGACGTGAGCCACCGCGCCTGGCTGGCCAGCACATTTTTCTACTGGAGAACACATTATACTTTGCTACTGCCTAGTAGTGTTTGCCAACAGTCTCTAAGCATCTTAAGGGAAGAAGCCATGGCAATTTGCTCACCATTGTCTCCTCATACCTAGAATACAGCCAGACACATGGTAGGTGCTTCATAAAAATAAACAGCTGAATACCACTCTACGCTTTGTGAAATCCAATGTAGATCGTTAAAAACTTGTTTCCAGTAGCAGTGCAGCTGTTTTGTCTAGTACCACTTGACCTTCCTATCTACAGCTTTTCCAACGACTGGCAACTATCACATCTTCCTACACTGGTGCCTTTATCATTGAATCACCCTGAGTGTAAGTTTTCAGACCGCCAAGGATTGAATGGCCTCTTTTATCTCTGCCAGAGATCACAGCCCAGAGGGAGCAGGACCAGTATTTCCTGCTTGACTTCTTGACTTCTTTCTTCTATTCAGCCTATTTTGCCAACCAAACTGCTGACACCATCATCTTCCTCACTGCCTCTTCCCATAGAGCTTCTATTTTTGTTCTCCTAATATGTGTGCGTGTGTGTGTGTGTATGTGTGTTTGGATAAACTTTATTGGCCCAGCAACCCACACAAATCCCTTCCCTTCTGTTCCAATATCTCATTTCACTCCCAGAGTTAAGGATGCCCTCACAGAGTTGGACAGTTGATTCCCTGACACTTGCTGATGTTCTGCTGCAGCAGGAGGAACAGAAGGTCTCTCTAAAATTAATTTTTTAATCCCCTGTGTTAGGAATAGAGAAAGGGCTTTTTGAGCTCAATCATATAGCTTAAGTCTATGCAAGCAATCTCACCAGGCTAGAGTAGACTTGAGAATTTTCCACAAGGACTTTTCTCAACAGGATGTAAACTATAGAAATTCTGTGATAGTCATGGTGAATAAATTATCTGCATGGGCCTCAACCCCTTTGGGTGGAGTAGAGGTAATATTATAGGACTTCATCTTGCTGATTACCCATAGTAAGCAGGGATGGGATAATGGAAGGGGTCTCTTTTCCCCATTAGATAGTGGACTCTTTGAGGCAGATTCTTTGCTTTTGTATTGTCAGTGCCTTGTCCAGTGTAGGCACTCATATTTATGACTGTTGAAATAAATTCAGCATGCAAGACATCTCTGACTTGCCCTGGAGTTTGTGAGCCAGTATATGTTGAGTATATGACGCTGAGTTCTAGTTTTCCCTGTGATCACCAGCATAGATGAAGTCATCTCAATGAGCTAGCAGGTGTGAAAGGAAAATAAACTCTCAAGACCCCAAACTCACTATGCCAAAAGAAAAGATAAGCTTGGGAGCTGAGTCATGCAAAAACTGCCTTTCTTTTGTTACCAAACAGATAGCTGTAACTTCACATGCTTACTTTATTTTATGTCAAACATAGATTTACTGAGTTCCAGAAAAATGCATAATTGACCCTTTACCCCTCCTTTCACATGTAAAATGTAGATTCACTGAATGCTAATCAAAGCCTCACAAGACCACTTTGCCTCATTGCCTATCTTCCCCACCCCCCACCCATTTTTTTCCTTCCCAGTTTCCCCTCTCTTTCCTTTTTAAATATTGAGGTCCTCAGCACAGGTCACAGATCCTATTGTAATTTGTGTTTCTTTTTCAACCTCAACCTCAAAGTTGGCAAAATGAACCTCAAAACCCACTGAAACTCGGCGGGGTGCGGTGGCTCACGCCTGTAATCCCAGCACTTTCGGAGGCTGAGGCAGGCGGATCACCTGAGGTCAGGAGTTCAAGACCAGCCTGGCCAACATGGTGAAACTCCCATCTCTACAAAAATACAAAAATCAACCAGGCATGATGGCAGATGCCTGTAATCCCAACTACTCGGGAGGCCACGGTGGGAGAATTGCTTGAACTCAGGTTGCAGTGAACTGAGATTGTGCCATTGCACTCCAGCCTGGGTGACAGAGTGAGACTCCATCTTAAAAAACAAAACAAACAACAACAACAACAACAAAAACCTATTGAAATTTGTCTATTTTGTTTTTAGTTGACACAGGCTACTTCTGCTAGAGTGCTGGCCTTGACTCTGCCATCCTCCCCAGCTTTTGAAAGGTCACTCCAAAATCCAAACCCAACAGGCCACTGGAGAAGATTGTCTATTCATTAAAGGCTACCTACACTCATGTTTCTTAGATTAAAAAACAGCATCAGTGTATTACTCAAAACACAAAATCTTCCCTACAGAGAAAACTGCAGGGGTGTTGAGAACATAAGGAACTGGTAATCTAGGTTTACAGCTGCCAAATCTAATCTAAGTATCGGTGCTCTAGTTTTTAATGATTTTATGTCAGACTGAATAAGATCCTCATTAAGCTAAGGGCCTAGAGCCTACAAATGGAAAAGTGCAAAATCAAAGTTTAAAAATGTTAAGTGAGGCCAGGTGATGTGGCTCATGCCTGTAATTCCAGCACTTTGGGAGGCTGAGGCGGGCAGATCACCAGGTCAGGAGTTCGAGACCAGCCTGACCAACATGGTGAAACCCCATCTCTATTAAAAATACAAAACTTAGCCAAGCATGGTGGCGTGTGCCTATAATCCCAGTTACTCAGGAGGCTGAGGCTGAAGAATTGCTTGAATTCGGGAGGCGGAGGTTGCAGTGAGCCAAGATCGTATTACTGTACTCTAGCCTGGGTGACAGAGCAAGACTCTTCTCAAAAAAAAAAAAAAAAAAAAAAAAATGTTAAGTGAATGTCTGTTTCATTAATTGTTAAACTTACATAGGCTGGGTGTGGGGGCTCACGCCTATAATCCCAGCACTTTGGGAGGCTGAGGTGGGCAGATCACTTGAGGCCAGGATTTCAAGATTAGCCTGGCCAACATGGTGAAACCCCGTTCTACTAAAAATACAAAAATTAGCCAGGCATGGTGGCACACACCTGTAGTCCCAGCTACTTGGGAGGCTGAGGCAGGAGAATTGATTGAACCTAGGAGGCGGAGGTTACAGTGAGCCAAGATCGTGCCACTGCACTCTAGCCTGGGCGACAGAGCAAGACTCCATCTCAAAAAAAATACAAAATACAAAATTTCATAACTGGCCGGACGCAGTGACTCACACTTGTAATCCAGCATTTTGGGAGGCTAAGGCAGGCAGATTACTTGAGGTCAGGAGTTCGAGACCAGCCTGGCCAACATGGTGAAACCCCATCACTACTAAAAATACAAAAATTAGCTGGGCATGGTGGCACATACCTGTAGTCCCAGCTACTTGGGAAGCTGAGGCAGGAGAATTGCTTGAACCCAGGAGGCGGAGGTTGCAGTGAGCCGAGATCGCATCACTGCTCTCCAGCCTGGGCGACAGAGCAAGAACCTGTCTCAAAAAAAAAAAAAAAAAAAAAAGTTCCATAGCCTTGAAAACAATTTGTAAATTTAACATTTCTCCTCCAGAACTCCCAAATAAGCCTGATAAATACTAGAAATGTTATCATCATTGGAAATAAAGGGAGTTAACTTTAGCTAAATATTTTCAAAAGCAAAATAACAAAAATTTATTCAAAAGATTTTACCACAAAACACAAAAAAGAGAAAAGAAAATTAGAAAATAAAGTAAAAATAAAAGATTTTACTACAAAAAAATAATTTGTTTAATATGCTGTGGAGTGAGATGTCCATAAATGACGATGTCTAGGGCCTATTAAGGTATTAAGTACTGAGGAATTTGGACTATTTTAAAATAGCAAAATGCTTTTTCCTTCCAAATTAAATGAAGCATTAAAGAGTAAGAATGAGTAGAAGCCTACATTAAAAGCCATATCCTTTAATACATGCCTTTCTTCCTTTATCTTCCTTTCAGAAATTCCCTACAGAGTCTCCCAAAATTCACATCCAATAAACAGCCTGCAGCCCCGAGTGACATATGTCCTGTGGATGACAGCTCTGACAGCTGCTGGTGAAAGTTCCCACGGAAATGAGAGGGAATTTTGTCTGCAAGGTGAGAGGCAGTGTTAAGGATGATGAGTCCACCCTGGATTCTTGCACAGGCATGCACTCCTATTACATTTGGTATAGAGATAATCAGATTTTCTTTAATTCACTAAAAACTTTCTTGCTGTCACTTTACACTTGCTGTTTCTCCTAAATAGAATGCTTTACCACTCTACTATCTTCCTGGAGACAATGTCTACTCATGTTTCAAAATTTATCGGAAATCCTTCCTCCTTCAGGAAGCCTTCCCAAATGCTCCTTACATAATGCACTTACATTTAACTCCTACTCAAAACTCTGAATCCTGTAGGCAAGGATTGATATCTGTTTACCTCTGTCTTCAAGGCCTAGCATGGCGGCCAGCACACAGTACTCGCTTACTAAGTATCTGTACACAAATGATGAGAATCACATCAACAATAATAATAGCAGCTATTGCATATGCAACAGTCATTCTGTTAAGCGCTTTGTATACTACATTAATTTGCTGGGGCTGCTGTAACGAAGCACCACAAACTGAGTGGCCTAATCAACAGAAATCTATTGTCTCACAGTTCTAGAGGCTAGAAGTCCAAAATCAAGGTGTCAGCAGGGTTGGTTCTTTCGGAGGGCTATGAGAGAGAATCTATTCCAGGCCTCTCTCCTCTTTTCCAGTAATTTGCAGGCAGTCATTGATATTACTTGGCTTGTAGGTCTCTGCTTTCATCTGGCATTCTCCATGTGTCCAAATTGTCTCCTTCTTATAAGGACACCAGTCATATTGGATTAGGGGCCCACTCTACTCCAGTATAACTTCATCTTAATTATATATGCAATGATCCTAATTTCAAATGAGGTCACATTCTGAGGCTGGGGGTTTAGGACTTCAACATACAAATTTGAGGATCACCCAGTTCAACCTACAACACATACTTTTGCTAATATTTCCTTACCAAAATTACATGGTTATACCTACCCCATCCTACCAGACACTCAATATGAAATGAATTTAAAAATGAAGGATTATCATGCCTTTTTTAAAGTGAGGGGACTAAGGTACAGAAAGATTACCCAAGGTCATGGAAGTGGTAAGTGGCAGAACTACAAATCAAACTCAGATTTGAGTTGCTTAAATTAAATTTGAGTCTGATGAATAAGTGACCCAGCTAGCATGGGCTTCCCTCCACCAGCTAAGTTACACTGTTCTCTCTAGCAATGCTCATTTGCATCTGCTCTAAGCATAAAACAAGCTGTTCTTGCTTTGTGACATGAAGCATCAAGTTGATCATTCAAGAGACTTTGTTGTTCTATGCCAGGAAACTCTCCACTGGGAAATTGACAAGACTTCTTCTTATCTCCCCAGCACTCCCATGAAAGTTAACTTGCAGCTGGGCACGGTAGCTCGTGCCTGTAATCCCAGGACTTTGGGAGGCCGAGGAGGGCGGATCATGAGGTCAGGAGATCGAGACCATCCTGGCTAACACAGTGAAACCCCGTCTCTACTAAAAAAATACAAAAAAATTAGCCGGGCATGGTGGCGGGCGCCTGTAGTCCTGGCTACTCGGGAGGCTGAGGCAGGAGAATGGCATAAACCCAGGAGGCGGAGCTTGCAGTGAGCCGAGATGGCACCACTGCCCTCCAGCCTGGGCGACAGAGTGAGACTATGTTTCAAAAAAAAAAAAAAAAAAAAGAAAGAAAGTTAACTTGCTCGATTAATGTGGATTAAGGACTCAGACAAAAATTAGGTGGGAGCGGTGGTACATGCCTGTAATCCCAGCTACTTGGGAGGCTGAGGCAAGAGAATCACTTGAACCCAGGAGGCAGAGGTTGCAGGGAGCTGAGATCGCACCACTGCACTCCAGCCTGGGTGACAGAGCGAGACTCTGTCTCAAAAATAAAAAAAAATAAAAACAAAAAAGGACTCAGCATCTTGCTACTGGTTTTACTCCAAACTTGTTCCATCTGCCCAGAAAGGAAAGCAGATGCTGAAGAAACGTGAGATTTGGCCAAGTGCCGTGGCTCCCACCTATAATCTCAGCACTTTGGGAGGCCAAGGTGGGAGGATTGATTGAACACAGGAGTTCCACACCTGCCTGGGCAACATAGCAAGACCCCATCTCAATTAAAAAAGAAAGGAAGGCCAGATCCTCCTGATTGTATGGGGTAGAAAAAAGGTTACCTCCATTAACTTCCCTATTCAGCCCTGTTGACACTTCTCATGGGTCCTAACAGGTCTCTGGCCTCTAGCTCCTCCTGCTCACTCTCCCTCCCAGCCTGTTTTTCATTCAATCAGAAGAGGAGTCTTTCTGCAAGACTGCAGATGCTGGCATTACTTCTCTTGTTGTAACTCATCAGTGGTTCCCCAGGGGCCTTCAAGCTAGAACTCAAAACTCCATACTTGCCAGGTACACATGGTCCTGTTTACCCATCTAGTTTGATCCTTTGCCACACACTTCAGCATTCATTATGGAGCAAGACCAGACTTTCTGCAGTCGCCTGAAAGTACTGGCTGTTCCCTCCTTCCATGCCTTTGCATAGTTTTTTTTTTCTGGTCTGGTCTTCCTTTGTTAGCTTATCCATTTAGCTGGCTCCTATTCATCCTCCAACTCTACATTTTTTTTTTTTTTTGAGACAGGGTCTCACTCTATTGTCCAGGCTGGAGTATAGTGGCATGATCATAGCTCACTGCAGCCTCAAAATCCTGGGCCCAAGTGATTCTCATGCCTCAGCCTCACAAGTAGTTGAGACTATAGGCTCCTGCCACCATGCCCAGCTAATCAACTCTAAACTTTTGACATTGTGCCTTTTGCAAAACCTTCCTCTGCTACTTGTGAGCCAGTTTTCCATGCTGTTCTCTGCTACACTGCTGTGGACATTGCATATACCCCTGTTTTCATACATATCCCATGTGAATTAGTCTGTTCTCACGCTGCTATAAGGACATACCTGAGACTGGATAATTTATAAAGGGAAGAGGTTTAATTGATTCACAGTTCCACAGGGCTGGGGAAGCCTAAGGAAACTTATAATCGTGGCAGAAGGGAAAGCAAACATGTCCTTCACAAGGTGCCAGGAGAGAGAAGAATGAGAGCCAAGTGGGGGAAAGGCCCCTTAGAAAACCATCAATTCTTGTGAGAACTCACTCACTATCATGAGAACAGCATGAAGATAACTGCCCCCATGATTGAATTACCTCCCCGCAAGTCCCTCACACCACATGTGGGGATCATGGGAACTACAATTCAAGATAAGATTTGGGTGAGGACACAGCCAAACCATATCATCCCACTCCTGACCCCTCCCAAACCTCATGTCCTCACATTTCAAAACACAATCATGCATTTTGAACAGTCCCCTGAAGTCTTAGGCCATTCCAGTAATAGCCCAAAAGTCCAAGTCCAAAGTCTCATCTGAGACAAAGCAAGTCTTTTCCACCTATGAGCCTATAAAATCAAAAACAAGCTAGTTACTTCCTAGATATAAAGGGGGTACAGGCATTGGGAAAATACACCCCTTCCAAATGGGAGAAATTGGCCAAAACAAAGGAGCTATAGGCCCCATGCAAGTCCAAAATCCAGTAGGGCAATCATTAAATCTTAAAGCTCCAAAATGATCTCCTGCCTAGATCCACTTAAGCCTAGTGTTCCATTATTGGAATGCTAAGCATGTGGGAGTTGTTTATATCCTACTGCTCAAGGTCATTGCCAAGGTCAGATTTTTCACTCATGCAAAAATTCAAAAAATTGCAACCTCAGGCATAAATAGGTTAACTCCATGTCTCACATTAGGTCATGCTGATGCAAGAGGTGGGCTCCCACAGCCTTGGGCAGCTCCACCTCTGTGGCTTTGCAGGGTACAGCCCCCTCCCAACTGCCTTCACAGCTGGCATTGAGTGTCTGCAGCTTTTCCAGGTGCATGGTGCAAGCTGTCAGTGGATCTACCATTCTAGGGTCTGGAGGACAGTGGCCCTCTTTTCACAGTTCCACTAGGCAGTGCCCAGTGGGGACCCTGTGTAGGGGCTTGCACCCCACATTTCTCTTCCACACTGCTCTAGCAGAGGTTCTCCATAAGGGCTCCGCCCCTGCAGCAAACTTCTGCCTGGGCATCCAGGCACTTCCATACATCCTGTGAAATCTAGGCAAAGTTCTCCAAACCTGAACTCTTGACCTCTGCACACCCACAGGCCCAAAACCACATGGAAGCTGCCAAGGCCTGGGGCTTGCACCCTATGAAGCAACGGCCTGAGCTGTATGTTGGTCCCTTTTAGCCACAGCTGGAGTGGCTAGGATGCAGAGCACCAAGTCCCAAGGCTGCATACAGAAGTGGGGGCCCTGGACCCAGCCCTGAAAACCATTTTTCCCTCCTAGGCCTCCAGGCCTGTGATGGGAGGGGCTGTCATGAAGGTTCCTAACATGCTCAGGAGATATTTTCCCCATTGTCTTGGTAATTAACATTTGGCTCCTCATTACCTATGCAAATTTCTGCAGCCAGCTTGACTTTCTCCCCAGAAAATAGGGTTTTCTTTTCTATTGAATCATCAGGCTGCAAATTTTCCAAACTTCTATGTTCTGCTTCCTCTTGAATGTTTTGCTGCTTAGAAATTTCTTCTGCCAGATATCCTAAATCATCTCTCTCAAGTTCAAAGTTCCAAAGATCTCTGGGGCAGGTACAAAATGCCACCAGTCTGTTTGCATAGCAAGAGTAACCTTTACTCCAGTTCCCAACAAGTTCCTTGTCTCCATCTGAGACCACCTCATTCTCAACTTCATTGTCCACATCACTACCAGCATTTTGGTCAAAGTCACTCGACAAGTCTCTAGGAAGTTCCTAACTTTCCCACATCTTCCTATCTTCTCAGCCCTCCAAGTCTCTAGGAAATTCCAAACTTTCCCACATTTTCCTGTCTTCTTCTGAGCCTTCCAAACTGTTCCAACCTCTGCCTTCATCCATTTCCAAAGTTGCTTCCACATTCTCAGGTATCTTTACAGCAGCACCCCACTCTCTATGGTACCAATTTACTTACTATATTAGTCTGTTCTCATGCTGCTATAAGGACATATCTGAGACTGGGTAATTTATAAAGGAAAGAGGTTTAATTGACTCATAATTCAGCATGGCTAGGGAGGGCTCAGGAAACTTACAATCATGGCTGAAGGGAAAGCAAACACATCCTTCTTCACAAGGCAGCAGGAGAGAGAAGAATGAGAGCAAAGCAGGGGTAAAGCCCCTTATGAAACCATCAGATTCTTGTGAGAACTCCCTCATAGCATGAGAAGAGTAGCATGGGGTAACTGCCCCCATGATTCAATTACCTCCCAGTGGGTCCCTCCCACCACATGTGGGGATTATGGGAATTACAATTCAAGATGAGATTTGGGTGGGCACACAGCCAAACCATATCACCATGGCATTATGGCTTATTGTTTACATGTTCACACATCTGTATCCTATACTACATTCATGACTTCTTTAGACAGCAGAGCCATGTCCTATTTATCTTTGTATCCCAGCACCTAACAGAGCCTGTTACCTGGTTACTACTCAGCGAGTGCTGGATGAATTAATGGCCAATTCCAATAAGTAGTAAAATGCTGTAGTTCTTTTCATAGGAAAGAATAGGCACAATTTCAAACATTTCAAACATTTCACAATCACCCTAGCTAGATAAAGGCTTATGCTATACTTTGCTAAAATTAATAGCTACTGTTTCTTGAGGACCTCCTATATTCAGACACACTGCCATGTGCTTTAAATATACCATCTCTGATCTTCATGACAACCAGCAAGGTACATGTCACCATTCGCATTTTATAGATCAAGAAACTGAAGTCCAGGCCGGGCACGGTGGCTCACGCCTGTAATCCCAGCACTTTGGGAGGCCGAGGCAGGCAGATCATGAGGTCAGGAGTTCAAGACCACCCTGGCCAATATGGTGAAACCCTGTCTCTACTAAAAATACAAAAATTAGCCGGGCGTGGTGGCACACGCCTGTAGTCCCAGCTGCTCGGGAGGCTGAGGCAGGAGAATCGCTTGAACCCGGGAGGCGGAGATTGCAGTGAGCTGAGATTGCGCCATTGCACTCCAGCCTGGGAGACACAGTGAGACTCCATCTCAAAAAAAAAAAAAAAAAAAAAAAAGAAGGAAATAAACTGAAGTCCACAGATTACACATCTGCTAGCGGCACAGCCAGGACTAAGACAAGGCTCCCAATTCACAACTGTACTTTGCATTCCGTACCTCCTTTCTTTCTGACCCTGTGAGTCGGAGGAGCCCTGTAGGGCCAGAGCTCCTCTTGGAACCATAGAATTGGTCCCCTTAGGGTCCCATTTCCCGCACTGCATAGACAAAAGTGAATTTACCTTATTCTTGAGCACAGCTGCCCAGGAACTGTGGGTAAGGCCCAGAGGGCGCATACACCAATCAGGATTTTGAAATGTTCATTGGTGATAACTCACTCAGTCACAGGATTTCCTAACTTTTCAGGTAAAGCCAATTGGATGGCGTTTGTGGCACCAAGCATTTGCATTGCTATCATCATGGTGGGCATTTTCTCAACGCATTACTTCCAGCAAAAGTGAGTTGGTTACACCTACCAAGTGGGTAAATGAGGCTTTTAAAAAATGATAATAGCTGTTGCTGCCATGGGTCAGGGAAATGGACACTCTCACACATTCCTGGTGAGAGACTAAACTTATTTAACCACTTTGGGTGACAGTATGTGTCAAATCCTTAAAAATATATCTTTTGATCTAACAATCTCTAACTAGAAATGTATTTTATATATATATATATATATATATATATATATATATATATATATATTCTTTTTTTCCCCCAAAAAAATTTTTTTGAGACAGAGTTTCACTCTTGTCGCCCAGGCTGAAGTGCAATGGTGTGATTTTGGCTCACTGCAACCTCCGCCTCCTGGGTTCAAGCAATTGTCCTGCCTCAGCCTCCTGAGTAGCTGGGATTACAGGTGCCCACCACCATGCCCAGATAATTTTTGTATTTTTTATTAGAGACAGGGTTTCATCATGTTGGCCAGACTGGTCCCGAACTCCTGACCTCAAGTGATCCACCTGCCTCAGCCTCCCAAAGTGCTGGGATTACAGGTATGAGCCACTGCACCAAGCCTATTCTATTATAGATGTCTGCAGATATTTAGTGGAAAATATGTTCACTGTAATAATTTTCAGAAAAGAAAAATATTTGAGACAACCTAAACGCCCAATGATAAGGGATTGGTTAACTAAATCCTGATATATCTTGTACTATAACATATTATGTGTCCATGAAAGATGATGTAGAAATTAAATAGTATGGCAGGCCGGGCACAATGGCTCACACCTGTAATCCCAGCACTTTGGGAGGCTGAGGCGGGCGGATCACCAGGTCAGGAGATGGAGACCATCCTGGCCAACATGTTGAAACCCCATCTCTACTAAAAATACAAAAATTAGCTGGGTGTGGTGGCACGAGCCTGTAGTCCCAGCTGAGACTCAGGAGGCTAAGGCAGGAGAATCACTTGAACCTGGGAGGTGGAGATTGCAGTGAATCGAGATTGCACCACTGCACTCCACCCTGGCAACACAGCAAGACTGTCTCAAAAAAAAAAAAAAAAAGAAAGAAATTAAATGGTATGAACAATATTTACCATGTTCCATTTAAAAGGCAGCCTGCCAAACAATACGTACTTTCATTTCTTAAAAATAGTGCATACACACAGATGCAAATGTAAGATATATCAGTTAGCATTAAATTTGGTTATATATAATATAAAAGTCAAAATAACATGACTGAGGCTGGGCGCCGGGGCTCATGCCTGTAATCTCAGCACTTTGGGAGGCTGAGGCAGGCAGATCACCTCAGGTCAAGAGTTCAAGACCAGCCTGGACAGCATGGTGAAACTCTGTCTCTACTGAAAATACAAAAATTAGTCAGCCATGGTGGTGCACACCTGTAGTCCCGGTATTCAGGAGGCTGAGGCATGAGAATCACCTGAACAGGAGGCAGAGGTTGTAGTAAGTTGAGATTGCGCCACTGCACTCCAGCCTAAAACGGCAATAAGAACAAAAAAAACACTGTGGTCTTTCCTTTGAGGTAGAGCTGCAAGAAAAGAAAACAAAACTGTGGTACTTCAGCCAAGTGCATTGTCGTCCTAGTAAATCTGGGTCCTCTTCCTAAGAAGGAGGGGAAAATGAATATTGGGTGGCAATTACTCTGTGCCCCAAGGATATAAACCACAATATTTTTGTTTTGTTTTGTTTTGAGACAGAGTCTCACTCTGTCGCCCAGGCTGGAGTGCAGTGGCATGATCTTGGCTCACTGCAGCCTCTGCTTCCTGGGTTCAATCGATTCTCCTGCCTCAGCCTCCTGAGTAGCTGGGACTACAGGTGCCCGCCACCACGCCCAGCTACTTTTTGTATTTTTGGTAGAGATGGGGTTTCACCATGTTGGCCAGGCTGGTCTCAAACTCCTGACCTCATGATCCACCCACCTCAGTCTCCCAAAGTGCTGGGATTACAGGCGTGAGCCACCGCACCCAGCCTAAACCACAATATTAATGGTGTTTATATCTGGGGATATAATTGTAGGTGATTTTAGTTTTTCTTGTTTAATTATATTTTTAGAATTTCCTTAGTAAACATGTATTATTTTTCAAAGAAAAGATTTTTAATGAGTTGGTTATTCAATACAAAGTTTTCTTCAAATGCTGTGTAAAGTAAGAGAAGAGGTCTTTTGACCTCTAACTCAAAGTCATTCTACCAGCCATTGAACTTGTCTAACAGGCTGTACATTTATTGAAGATCTAATGTGTGATAGATACTTCAACGTGAAGCTCTCTTTGGGTAGACTTTGAAAAAGTTTAATTCAAAAGGAGTCAACTAGGATCACATGCATCCTCTTCATGGAAATTGTGAAGATCAGTTACAGTGCAGGCTAAACTGCCTTAAAAAAAAAAAGAGGACCCAAAGCACAGTGGCTTAAATAATACTTTATTTATCTTCCATATAACAGCCCTGAGGTAAGGTATCCAGACTGGTGGGCAGCTGTGCTCCATAGTTATTTGTGGACTCAGTTTTCTTCCATCTTTTTGGCATACCATCCCTTAGGTATTGTCCTCATCTGCATGATCTCTATGAGATCACAGACACTTCTGCTCATATTTCTTTGGAGAAAACCTAGTCACATGGCCACATCTCTTACTTCAAAAGGTTAGACAAATTGTAAAGCATACTTTTAAAAAAAAAAAAAAATCAAAGCTTATGAAAGCCAAGTCTTTAAAAATGTTTCATATTGTTCATGAACTTTAAAAAAAATAAGTCACATGCATTTATAAGAAATGTTTTTAGGATTTTTCCTTCTACATCATAAAAGACCTGTATTTCCTCTTATTGCCAAATACAATCACTGTTAATAGATATTTCAGATATTTCCCTATAATACTTTTTTCTTGGCATTTTTAACATGGTTGTGTTCAAGCTATTTATACCATTTTGAATCCCGTCTTTTTTTCAACTGTTCACATAATTTACCTGTCATTACAAACTCTTTGTAAATATTCTAATTAGCTAAATAGTAAGGGTAGGGAACATGTCATCTTCAATGCTTGGCAGGTAGCATTGTGCTGGTCACATATTAGGGGTTCAATCAATATTTGTTGAATGAATGCATAGCTGGCTAGTGATAGATTGCTAAATATTAGGTTGATCAAAAGTTCCATGGTTTATTTAGCAAACCTCAAGTGGCTGTGTTGTAATTTTACAGAAAACTACCGTAGTCTTGGATGATAAATCATCTTTGTCTTTCAGTGTTTATCTTTTATTTGCATACAAAAGCAGCCCTTACACTGAAGTTACTGCACTGAGAACCTGTGCTTCCATGCCACTGTGTGCACACCTAAGGAAATGTCACTGTTTTCTTTATCTATAGGGTGTTTGTTCTCCTAGCAGCCCTCAGACCTCAGTGGTGTAGCAGAGAAATTCCAGATCCAGCAAATAGCACTTGCGCTAAGAAATATCCCATTGCAGAGGTAAGGTACAATTCCTCTGTGGTCAGTCAGTGGAGTTCTAGTGATCACCACATCTAAGTTTTCCATTGTAGTTACGAGGAAGCCTGGGTGCTGAGATCCTATGGTTGAGCTTAAGTTATTCACGCTTGGCTACCACTGAGTCATCATTCTCATTTTAATTCCTGAACTTAAGAGAAACCAGGCACAGGAATCTTCTGAAGTTTATGATCATAAGACTAAAACCCCCTAGCTTTTTATACCTCAGTATGCCTCACTTTCCCCTTCTCACCAAACTGCTCTCCTGTTCTCCTCACCTAACTTATTTCAAAAGAAGAAAGCAAACTTTCCTTTTTTTTTTTTTTTTTTTTGCCATTTGTTGAGTACTAGCCTGAGCATTGAGTCATCCAAAATTCAAGAGAATTGAAGATTTTGATTTTCCTGTCTAAGCATAGAAAAGATAAATAGAACCCATACTATTTTGGTTTGGGCAAGAAGCCAGTACATCATTCCATTGTGCAAAGAAAAGGTTTTAAAGGAGAGGTTGATCAGCTGGCAGATGAGAGAGGGGAGAGTAAAGGAAGTGAAGGGAACTGCTGCAGCCCAGGAAAGAAGGTGAGAAAGCTCACAGTGGGCAAGATGGGCCATCCCTGGTGGAGGGTCTGGAAGTTGAAAGTATCTGAATATGAAGACTACATTTAAGGGGAGAAATAGGAGAGAGAAGTGGCAAGTCAATATTCCTCCCATCACCTGGGGCTTTGACAACTCCAGGCTCCCTTTCCAAGACCTTATAACACTCCTTGCTCAAGATGCTTCTCTCCAACTACCGAGTATGTTCTGTCATCCACACCCTTCCTCAGGCCAGAAGCCAGTGGTCCATAGTCCCAACCTCCACTCAAAAAAAAAGAGTGGATCCCAGCCACAGATTCTTTAGGCATTTAAGTCTCTATAGTTTAGTGCCTTTGAAATCAAGCCCAGAGGCCACCCCTGCCTCTGCCACTTACTATGTGTGTGACTCTTGGGCAACTTGCCCAACTATCTGAGCCCAAGTTTCAGCCTCAATAAAACAGGAGTTGACAGTATCATTCTTACTTACCACTGTGAGGATTAAATAAGATGCCATGTAAAGCACATGGGTCATATAAGACAAAGATCATTCACTTTCTTCCCAAGAAGACCCATAATTTAAGTCTCCTCTGAGGGATTTCATCCCTATTAAGTTACAACAGCAAAAACAGTGATAATAACAGCAGTGTGTGTGTGTGTGTGTGTGTGTGTGTCTATACACACACACACACACAAACTGCTGTTTTATATATATGTATACAAACTGCTGTTATTACTATTTTATATATATAATATACAGGTTATATAATTATATATTTTCTATATTCTGTCATATAATATATAATTATATAATAATATTATACATTCATTATTATAATTTAGATATATTATCTTCTATGTACCAGGCACTTTTGAAAACATTTTCATACGTTAACATTTAACCCATAAACATCTCTATGAGGTCGTATGATTTTTTTTTTTTTGAGACAGAGTCTTGTTCTGTTGCCCAGGCTGGAGTGCAGTGGCGCAATCTCGGCTCACTGCAAGCTTCACCTTCCAGGTTCACGCCGTTCTCCTGCCTCAGCCTCCCTAGTAGCTAGGACTACAGGCGCCCGCCGCCATGCCCGGCTAATTTTTTTTTATTTTTATTTTTAGTAGAGATGAGGTTTCACTGTGTTAGCCAGGATGGTCTCAATCTCCTGACCTCGTGATCCACCCGCCTCGGCCTCCCAAAGTGCTGGGATTATAGGCGTGAGCCACCATGCCCGGCATGAGGTTGTATGATTATCTTCATTTTCCGCATGAGGAAATTGAGGCACAGAGGACTACGTAACTTGCCCAATGTTAGTCAGCGAGTACATGGTGGATCCTGGACTCATATCCAAGCAGGATATGCTGCCTATCATTGCACTACACATTTTAAAGGATCTTTAAACACGGGGTGAGGAGAGAGTTTCTAGCAGTCTACACCTCTGAGCTGAAGAGACTTATTAAAAGTAAGACAGGAGGAAGGTGATAGAAATTGGTATACATATGCCCAAAGTTGTGTAGTATAAGTGTATTCATTGCAGCATTATCAATAGAAGCAAAAACTCGGGCATAATGTAAAGGTGCACCAGGATGCAAATTAAACTTTTTGGGTACATCCATACAATAGGGTATTAGGCAAAAACTAAAAAAATGACATAGATCTATATGTGCCTAAAGATCTACAAGATACTTAAAAGTAAAAAGAGCAATATTTATCACAATTGTCCAAAGTGGGTTTATTTATATAAAAATGAGGGCGATTTTACACACACTCATACATCTGCAGCATGGGCACAGGATATTTCTGGAAGCCCACTATGATACATATGAAATGGATACTGGTGGTTGCCTCCAGGGAGAGGGTTGAGAGTATGAAGGCCACTTAATTTTCATTACATAGTCCCTTTGAACTTTTAGATATCTTTTTTTTTTTTTTTTTTTTTTTTTTGAGACGGAGTCTCGCTTTGTTGCCAGGCTGGAGTGCAGTGGCACTATCTCGGCTCACCGCAAGCTCCGCCTCCTGGGTTCACACCATTCTCCTGCCTCAGTCTCCTGAGTAGCTGGGACTGCAGGGGCACGCTGCCACGCCTGGCTAATTTTTTTGTATTTTTTTAGTAGAGATGGGGTTTCACCATGTTGGCCAGGCTGGTGACCCCAAGTGATCCACCCGCCTCAGCCTCCCAAAGTGTTGGGAGTACAGGCATGAGCCACCACACCTGGCCTAGAATATCTTAAGAAAACTGTGTGCATATAATTTTTTTGCAAAAATAACCAGTGAATTAGAAAATTTTAAAAATTAAGCAGCTTAAATATGGCCTCGAGGATGAAAGCCTTGAGACGGCCTTAGAACCCCATGTGGCTTGACCCTTGAAGAAGGTGGACTGTTTTTAGAAAGGAAACTGCTCTCCAGGTGCTAGGCAGAGGCAGACAACAGAAACACAATAGTGTGTCCTCCCCTCCTAGCAAATGTGCTTTGAGCTATCAGGCCTTCCCTCCCCTACTGTTTCTTAAGATGTGGCTACACCACCATGTGCCCTAAAGCTCTGAAGGAAAAGGCCAAATCATAAAGGGGATTGCTGGAGTGTTATCTAGCTTGTAAAAGCTTAAAATAGTGTCCATGAGGTTCCTGAACTGATAGTGGTTTAAGAGGCCTGCCCCCGAGGACTTGGCAGCCAGAGGGCCCGCTTTGTAAAAGCCGTGAGAGTTGCTCTCCTGACGGCAGAGCAAACACCTCACCTTGTGAAAACGACAAGCCATTTCCGCACAGGGTGTAATCTTTCCCACATCTGTGGTAGCAGCACTTTGGCGGCTCAGCTTCCCAGAGCTGCCAGCTGTGTTCCGAGCCAGACCCACGTGCCAGGGCCAGTTTGGGTAGTGATCAGAAAAGAGCAGTCTCCCCGAAGTGAAACGCAAACACACATCCTCTAGCTTGGCGGGGCCCTTTGTGGAAATCTGTTCTGAGACAGTGCCATTGTTCACTTTCCTGACACTTGCCATGTCCAAGGCAAGGGAGGGGATGTAAGAAGAAGATCCAGACCAAACCCCTCTTGCACAACTTGTCATTGGACAAATGAGAGAACTGAGATCCCAGAGAGGTTGGTTGGTTTTTCCCAGGCTACAGTGTTGGAGTTGGGACTAGTCCCCAGGGTGTGCCTTGTCCCACGGCTATTTTTTGTCATCCTACTCCTCCTGTAAGACATGGTCCCTGTGCACACATGGCTTACAGACATATAAAAAAAGTGACAGCACAAAGTATCACATGCCAAGAACCTAACAGTGGTTTCTTCACTGAACAGGCATCCAGGGAAAGGAACAGTCACCAGGGGCCTCATGGAAGGAGAAGGCACGAAGCAGGGGACAGTGGGAGGCACACACAAGCAGGGTGAAGGCCGGCAGTGGAAGCAAAAGTGTGTGGGGCACTGAGAGAAGGGCATGATTAGTAAGACCGGGACAGTGGTTGAAAGAGCAGCTTCTGAAGAGAAAGACAGAGAGGTGGAGGAAGGGCAGGAACCAATTGCCAGGCCAATGCTGGAATCTTGACTGTGCATGTAAGCCAAGTCAGCAGAGGCTCTGGACCCTCTGCTTGGGAAAGATCAGGCAGCCAGTGTGTAGGATTGTTTCTAGGATGCAAAGAGACCCCAATTAAAGCCCAGTTTTTTAAAAATGTTAATAAAGTGCCAAGGACTTGGACTCAGGAATTGGCAGCAAGTTCGGAAAGGAAAGAGATAGGACATTGAAGAGCTGGTCACCGGCAGAATGCTAAGAGAAAATAAGTGAGAGAATTAATTAAGTAACAAAAGTATAAGCTAATTTTGTCTGTTACAAACAAAATTAGCTAAAGGCAAAAAAAGATGAAAATTTCTTCTAAAAATGTTATTCCAAAGTAGTCTTTCTTAAAAGCAGATCTGACAAGGAATATTACCTTGCCTGAAACCTTTCGGTAGTTCTCTCAAGGCACAAACACCCTTGCATCACTTAAAAGGCCCTGTGTGATGTGACCGCCTCCTATTTCTGAAGCCTCGGGTTACCAGTCATAAGAAATAACTAGCAGGTTCCAAAATACACCAGTCCTCCTTGCCAGCACCTCCCTACCTGGAAAACACCACACATCTCTCAGGACTCAGCTCAGCTCTCGTGTCCCTTCATCACCTGTTTAGTGTGATCCTAAAGGCTTCACTGCCTCCTCCCCAAGACAGAAGCAGTCTCAGCCTTTCCTTTGCATCTCCAGTGCCCTCTGTCCTCAAGGAAAAGCAGGTAGTATAGCTTGGTTCACATTAGAAACGGGGCTGGGCATGGTGGCTCATGCCTGTAATCCCAGCACTTTGGGAGGCCAAGGTGGGTAGATCACTTGAGGTCAGGAGTTCGAGACCAGCCTGGCCAACATGGTGAAACCCTGTCTCTACTAAAAATATAAAAATTAGCCAGGCATGGTGGCACATGCCTATAATCCCAGCCACTCGGGAGGCTGAGGCACGAGAATTGCTTGAACCTGGGAGGCGGAGGTTACAGGGAGCCAAGATCATGCCACTGCACTTGAGCCTGGGTGACAGAAGGCGACTTCGTCTCAAGAAAAAAAAAAAAAAGAAAGAAAGAAACAGGTTGAAGGTTGAGCAGGGCTGTGAATCACTCACTGGCTGGGGGTTGAGAGGAGTCTCTGGCTCCTGCCCCTCTGCCTCCCCAACAATGTTAACTGTTTCTCTTACCTCGCAAACTCCAGTGCCCAACATGTTCCAGCCAGGGCTGAGGAGACAGTGCAGGTTGTGAGGCCTTTGGGAACCCTGGAGAAATAGGTTGTGAAGGTCACTTCTACAGCAGTGTGAGCCTCTTCCTCCTCCTTTCTCTCAGGAGAAGACACAGCTGCCCTTGGACAGGCTCCTGATAGACTGGCCCACGCCTGAAGATCCTGAACCGCTGGTCATCAGTGAAGTCCTTCATCAAGTGACCCCAGTTTTCAGACATCCCCCCTGCTCCAACTGGCCACAAAGGGAAAAAGGAATCCAAGGTCATCAGGCCTCTGAGAAAGACATGATGCACAGTGCCTCAAGCCCACCACCTCCAAGAGCTCTCCAAGCTGAGAGCAGACAACTGGTGGATCTGTACAAGGTGCTGGAGAGCAGGGGCTCCGACCCAAAGCCCGAAAACCCAGCCTGTCCCTGGACGGTGCTCCCAGCAGGTGACCTTCCCACCCATGATGGCTACTTACCCTCCAACATAGATGACCTCCCCTCACATGAGGCACCTCTCGCTGACTCTCTGGAAGAACTGGAGCCTCAGCACATCTCCCTTTCTGTTTTCCCCTCAAGTTCTCTTCACCCACTCACCTTCTCCTGTGGTGATAAGCTGACTCTGGATCAGTTAAAGATGAGGTGTGACTCCCTCATGCTCTGAGTGGTGAGGCTTCAAGCCTTAAAGTCAGTGTGCCCTCAACCAGCACAGCCTGCCCCAATTCCCCCAGCCCCTGCTCCAGCAGCTGTCATCTCTGGGTGCCACCATCGGTCTGGCTGCAGCTAGAGGACAGGCAAGCCAGCTCTGGGGGAGTCTTAGGAACTGGGAGTTGGTCTTCACTCAGATGCCTCATCTTGCCTTTCCCAGGGCCTTAAAATTACATCCTTCACTGTGTGGACCTAGAGACTCCAACTTGAATTCCTAGTAACTTTCTTGGTATGCTGGCCAGAAAGGGAAATGAGGAGGAGAGTAGAAACCACAGCTCTTAGTAGTAATGGCATACAGTCTAGAGGACCATTCATGCAATGACTATTTCTAAAGCACCTGCTACACAGCAGGCTGTACACAGCAGATCAGTACTGTTCAACAGAACTTCCTGAGATGATGGAAATGTTCTACCTCTGCACTCACTGTCCAGTACATTAGACACTAGGCACATTGGCTGTTAATCACTTGGAATGTGTTTAGCTTGACTGAGGAATTAAATTTTGATTGTAAATTTAAATCGCCACACATGGCTAGTGGCTACTGTATTGGAGTGCACAGCTCTAGATGGCTCCTAGATTATTGAGAGCCTTCAAAACAAATCAACCTAGTTCTATAGATGAAGACATAAAAGACACTGGTAAACACCAAGGTAAAAGGGCCCCCAAGGTGGTCATGACTGGTCTCATTTGCAGAAGTCTAAGAATGTACCTTTTTCTGGCCGGGCGTGGTAGCTCATGCCTGTAATCCCAGCACTTTGGGAGGCTGAGGCAGGCGGATCATGAGGTCAGGAGATCGAGACCATTCTGGCTAACATGGTGAAACCCCATCTCTACTAAAAATATTTTTAAAAAAAATTAACTGGGCGTGATGGCGGGCGCCTGTAGTCCCAGCTACTCGGGAGGCTGAGGGAGGAGAATGACATGAACCTGGGAGGTGGGGCTTGCAGTGAGCCACTGCACTCCAGCCTGGGCAACAGAGCAAGACTCTGTCTCAAAAAAGAAAAAAAAAAAAAAGAATGTACCTTTTTCCTAGATTTGCTGGTTTATTGTTTTATTTTGGCTTCATCCTCTTTCAGCAAATCAAGGGCAGCTGGATGGTGAAGACCTATATTGTAAACTCACCATAGTACCATAGTACCTTGGGCAACCCAGCCTCCCACTCTGAATCTCGGGTGTCTTGTAAAGGGCTGGACCAAAGGCTCCCTGACCCCTTGTTTCCTCTCCTTTTTGCTGCAGCAGGCCCTGCCTTCAGGACCAGGGCTGTCTCAGGGTCTAAGACCCCAACCTCTGAGGTTGTCCTCAGAAGTGGTCTGTCCCCTGTTCCCAAAGGCACAGCTTTCATTCCCGGAGAAGATATTGAGCTGGTCCTCTGCCAGCTCAAGTTGAGCCTGGAAGATAACTCTCTTTTCCACAACATGGACTTGGAACATGATCCATGTTTTGCTCTTTAAAGCTGTGGCCCCTGGCTTGCCACCCTCCCTAGCCCATTGCTGCCTCTGTCTCTTCACCATAGGCACTTCTGCCAAACTAGTGGAGAAGTCTTGGTCTAAACTGCTAATAATGCTCTTCCCTAAAGAACAGGATAAAAGATCCAAAATACTTTTTCTTAAATTCCTGTCAAGCCTGGGGTCCACCCCGTACCCCTTCCCACATGAACGCTGGAACTGAGATGGCTTCCCCATCATCGTCTGGATTTTCATTTAACAAAGTACTTGTTGTAAATGTGTACTTCTTGCCTAACGTGAGGAACTAAAAACTTGTCCATGCATACCCCAGTCCTGTAGAAATAACTGTTCTCGGGCTTTAGGTTTTCCAGATTTCCCTCAGAGCTCTAGAAACTGAGCGATGGACAGTTGCTCTGCTTCTTCAGGTTGGAACTCTTGATACATCCTTGTTTCCTGAAATTCCAAACTTAACACCTATAGTTCTCTCAGGCTTTTTTTGAAAAGTTCCTTCGTTTCTATTTCTATTCCACTCTATTTAGCTATTATTGTGCGGCACCCCCAATGGTTCCTTTCCTCTCAGCATCGCTGTAGCTTGCCTGTACCCAGGACATGCCCTTGACTGGCACAAACCGTGACAGACATGCCCTTGACTGGCACAAACCATGACAGACAAGGCCACCTCCTCAGAAGCGGAACAACCTATTATCTTTTGGCAATGGGAGCTAACTTCACTGTTTTCTTACAATACCTGGTTTTTCCTATCTTTGGTTTCCTTTTGATTATCTCTCATCCATCTCAGCCACTATTCTCCTCCCCTCCCTTGTGTCTACAACACCCCATTTTACCAAGTCTCCCATTTAACCTCCCCATCCTTTTCTTTCCCTTAAAGTCTCATATGATACTGCAGTCCTCATTTGTCTTCCCAAAAAAAAAAAAGAATTTTTTTTTTTTTAAGGAATCCTTCCTTGACTCCTAAAGACTCCTAAGGATGCTGAGGCCTCCTCAGCATGATTTCCATATACTTACTTTCTCTGTTGGACTGCAGACAACTTGAAAGCAGGAACTTTGGCAGTGTTTCCCCAGCACCAGCATCATGCCTGGTCCATAGTAGCTACCAATAAAAAAGTAAGCATCATGAACCCAAAAGTATCTGAGAAAGGTCTCAATTAATTTAAAAAGTTTTTATTTTGCTAAGGTTAAGGACACACATGACCCACCCTCAGAAGGTCCGGAGGACATGTGCCCAAAGTGGTTAAGGCACAGCTTGGTTTTATACATTTTAGGGAGATATAAGACATCAATCAACATATGTAAGATGTACATTGGTTGGGTCTGGAAAGGCAGGATAACTCAAAGTGGGGGCTTCCAGGTCATAGGTAAATAAGAGACAAAAGATTGCATTCTTTTGGGGTTTTGATCAGCCTTTTACTAAATACACAATTTACATGTGAGAAGGAGGTAGCTCAGGTGAACAGAGGGATGACTTTGAGTTCTGTGTATCCTTTGTCCCACACTTGTGAAGATCAGCTATGGTGAAATTCAACAGAACTGTTTTAGAGTAAAGATCTTGAAGCCCTCGTAGGCAAATTGTGAGGAAAGTATGCAGTTTTTCGGGGGAGAAGGGGAATAAAATGGGAGGCAGCTTTGCCTGATGCAGTTCCCAGCTTGACTTTTCCCTTTGCCTTAGACTGATTGTCTTTTCGCAGCAGTATCACTTGCCACTGCTTTGTCTTATTCTTTCTATTCCAGAAGCCAGCCCATCTGTGCCCATTTCCTCCTTATTGGAACAATTGTTTGCATTCGTTCATTTTCCTCCCCAAACCCCATTCTCTCCCATTTGTTGACAGCACCATTGTGATGCATGGAGGGGTGTTTCTCATTTTAAAGACGTATTTGAGCATGTCTTTGGCAGCTCACTCTGCCAGATAAGGTGTCCTCTTTCCATGAATGACAGAAGATGGGTAACTCTGTTCTGCCATTGCCCCAAGCGGTTTTCACAATCTGCCCTTCTCCCCTCTGCCCCCCACCACTAGTAAAAACCCCAAACCAAGTTGCTAGGTTCACCAGATCTAGGTGATACTCACCAACATACAGCTAGGCTTTCATTCCTCAGGAAAATTGCAATTTTGTGGTCTTATAATGATATATATTGGTTTCCATCCATGGTTGCGGGCTCCTGATGTCAGAGGTGTTTGAACCAAAGCAACTCCATCTTGAATAGAGGCTGGGTAACATAAGGCTGAGACCTACTGGGCTGCATTCTCAGGAGGTTAGGCATTCTTAGTCACAGGATGAGATAGGTTGGCACAAGATGTCACAAAGACCCTGCTGATAAAAGAGGTTGTGGTAAAGAAGCCAAACAAAACCCACCAAAACCAAGATGGTGACGAAAGTGACCTCTGGTCATCCTCACGCTTATTATATGCTAATTATAATGCATATAATTAGCATATAATATGCATATGTTAACATGCTAACAGACACTCCCTCCATGACAGTTTACAAATGCCAAGGCAACGTCAGAAAGTTACCCTATAGGGTTTAAAAGGGGGAGAAACTCACAGCTCTGGGAATTGCCTACTCCTTTCCTGGAAAACTCATGAATAATTCACCTCTTGTTTAGCATATAATCAAGAAATAACTCAGGCCAGGCATGGTGACTCACGCCTGTAATCCGAGCACTTTGGGAGGCTGAGGTGGGTGGATCACCTGAGGTGTCAGGAGTTCCAGACCAGACTGGCCAACATGGTGAAACCCCATCTGTACTAAAAATACAAAATTAGTCAGGCATAGTGGCATGCGCCTATAATCCCAGCTACTCAGGTGGCTGAGACGAGAATCGCTTTGAACCCGGGAGGTGGAGGTTGCAGTGAGCCGAGATTGCACCATTGCACTCCAGCCTGGGCAACACAGCGAGACTGTCACAAACAAACAAACAAACAAACAACAACAACAACAAAACTGTAAGTATACTCAATTGAGCAGCCCACGCTGTTGCTCTATGGAGTAGCCATTCTTTCATTCCTTTACTTTCTTAATAAACTTACTTTCGCTTTACTCTGTGGATTCACCTCAAATTCTTTCTTGTTCAAGATCCAAGAATCCCCTCTTGGGGTCTGGATGGGGACTCCATTGTTATGGATGTCCCATAACAATAACTCCCGTAGCCCTCCTCAGTCTTTTGCTATGTTGGGTGTGTCAGGCCTCAGGGACCAGCCTCTGACCTTCTCCTATCCTCCTTTCACTCTAACATTCCCCTGCCTTTCCAATTGTGAGTCTTAAGACCCTCCCATGAGAGGGTCCCACCCATACCCTGGGAGAAGGAAGGCTGATGTCATGAAGCTTCCATAAAAACCCAAGAGGGCCAGGCACGGTTGGCTCACACCTGTAATCCCAGCACTTTTGGAGGCCGAGGTGGGTGGATGACTCTAGGCCAGGAGTTCGAGACCAGCCTGGCTAATATGGCAAAAACCCCATTTCCACTAAAAATACAAAAATTAACCAAGCATGGTGGCACATGCCCATAATCTTGACTACTTGGAAGGCTGGGGCATGAGAATCGCTTGAACTAGGGAGGTGGAGGTTGGGGTGAGCCAAGATCATGCCACTGCACTCCAGCCTGGGCGACAGGGCAAGACTGTCTTAAAAGACAACAACAAAAAGCAAAACCCAAGAGGACTGGATTCAGAGAGCGTGAGAGCGTCCAGATGATAGCTGAACATGTGGAGATTCCTAAAAGGTGGCGCATGGGAGCTCCATGCCCCTTCCCCCATTCCTTGCACTACATATCTCTTTATCTGTATCCTTTGGAATAAACCAATCAAAGTTGTGTCTCGGAGTTCTGTGAGCTGCTCCAGTAAATTAATCAAACCCAAAGAAGGGGCTGTGGGAACAACTTGAAGCTGATCGGTCAGAAGTTCCAGGGGGCTGGACTTACAACCGGTGGGAGTGGGACAGTCTTGGGGACTGAGCCCGCAACTTGTGGGATCTGACACTATCTCTGGGTTCCCAATACCCAGAATAGTGTTGGCACTGAATTAGAGGACACCCAGATGACGTCTGCTGCTTGGTGTGGGGAAACACCCCCTGATGTCCACCATCTGGTCACAGAAGTTGCTTCTGTATTTAGTTGTGGTCTGAGAGTAAAGCCCAGCTAATTTTTGTATTTTTTGTAGAGACAGGGTTTTGCAGTGTTGCTCAGGCTGGTCTCAAACTCCTAAACTCAAGTGATTCGCCTGCCTCGGCCTCCTCAAGTGCTGGGACTACAGGTGTGAGCCACCGCACTCAGCCCTTGAGTTCATTCTTAATGAATTCATGGAAATCCTCACCATCAACTGTGAGATCCTCACCATGAGTATCTTTGAAGGACCTCTCTTTCCCTGAAGCCAGAGATTTTATTTTCTGGGTTTCTGCCTACCTTATAGGCAATAGGAAAATTAAACTAGTGTTAGTTTTTTTCTCTTCCTTCTCTTCACATTATCCCAATTTTTCAGCTTCCATTAATAGCTTTTCAGCTTCAGCATTAAGTCACCAATCCCCTGAGACCTGTGAAAGCAATGCCAAACTAGGCACATTCTATTATAGTCAGCTCCCCATGTACGATTCTTGGTTTATCTCCACCAGGTTCTACTCTTTTTAATCTAAATTAAAAATTTTGCATCTAATGCAGTTGTCACCTGTCCCAATAGCACCACTCAAGCCCTCCAAAGGAGGCATGTTTTCCTCTTCCTAACTTGCAGGACTCATGGAAGTTCACATTATCCACCTCTATGAAAGGCTTACAGGTGGACCCTCATGAGTAAAGCACCTCTCAAGAGATCAGAGGGTCTTCTTCCCACCCTAGAAAAAGATAAGCAATTCAATCAATCTGCTGGCTGATGGAAACAAACTGGATCATTACATCACAGCCTGATTAGAATGAATTTCCAAAATAGATTAAAATTAAAGCCTTGCAAAACTCTCTCTCTCTCTCTCTCACACACACACACACACACACACACACACACACACACACACACAAATATTTGCAACAGGTCAGGCATGGTGGCTCATGCCTGTAATCCCAGGACTTTGGGAGGCCGAGGTGGGCAGATCACTTGAGATCAGGAGTTCAAGACCAGCCTGGCCAACATGGAGAAACCCTGTCTCTACTTTAAAAAAAAAAAAAAAAAAATTAGCTGGGCATGATGGTGGGCGCCTGTAATCCCAGCTACTCAGGAGGCTGAGGCATGAGAATTGCTTGAACCTGGGAGGTGGAGGTTGCAGTGAGCTAAGATTGCGCCACTGCACTCCATCCTGGGCAATAGAGTAAGACTCCATCTCAAAAAATAAAAATAAAAATAAAAATCAGGAGTGTAAGTTGGCCCCTTTGTGGAGGGCAGACGGGCAATATTCGATAAAATCTGAATAAGCAACTCCACTCCTACATATAGCCCAAGGAACAGTATAATTATATTAAATTGAATACAGGATTCCTCAACAGCATTTGATTTTATAAAATGGTGAGGGGCAGGGAGTGAGAGGGAAAAGCCTTAAATGCCCTTCAGTAGAGACCTGGTTAAATCATGATATATCTGTACAATGAAACACTGAATTTCAAGGAATCTAAGACTCCAGCAGTTTTAAGACATCTCATTAGTTTATGTTCTAAGTAGAAAAAAATGCCAATAAAACGATAATATGCCATTGATATCTATGATGCACAATTTAACATGTTAATACGCCTGAAATTTGGGATCTTAGAATTGATAAAAAGCATTCTATGCAGTTTTGTTTTGTTTTTAGTATAAGCAAGGCCAGGTGCAGTGGCTCATGCCTATATTCCCAGCTCTTTGGGTGGCCAGGGCCAGAGGATCACTTAAAGCCAGTTCGAGACCAGCCTGGGCAATAACATAGCAAGACCCCATCTCTACCAAGTTTTTTTTTTTTTTTAATTAGCTGGGTATGGTGGCTTATACCTGTAGTCCCAGCTACCTGGGAGGTGGAGGCAGGAGGATCACCTGGGCAAGAGTGAGACCTCTTTTTTTTTTTTTTTTTGAGACGGAGTCTTGCTCTGTCACCCAGGCTGGAGTGCAGTGGCATAATCTTGGCTCACTGCAAACTCCACCTCCCGGGTTCAAGTGATTCTCCTGCCTCAGCCTCCCGAGTAGCAGGGATTACAGATGCCCGCCACCATGCCCGGCTAATTTTTGTATTTTTAGTAGAGATGGGGTTTCACCATGTTGGCCAGGCTGGCCTCGAACTCCTGACCTTGTGATTCACCCGCCTAGGCCTCCCAAACTGCTGGGATTAAAGGAGTGAGCCACCATGCCTGGCAGACCCTGTCTCTTTAAAAAAAAAAAAAAAAAAAATATATATATATATATATATATTTGACATGGAAACGGTCATTTACAAAAGGCTGAATATTTGTAATGACGTCTGGAAAAAATAAGAAAAAGGAAAAAAAGGCTGAATAGAATCATTTCACTTTCATAAATCAATGCAAAAAATTGTAAAGAATACACATTAAAATGCTAACCATGGTTACCTCTAGCCATAGTTTTTAACTAAATTTTTGCGTTCTTTTAATCACACCTACTCACTACTCTTATAATTGGATACTCAATAAAATATTACCAATTTCTTTTCAAAGACCTGGGACAGGGGGTCTAGAAACAGATACTGCTGACTACTTTCTTTGTGGCCCTGTCCCATGTTTCTTTTGCCCTGCCTTCTGTGTTTGGCACTTGCATTGACCCTTAGTGCTTCTGTCAGACCAAGAAAAGGCAAAGCACATGACACAATCAAGTGATGTGGGGATGGGAGTGTTAAGGTAGTATTTGAGGTCATCAGTCTTTGAAATCCAATTTATGTATAGGCCAGGCGTGGTGGCTCATGCCTGTAATCCCAGCACTTTAGGAGGCCGAGGCGGGTGAGTCACTTGAGGTCAGGAGTTCGAGACTAGACTGGCCAACACAGTGAAACCCTGTCTCTATTAAAAATGAAAAAAAAAAAAATTAGCTGGGCGTGGTGGCAGATGCCTGTAATCCCAACTACTCAGGAGTCTGAGGCAGGAGAATCACTTGAACCCAGGAGGCAGAGGTTGCAGTGAGATCGTGCGACTGCACTCCAGCCTGGACAACAGAATGAAACTATCTCAAAATAAATAAAAACATAATAAGCCAATTTTTGCCAATTCCTATTCTAATAGGAATTGTTAATTACAGTCAGTAACACTAACAGTACTTAGTGCATAGAGTTTTTAAGGACTGTAAATCAGTTCTTACCACCACACAGGTGAGGAACAAATACAAAGGTTAAATAATAATGGAATTCACACAACTAATACCTTATACCAGACAGTCTAGTTTCAAAGCGTAACTTTTAAATACTCTCGAATTCCATTCTGTGCAAATGTTGTACAAGTTTACATCAATTGGCATTCTCACTGTAGTTGACTGTAACTGTGATTCTGTACAAATCTTTGAAGTCTCCAAAAAACCTTTGAAATAAACTCAGACCAAAAAAAGTTATTTTTATGAGGCAACCAAAAACTGGTGTTTCCATACTTCTGAAGTTCTAGTTCATTCTTGGCTCTTGAGAAATCAACCTAAAAAAACAGATAAATTTAAAAACAAATTGACACTAGGACAAATCTGGCACTCTTGAATTTGCTAACTTATCTACCCAGCTAATCTAAATCCTATAATACAAGGTACAGGTAGGCCACGAAAACGGAAGCACCACTCCTTGAAAAGAACTATTTGAAGTAAACTGATAAATGGAGTATTTTAAGTCATTAATAAAAACATTCTTTTAAACAGGAACCAGAAAATATGCTCTTCCCTCTTTAATTGAAATATCTAGAATTCCACCCAATTTACTTGACTTTTTCTAAAAATAAAGGCTATTTCTTAAACAAAAAGGAATTAGGGCTGTATTTAACTCAATTTTGTTGCTGAGCTGTTGAAACAAATAAGTGCCTTTCCTTCATTCTGTGATAAGTGGCTCCATACTTTGCTAGTGGTCACTTCTTTTCTTATTTACAAGTGTCAACACTATTCTAAAGTTGGCTCCTCTGAGACTTCAATCACATCACTAAGATACAAACCTCTCATACGCTGCCAAAGGGTCCCTGTAGGTCAATTCAGGCCTCTTTTCAATTCCACAACTTTAAGGAATTCTTCCATCAAGAGACCTTGGCATTGCCTATGCAAGACCGTGACAGGTGAGGTTCAAGATACCTTCCAATTTCAGGCATTTTACCACCTATAAGTAATAGGACCCAAGGAAACACTTCAAGGAAGGGCACAACACCCACTCACCCTCAGGGCATTTTCACTAGTTAGAAAAACTGTAAAAACACTTACAAAATTGGATGAAAATTAGTAACAAAGAGCATTTCCTTCTTTTCACAACACTTGTTTCCAAAGTTTTTTTTTTCCAACTCTCATACTTAAATTGACTGGATTCCTTTGCCTTCCTGTAAACACTTCAGAGTCTCTTTACCGACTCTAATCTGTCTTTGGCAGAGTAGCTGTAGAGATGGCTTAAAAAGAATTACACCCACTTTTAACCTGCTTGTGAGATTAAAATAATTTGCAAGGATAATCAGTAAGTCATTTCATCAGCTACAGCTGCAATCTTCAATTCAAAATTTTTCATCTAAAAATCTGCAGTTATTTTTAAGGTTTAATAACCCTAAGCAGCAAGAGATTGATGATCTTGAAAAAAGGAAACATCCATGCTCTCCTGTAACTGAGAAGTGCTGGTTAAATTCTTTAATCAAGTTTATTGGAAATTTTCTCTTAATAAACTGTCAATTTTCTCCTGAAGAGAACCTCTCACGTTGTTTGTATTTTCACTTAGAAGTACTCAGCATACAAAGCATTTCTTAATTCAACATGACTTCCAGGTCTAGCATTTGACTAAAGATGCAAGAGGTCAGTCCAATTGTTAATACTGGATTGTGTATCAACAAAATCTACTGAATTTCGTTGATATACTGTGACTAAGTGCCACTCCATCTTCAACGTATACTGTTATGAACAAAATACAGAGGTCTGAAGCACACACAATATACCTGCCATGTGTATTGATTTGCCTGTGACTAGTGACCAATGAACATCTGCCTTAAGAAAAGCTTTATCCAATCCAGGCTTCCAATACATTCTTCAGAAGATCCTGATTTAGGTTTTAGCACCTAAGTTAAAGGCTTGGCAAATATGCAAGAAATATACTACAAAGCTTAGAACACAAAATCAAATTAAAACCAAATTATCTGTAGTTGTTAATGAAAAGTTCTTTTTATTAAAAAAAAAAAAGTGGAAGTTTAACTAGAAATTCTGAATTTTGATCAGGTTTAGTGGCTCATGCCTGTAATCCCAGCACTTTGGGAGGCTGAAACGGGTGGATCACCTAAGGCCACGAATTCCAGACCAGTCTGGTCAACATGCCGAAACCCCGCCTCTACCAAAAATACAAAAATTATCTGGGCATGGTAGTGCACACCTGTAGTCCCAGCTACTTGCGAGGCTGAAGGATGAGAACTGCTTGAACCCAGGAGGCAGAGGTTGCAGTGAGCCAAGATCATGCCACTGCAATCTAGCCTGGGCAACAGAGCAAGACCCTGTCTCAAAAAACAAAACAGCCAGGCGTGGTGGCTCATGCCTGTAATCCCAGCAATTTGGGAGGTCAAGGCGGTGGATCATCTGAGGTCAGGAGTTCGAGACCAGCCTAGCCAACATAGTGAATCCCCGTCTCTACTAAAAATACAAAAAATTAGCCGGGCGTGGTGGCGGGCGCCTATAATTCTAGCTACTCAGGAGGTTGAGTCAGGAGAATTACTTGAACCCGGGAGGCAGAGGTTGCAGTAAACCGAGATCGCGCCACTGCACTCCAGCCTGGGCAACAGAGTGAGACTCATCTCAAAAACAAACAAACAAAAAACACGAAATTATGAATTTTCAGGGTAAGTACACAAACCAATTGTCTTATCTCTAAACAAAGATATGTGTTTAGTTCACACCAATCATGAAGGCCTAAACATGTCGTCATGTAATGGGAAAAATACAAAACCCACCCACTTTCAGTCCATTTCTTTCCAAAAGAACCCCAGCTGTCGGAGCACTCTGAAAATGTCTAGAAAATGTCTAAACACATGCTTATCTTAGTACTCTGAGTGCAGCTGCCATATGAAGCAACATTTCTTTGTGGGTTACGTGTAAAACAAAGAATTCAATATACAAAGTTCCCAAAATAAAACAAAAATTTACTTGGACGTTATTCATTGGCTAATAGAACATTTTAGTCCCAATCCAACAAAATTTTAGGCAAATGTCAAGAACCAAGTTAACCAAAACCGCTTTAAACAGAATCTTCATTCTAGGTATATAAAAACTGTTTCTTTAAATTAGAGATCTTTTTGGTCCTAAAATCTAGAACTGAATCAGCTACAACTGCAAACAAGGTGATTAGTGCAAAGTAATACAACTGTCCAAAGATAAGCTACTTCCCACTTTCCCTACTCAGTAATACATAAAAATCCTTAATATTAGCCCTTCACTTTCCATGCTTCCACCCAGTAACACCTAAAGCAACTATTTAAGGATTAAGCCACACAAGGTCAGAGTAATTGAGCACCTAGTATGAACCAATTATCTAAATAGATTTCTAAAAGTCCATAATGAATCAGAACTCAGATACAAAGTTACCACCAGGCATCTTTTATATATACTTTCTTGCATATACAAGTCTCAAGAAGAGTAATGTCATACAAGAGCACTAGGAATTGCCACATACTCCCAAATGGGCAGCAAAAGGAACAAACATTACTGATTTAAAACAGTATATACATACTAACTCAAAAAAATAATTCGGTAAATCATTTTCTAACTTGTGTGGGTAACTTTTTCCCTTCCATTTAGAAGTGAACAATTGGCTACCAGTTTAGTACAGAAGTAATCAACAGCACAAAAGCTAAATTCTGTCCAAATGGGAATTCTAAGCTCAAAAAAAAAAAAAAAAAGATGCAATCTCCAGGAGCCATTAATTTCTGCCCCAGCTCAACCTATGGAATTTACCTATATGAAGTGTTCATAATTCTCATCTCATAGAAAAACCTCTTTGCACAACGCAAAGGACTTACACAAAGGGATCTGAGTCACTAAATGTGAAATACTAATCATGGTATTTTTTAACAGATTATACACCCCTTAACAGCTTTCAAAATATATTTTATGTTGCAGGCTACCTATCTAAAAAATAATAAAACATGTTTTACTAACAAGTTTTATCTTGCCCTTACTTTGATTATATAGAGGTGTAAAGTATGCTTTAAAATTACTTCTAATTTCACAGCTTCCTGTTGGGTAGACCACTTAATTTGTACCTAGAACTAAACTTTTATTTTTCAGACAGTGTGTCACCCAGACTGGAGTACAGTGCTATGATCTTGGCTCACTGCAACCCCCACCTCCCGGGTTCAAGTGATTCTTGGGTGTGGTGGTGTACACCTGTAAAATTAGCTGTCTGTGGTGGTGCACACCTGTAATCCCAGCTACTCAGGAGGCTGAGGCAGAATTGCTTGAACCCGGGAGGTGGAGGCTGCAGTGACCTGAGATCATGCCACTGCACTCCAGCCTGGGTGACAGAGCCAGACTGTTTCAAAGAAACAAACTCTTGTAACCCGAGAGTGACAGTTCCGGGGTCAGCAAACATTTCTGTGAAAGGCGGTATCTTATGCTGGGCTGCCTACATTTTTCTGTGGGTTTTTTTTTTTTTTAATCCTATACAAGCCTAAAAACCATTCTTAACTCAGGGACACGGACACACACACACACACACACACACACACACACACCCCCACACACACCAGGTCACAGGCTGAACTTTGCTGACCCCTGGCTTACATACAGCATCTCATTTAAATGGCGCTCATTTCCAGTGTTCATATTTTCATCTGTGGCCAAAATCATGATGGCTTTAGCAATTTATATTCTAACCATTTCCTAAACTTAAGCTTCTCATGTTTAGATTACAACCTTGTTTTCACTATATTCTTGAAATTACCGACTTCCTCAGCCTGAAAGATTTATTTCAATCACTTCACATAACCTCCAAATTTGAACTTAAAAGTCAAGGAAGATGAAGAGGTAATCCCAGGGCACAGCTTAGGCCAAATAACCCAAATTTCTGGGAAGCTGCCACTTACTATTAACTCAACCTGACAATTATCTTGCAAATGATATTGATAAATCATTTAATTACTATGGTCCAGTTCAAATATGTATCATTTTACTGCCTTGTTACCAGTTATGCCATACAAAGCACAGTAAATAATGAAGTTTCTGGGCTTTTCTTAGTTAACCTGAAGATCTCGCTGGTACATGTTCAGACTTGCTAAAACTTATTTACATATTTGTCTCAGTATAATCCAAAACGTCTGGGTTATAATCTATTTTCTAAGTGTTTACTTTAGAAAGTAAAATTGCATGCACCTGAGATCCCTGGAATTTGCTATACCATTGGACTGGAGGTCCACTAATATACCTGAATAATCTTACCTCTAAGGTCAACATCAGTTAGGTTCTAGTAACTTCCTATTTCTCATTCCTTTGAACCTTTTAACACCTGTTGTTTCCTTCCACATGATGGTACTTTCCTAAAGACATGTTAGGTTGGTACAAAACCAATTGCACCAACCTAGTATTTTCGAAATCCAATACACATTTAGGCTTTGTATGCAACTCCCTGTTCTATTTCAGTGCAACCATCTCTGGCAACTAGAAAAATAACAAAATTAGAATGAATACTTAATATCCTCCTTTTAAATCCATACCAAAAACAAGCCCCAAATATATTTACAACCCTGGAAATGATGTGTACTACTTTTATTTAAAAAAATAAGAGTAAAGGAACTAACTAGATGTATATGGTGCCAATTTTTAAAAGTCTTGCTTAACTCCACAGGTCTCAAAATAGCTAATAAAGAAACCATGTCTCCAATCATTTCAATACAAGCTGTAAAAATGCCTTAAAAATCTCAGGTCTGGCATTACTTCCATTTAAACGCATCAAGATAAAAGTTCACTGAAACATCAGCTGCCACCATTACTTTAGGAATCTTTATCTGTTTAGGGATTTTTCCCCTAGACTATTATAGCCAGTTTGTCAATCAAAAGTAGCATTCAGTATGCTTAACTTTCATTATCAAAAAAGTGATCTGCTAAGAAGTGACAATCAGATTAAATCCAAGAAGTCCTTGGATTTTGTATTTTACAAGAATTCAACTTTCCCAATTAAGTCATTAGTCATTAAGATAAGTACCCTTCCCAAATGTGATTCAACAGCCTGGTTTTTAGCAAATAAAAACCCCATATAAAATTCAATTTAAAAATTATAAACACACAGGGGTGTGCACACAGGTCAGAAACCAGGAAACACATGACAATAAACATGATCCTATTTGATTGTTTTTATGACTTTTAAGAAGTGAGCATGAAAATAAATCTTTATTTTCAGTTATTACCCACCAATAAGAGAAAGTTAGGTTCACAGTTTTAGCTCTTGACACAAAGTGAACTAGGAGGCAAATTTATATCCATCAGATACAACTAATGCACCAACTTTTTAAGTTCAGGCTATCTTGAAAGCTTGCAACATACCAGATATTGCTATGTTGTCTCTCACGACAGCAATGGATGACACTGAGAAGTTGTGTTTTGAGTAGCAGGTGTTTTCTATAGTATGTTGCTGGAAATCAAGAGGTTTATAAAACATGGTACATGTTTGGAAATGAGTTAGATACTTGAAAAGTCTAAACACACTGATTTAGGAGTGCGTATGTTGCTGTCTCAATGAACAATGGGTCAATAGTTCATATGGACTAAATTAATCTCTGGGTAGCACGTATGTGTGTAAATATAAAATTATATTAGACATTAGCACCAGTGCAGAACATGCTCAGCATCATAAGATCCAAAACACCAGCACAAGTTTATCCATCATTAAAAACAATTACCTCCTTCCTAAAATGTCAGAATAGTAGGTAACTGAGATTAATAAATCTTATCCAAAAAGTAACTCTTATAACATAAAAGTTTCTTTTAGAAGTATATGTGAGAACCAATCAGCTAAATAGAAATGTTTAAGATTGAAGATGTCCAATATTTTTAAAACTGGACATTACCATATACAGGTAGAACATTTCTAAAAATGACGTGACAAACAATTCTTAAAAATTTTTTAAAAATTCCTTCACTGTTTATCAATAAATGTGGCAGAATAAAAGACAATCCTAGAAAACTTTTTTAATTCATCATTCTATGTGTGTTTTAATAAGTGGTGATGCTCCCATTATAGGAATCCATTATTTACCTAATTTTCTAATGGAGGAAGAGAGAAGAGATAATTACCACTTTCTGTGGAATACTCAACTTACAACCAAATAATAGCAATCTAGGAAATTTAGAAACAGTAAAGGTTTTTGGTTTATATTTCATGTATAGTGCTGCTGTTCCAACCTTACAAAGTAAAGCTGTCTGCTTCCCAAATTCCAAAAATTAAAATACTCCCCCACCTCACCCTACCAACCAGCGCCCTTTGGTTTTTGTTTTAGAACAAGGAAGGGTTAAATGGTGGCTGATTATGGATGTACCATTTTGATTTTGGGACCTTTCACACACAGAAATCATACCAAATGGCCAGACACTTATTTTACAGAACAGTTTAAATATTACACATTGGCCAAATCAACTTATTCCACCCACCCTGGTGAAGGGGGAGAAAAAACCCATACCTATAAAACTACTTCACTTGACACGATGTGCCTACCAACAATAAGTAGTTTAAACAACTTTCACCAATTAAGATGTCTAGTTTAGATTTTAAAATGGGAAACTCAAGCATTTAAAAAGTAAATATAGCTGAAAATGTAAATCAGTTATAATTTGAACCTAATGAGCCATGCAAGGAGCAAGGGTTAATAAACCAAATGTGCTTTGAATTTGTTCAAGTACTGATATTTCTGTATATAAAGATTTAGCATATATATATAACAGCTATCATGAGAAGTGAAAAAAGATTTTTCCCCAAAAATGAAAATATTAAAACTAAGTTAAAATACATATAGTTAGTATTCCACACAGCATAAAATTTGACAAATCAAAGTTTAACATGTCCCAGTTGACCATGTGTGAATATGCAAAGCAGGTATTAAAACCAGTATGTCCAATATTTAAAACCAGTTTGTAATTGGGGGAACTTCTAAATCCTTAATTAAAAAACACAAATGAAGTGAAAGCTTTAAACTGGTACACACTGTTCACACCTATATTTCAAGTTTGGAAATGCATATTTGCAAGCAGCAATACAAAAGTATTCATGAAGAATGCATAATCTCTGAAAATTATGAAAACATCCCTGCTACCAATACATTTCTAAATACAAAACTGACTACCATATTTGTTACTTCTGTGTAGCGGGAGAAGTTCATTTTTAAAACAGATAAAATTCAGTCTTTAGGTGTGAATGGTATGAATGACAGTCTTTTTTTTTTTAATTTCTTAGTCGTTTGGAATCCTTAAGCATGCAAAAGCTTTGAACAGAAGGGTTCACAAAGGAACCAGGGTTGTCTTATGGCATCCAGTTAAGCCAGAGCTGGGAATGCCTCTGGGTCATCCACATCAGGAGCAGAAGCACTTGACTGAAAAAGAAAAACCAAAATTAACCACAGTTCTCAGTTCTTCAAAATTACATTGTTAGCTAGTGTCTACATTAAGACAGAACTCTAAAAAAATCTTACTGTTGGCCAGGCACAGTGGCTCACACCTGTAATCCCAGCGCTTTGGGAGGCCAAGGTGGGTGGATCACCTGAGGTCAGGAGTTTGAGACCAGCCTGGCCAACATGGTGAAATCCTGTCTGTACTAAAAATATAAACAATTAGCTGGGTGTGGTGGCAGGCACCTGTGATCCCACTACTCAAGAGGCTGAGGCAGGAGAATCGCTTGAACCTGGGAGGCAAGGGTTGCAGTGAGCCGAGACTGTGCCACTGCACTCCAGCCTGGGAAACAGAGTGAGACTCCATCTCAAAAAAAAAAAAAAAAAAATCCTACTGTTAAAATTCTAGGTAAAATGTATCAAGACAAAATTATGGATCACAAAAAAACTACAAGTATTTGCAATGAGCCCTGTCCTAAATTTCTACCAAGGCCTATTTTCATTCCAGAGTAATAATATGGGTTGTTTTCTTTTTCTCTTTTTTTTTGGAGACAGTCTTACTCTGTTGCTCAGGATGGAGTGCAGTAACATAATCTCAGTTCACTGCAACCTCCACCTCCTGGGTTCAGGTGATTCTTGTGCCTCAGCCTCCCAAGTAGCTAGGTTACAGGGATGTGCCACCACACCTGGCTAATGAGACAGGGTTTCACAACGTTGGCCAGGCTGGTCTCAAATTCCCAACCTCAGGTGATCTGTTCACCCAGACCTCCCAAAGTACTGGGATTACAGGCGTGAGGCAGTGCGCCCAGCCCAGTTGTTTTACTTTTTCCAATAAACCATACAAGTAGATTCATAAGCAATTATGTATGTGAATTCGCATTGTTCAGTATTCTTATACTTTTTCCACTTGCTAAATAAGAATGGCACCAATGTGAAAGCATGCTAAGGAACTAATATCTAAGTAGCAATAATCATCAAGGTTGAAAGTCTGAAAAAAGGAATCCAAACTGCTCTTTATAGCCTAAAGTATAAATAACAGAACTAAAAAAGAAAGTATGGGAAAAGCCCATCAACACAACCACCACCTTAAAAAAAAAAGGTTGGTCTTAGAGGGAGGAACAAAGTATCATTACACTGGCAATGGTAAGTTACCCCTGTAATCATCAAAAACAGACTCAATCAAGTAGGTGGGTCCCCAAATTTGTGTGTAAGGTGTTGAGAATTTAGGAGGACATTATGGTTGTTTCCAAGCATCAGATCTGAGTTCAAATCTATCAATTACTTGGGAATTCACCAAAATATTTCTCTAAGAACTTGTTTTGTGCCACATACTGTTCAAGGCATTGGAGAGATTATAGAAAGTAAGCCAAAAATGAATCCCAGCTCTCACAGAAGAGTCTAGTAAAAGAAAAAAGTGTCAACAATCCTAAGTGTCGTAAGAGGAATTATACAAGGAACACAATGGTTATTAAGTGGAGACCTAAAAAGCAGTTAGGAATTATCAAAGTGAACAGACTGGTTTTCAGGTAAGCCTTAGCAAAGGCCAAGAGTTAACCTGATTCACTATACCAGAATTTTCTCATCTGGAAAATGAGAATGTCATCACAGTAACAAGAATTAAATGACATTAAGTACATAAAATGCCTAGCCCAGCACCATGACCGGCACCTAGAAAGAACTCAAAAGGGTGGTAACTTAACACTACTAACAGCACTACACAAAAAGGCATTTAAGTGCTTTAAACATAAATATAACCTAACATGCGGTTTCTTAAAGACACTGCTACTACTTCTACTTATGTTCCCAAAAGTGACATAAGTCTGACCCAGCCAGTGACTTATAAGAGGTCCTTAAATTATGTAAAAGGAAAAGAAAGTCTTAAATTACCTTGTCGGTCCTGCTGCCACGGTTTGGGCGCCCACCACGCCCACGTCCACCTCGTCCTCCCCTGCCGCCACGTCCTGGGCGGCCAAGGTCTCCAAAATTGATCTCCAGCTGAGACGTTATATCATTTGCTGGCTTCCGGAAATGATGGTCCATAACCGAATCTTCAGCATGAGCCTAAAAATATAAGTGAAGATGATTGTGTTATTAGTAGAAAAGTAACATTGCAAAATTTCTAAATAATGAGCTTTCTTCTAAAAAAAACCAAAAATCCAAACTGTACTTTCTGTGAACAAATGTCTCAATGCCTCCACAGGTAACAAGCTAGGGCTCAGCTTTAGTGATCCTGGAGGAAGATTTTCCTGCACTTTTCTCTATCTCAAAATTGCAGGTAATACCAGCAGTCCTCAACTAAAGACATGTATGCTATCACAATCAACCCAAACGGCTGAAGCCCATCCTAGACCTACTGAATCATAATCTTTAGCAGTGAAATCTGGACAAGTACATTTTAAATATGCCCTTCAGATCAGGACTGCCATGTGAATCCTTGATGAAGACCTCTGGAGAGATGACATATAAGGTTACTACTAGCACTAACACTGAAGTTAAAAAGAACACTCAGAAAGAAAAACTCTGTTCTACACTCTTCCAACTACAACTAGGGTAAAGACCTTACTAGATATAAACTTCTCAGAAGCATTTTCTGTTAATACACAACCACTACGTTTTTCTACACAAATTGGAGAGCTACAAATTCAAGTGAAACACTACACACTTTACATAAAGAGGGGAATCTTGTAAAGCTATGCACAAATAAAACCACACCTTAAATGTGTCACAGGAACCTTTTTTTTTTTTTTTTTTTGAGACAGGGTCTCACTCTGTCACCCAGGCTGGAGTGCAGTGGCACGATCTGGGTTCATTGCAACCTCCACCTCCCAGGCTCAAGCGATCCTCCCACCTCAGCCTCCCAAGTAGCTGGGTCTATAGGCACATGCCATGACACCTGGCTAATTTTTTTGTATTTTTTATAGACAGGTTTTCACAGTGTTGCTCAGGCTGGTCTCAAACTCCTAGGCTCAAGCGATCCGCTGGCCTTGGCCTTCCAAAGTGCTGGGACTACAGGCATGAGCCACCATGCCCAGCTAGAAACTTCTTAAAAATGAAGTCATGTTTGTGAAATCCAGATCCTCTTTTCTATTTGCGTTTAAGATACATGACCCAGTCTGGGGGAAAAAAGCAAAAAGCCAGACAATTCTATACTGCTTCATGCCTGATGTCTTCTTGTACGCTTGGGATGGGTTTTAATCTTCTAGTTGAAAACTGTACTTATAGGACTTGAAAGTACAGCTTTCTTTTCCTCTTTTCCTAAATACATCTAAGGAATCTTCTTTTCTAAAGGGATAAAGAACATTTTGTTCTTTCATTAGAACTTGTACTATTACAATTCCATTAGACTCAACTTAAAATATTACAGCTGTTAATAACTAGCCTTTAAAGTACAAATAAATTTTTGTGTTTTTATCCATGTTTTCACCCCTTACATCAACTCATACTAGTATTAAATGTCACTCCTTTGTACCAAACCAACACACTGTAAGGCAATAGAATGTTCTAATACAAATTTTAAAGGAGGCTAGAAACATAAAAACAAATTCACAAAACACCAGCAAATTAGAATCAATTATATATACTAATTGTGTGATTTTTAAATGTTTGCTATTTCAAACCAATGCTTTCAATTTATTGCAAACCACAGATCGAAAATATTCAGAAAAAAATAAAACCAACCAACCATATAACAATAAAAAGTAGGCCAGGTGTGGTGGCTGACACTTGTAATCCCAGCACTCTGGGAGGCATAGGCAGAAGGGCTGCTTGAGTCCAGGAGTTGGCACAGGTGTGTAGTTCCAGCTACTCAGGAGGCTGAGCTAGAAGGATCGCTTGAGCACGGGGAGGTTGAGGCTGCAGTAAGCTGTGACCATGCTACTGCATTCCAGCCTACATGACAGAGCAAGACCTTGTCTCAAAATAAAGTGTATGAGGGAGTGCTCACTTTGGCAGCATATATACTAAAAGTGGAACAATACAAAGATTATTAGCATGATCCCCACAAGGATGACACGCAAAACTGTAAATTGTTCTATATTTTAAATTAAAAAATAGAAACAATAAAAAATAAAGTATAGGGAAAACGTGTTTAGGCTATATGCAGATACTATGCCATTTTATATAATGGACATGAGCATCTGAAAATTTTAATATCTCTGGGTCCTGGAACGAATCCCCTGCAGATACCAAGAAACTGTACTGGGATAAAGTCAGGGCAGGGGGATCCTTTTTTTTTTTCTTTTTTCCTTTTTTTGAAACAGTCTTGCTCTGTCAACTAGGTTGGAATGCAGTGATGCTATCTTGGCTCACTGCAACCTCTGCCTCCTGGGCTCAAGTGATCCTCTCCCGCCTCAGCCTCCCAGGTAACTGAGACCACAGGTGCACGCAACCACATCCAGATAATTTTTATATTTTTTGTAGAAACAGGGTTTTGCCATGTTACCCAGGCTGGTCTCAAACTTTTAACTCAACAATCTGCCCACCTCAGCCTCCCGAAGTGCTGGGATTACAGGTGTAAGCCACTGTGTCCGACCTTTTTTCTAGAGCACTCAGACAATGAGGAGCAGAAAACAGAAACTCTGAGCTCTGTCAATAACACGGTAACACAGTTCTCCATTTGTAAATAGTTTCTTCCTTCCCCTTAACTACCTCACATTTGTCACGAGAATGAAGACATGTGAAAGTTAAAGTGTTGTTTTTTTTTTTTTTTTTTTTTTTTGAGACAGTCTTGCTCTGTTGCCCAGGCTGGAGTGCAGTGGTGTGATCTCAGCTCACTGCAACCTCTGCCTCCTGTGTTAAAGTGATTCTCCTGCCTCAGCCTCCTGAGTAGCTGGGATTACAGGCATGCACCACCACACCAGGCTAATTTTGTATCTTTAGTAGAGACGGGGTTTCTCCATGTTGGTCAGACTGGTCTTGAACTCCCGACCTCAGGTGATCCGCCCGCCTCAGTCTCCCAAAAGTGCTGGGATTACAGGTGTGAGCCACTGCGCCTGGCTGAAACCACGTGTTCTAATGCAGTTTTTTTTCTACAGGACTTAAAAAAGACAATGTCCTCATTTACTACTCATATGAAGTAAATGTTAAAAATCATCTCTAAACCTAAAAAAACTTTTAATCTTTTTAACCTCCATTTTATTTTAAAATGTTTCCAAGTTTGTCTTATAGCCATTTTGCAGTTTAAAAAATTATGCTTATTGGCTGGGCATGGTGGCACACGCCTATAATCCCAGCACTTTGGGAGGCTGAGGCAGGCGGGGATCACTGAGGCCAGGAGTTTGAGACCAGCCTGGCCAACATGATGAAACCTCATCTCTACTAAAAACACAAACATTATCCGGGCATGGTGGCGAGTGTCCGTAATCCCAGCTACTGAGGAGGTTGAGACACAAGAACTGTTTGAATCCGGGAGGTGGAGGTTGCGGTAAGCAGAGATGGTGCCACTGCATTCCAGCCTGGGCGACAGAGCCAGATTCTGTCTCAAAAAAAAAAAATAAAAATAACTAATACCTTATTGAAAGGGTTTGCCCTCACAATATTTTAATTTAACTTTACCTTAGGATGATAAAACTCAGTCTGGATTTCTGGCACAGCCCAATTTATGATATGAATAAATCAAACACAAATGTCAAAAGGTTAAAGGAAGCTGATAGAGAAAATGAATTTAGGAGAAGAAATAATATAGTTAGGGCTTGTATGAGTTTTTAAAGCCAAACAGGAAGCCGCACTGAAACATTCCTCTAAGAACACACCCCAAAGCTTAAACGGAAGCTACCAAATCAAAAGCCATCAATGTGACTTTCTCCAATACAGTTGACCCTTGAACAACGTGGCTTTGAACATTCTGCCTCTGTCAGTCTTGAGACAAGCAAGCCCAATCCCTTTTCTTCCTATCCAAAATAAAGACCTTTGTGATGATCCAGTTCCACTTAATGAACAGTAAATATATTTTCTCAACATTTTCTTTAGCTTACTTTACTGTAAAAACACAGTATATAATACGCAACATACAAAATGTGTTAACTGGTTATGTTATCACTAAGACTTTCAGTCAACAGGTTATTAGTAGTTAAGTTTTGGGAGAGTCAAAGGTTACATGTGCATTGATCTGCGGGGTCAGTGCCCCTAGCATCCTCATGTTGTTCAACAAGTCAACTGTATTTTCACTAGTTTCCATGTTTCTTAAGTAAAACCCACATATACTTTGGTTTTTAAAGTCGTCATTCCTTAGACAAAATGCACATTGCCATTTACTGAGTGTCCTGGCCATTATATATGGTATAGGCAGACAGTTTCAAAAGTTGAATTCTAAATGAAGTCACTTACATTTTAGGTTAAACCATATGAAAATGTCAAGATTTCAACCTAACACCATAATACCACAGCCCTTTAATGATCCCCAGTTTGGCAAGATTTCAAAAATACAACCACAACTTTGAAAAGAACTATCATATTTCTGAACACCAATAACTACAAGATACTCCACTAACAGCTTTTTAGGAAAAAGTAACTCTACCACATAAAACATAATTACAAATTGATCAAAGGACTAAATTTCTTAGAATATGTGATAATACAGTTTATTTTCCTTATAAAGCAAATTATCTGCCCCAAATGATCCTATGTAAAGCTTTAACAGACAAATAACCCATGTGAAATTTTAAAACAAAAATTATAAATACAATTCAAGTCACATCTGAACATTTTCAAACACGACAAAACTTAATTTTACCTCTTCACTCTTTGATTTATGAAGAACAAATCCCTTCTTCCACTGCCCATCAGCACCTTCATTTGGTTTTCGGATATTAAATTCTACTTTTGCCCGGTCCTTATTTTGAATAGCCTTCCACTCATCCAAAGTCATCTCTTTTGGACCCTCCTCTTTTACCTCTTCAACTTCATTCTCCCTGTGAAAAGGTTTTCAAGTTTTATACCTGGTAGAGAGCTGATATTACATAAAAGTATTTTAAATTTATGATTTTAATTGAGAAAATTAACCTTGTAATCTTTTAGAGAAAGATTATTCAAGGATGAGGGTACCCTAGTTTCCTATGTAACTAAGCAACTTGGTAGAGACCAGGAATTCAGTGTTTGCTAATTAGAGACAAGTAAGGAATATGGAATTCATACTTATGAACTCTTAAATGATCATTTATCAGTAATACAATCTAGAACTGGCTTTACGAATACTAAAATACACATTTCTTAAAAACACTACCTTGTTTAAAAACTACCCTCTTATGTAAAATCCTCAGCCTATCTTCTCCTAAACCACATTTTTAATTTCCATAATTCCCACAATATGTAACTCTTAATAACATACAAGAAGGTAATCCTCTAGGATGTCTGTCAGCAACCAGGGTTCAAATTTTGGAATATAAAAGAACTGTTCCTCTATGCTTTGTTTCAGCAACTAGCACTTAGAGCAAATCAAAACAATAGCCGTGTTTCTACAAATCCTAAAATCCTTATACTCCAATTTTCAAACCAACCTGTATATGGAAAGGAGGCCATGGATTCACTACTAATAGAACTATCCACAAACACACACTGGTTTCATTATTTAATACTAAACCATTTATTTCCAAATATAATTCTCAGGTCTTAACTATAGAATATGATCCTTTCCTCTTTTTACAGAAACAAAGCACAGGCCTAAGGATCCATTATTTTAGTATAATCTCAATCTGCAATTGTCACCAAACAAGTCATTTGCTATTTGGGGAGCCCTGCTTCTTTCCAAAGATAGCAGGTGATTCAGTTAGCCTTAGAGCTCAAATATCTCCCTGGATGCTGCCCTTTACTGTTTGACAAATGCTATCTTAAAAGTTCCTCCAGTTACATCTATGCTGCAAAAAAAAAACAAAAAACTTCCTAGAGCAAGTTTATATTGAATTGACAGGATCTTGGGATCTTGGGTACTGAGTCCACCTAGTCATTTTACAGATGAGAAATCTAAGAATATAAAAAAAGTCCTGCTTACCCATATGTTATGACACAGCCAGGAATAGAACTTAGCATACCTTTTATCATATCATGGAGGCATGACACCTACCTTTCAGGAATTACTGCAAGGATTAAATAAAAACCAAACAGAAGCTCTGGAAGCTATATATAAGTTAGTTCATCAAAGTCAGCCAATGTTGTGTTTCTTAAATTTATACTTCCATATGCTATGCCCAGATTCTCCCCTAGTCTGGAATAAGATTACAGACAGTTCTAATGTGATGGATAATTATTTTCTTTAAACCAAACACCCTCAGTTTCGCTCCTGGGCACTGAGCTAAGGATTTGCTACCAATAGCCTATCAATACATTAGTACCTTTTGGTAAACAGTTATAATCTTTGCATATCACTGAGTGATTGAACATGGGCTCTATTAAACAGTTGTGGTTGGACACGGTGGCTCACACCTGTAATCCCAGCATTTTGGGAGGCCAAGGCGGGAGGATCACTTGAGGCCAGGAGTTCAAGACCAGCCTGGCCAACATGGTGTAACCATGTCTCTACTGAAAATACAAAAATTAGCCAGGCATGGTGGAGCATGCCTGTAGTCCCAGTACTCGGGAGGCTGAGGCAGGAGAATCGCTTGAACTTCAGAATGGCCAAAATCGCGCCACTGCACTCTAGCATGGGAGACAGGAGACTGTGTCTCAAAGAAACAAAAAAAAGTTGTGTTGACCACTATGAGAAACTTAACGTTGCATAGGGTTCATTTGTTAAGGCACCAATCACAACTTCATTGTTTATCATGCAAAATTATGATTCCATTATAGTTTTGCATAAATTTTTATTACCAAGTTCAAAACATCACCCAATACCATGTATTTTTATCTACTCCCTCCAATAGTATATCATTTTTCCTTATCCCAACAAATCCACGGAATATGATATTCCCATCATTAACAGTGCTCACCATAAGAGCAAATTCTTTCTGAAGAAAAGAAAAAGTTTAAGGTGCGGCAGCTCACGCCTGTAATCCCAGCACTTTGGGAGGCCAAGGAGGGCAGATCACCTGAGGTCAGAGTTCGAGATCAGCCTGACCAACATGGAGAAACCCATCTCTACTAAAAATACAAAATTAGCCGGGCGTGGTGGCACATGCCTGTAATCCCAGCTACTCAGGAGCTGAGGCAGGAGAATTGCTTGAACCCTGGAGGCAGAGGTTGCAGTGAGCCGAGATCACGCCATTGCACTCCAGCACAGGCAACAAGAGCAAAACTCCATCTCAAAAAAAAAAAAGAAAAAAGAAAAAGTTTAGAAAACATCTGCCCCTCCCACCCCCCAACTAACTTGAATATGCTTCTGGTTAGGAATCACTGTCCTAAATAACCTGTAATCCAAGACTTTAAACCACAATACTGTAACAAATAACTGGCAAAGTAAACATGATTTTAGGTCAGGCGTGGTGGCTCATGCCCGTAATCCCAGCACTTTGGAAGGCCAAGGCGGATGCATCACCTGAGGTCAGGAGTTCGAGACCAGCCTGGCCAACATGGTGAAATCCTGTCTCTACTAAAAATACAAAAAATTAGCTGGGCGTGGTGATGCATGCCTGTAATCCCAGTTACTCGGGAGGGTGAGGCAGGAGAATCGTTTGAACCCAGGGGGCGGAGGTTGCAGTGAGCCAAGATAGCGCCACTGTTACTTCAGCCTGGGCAACAGAGCGAGAATGTCTCCAAACAAAACAAAACAAAACAAAACAAAACAAAACAAAACAAAACACCATGTAATTTTAAAAGCTAGTGAAGGGCTGGGTGTGGTGGCTCACACCTGTAATCCCAGCACTTTGGGAGGCCAAGGAGGGTGGATCACCGAGGTCAGGAGTTCGAGACCAGCCTGGCCAGCTGGTCTAAAAAATATAAAAAATTAGCCAGGCATGGTGGCGGGTGCCTGTAATCCCAGCTACTCCAGAGGCTGAGGCAGGAGAATCGCGTGAACCCGGGAGGCGGAGGTTGCAGTGAGCCGACAGTGCCACTACACTCCAGCCTAAGCAACAAGAGTGAACTCCATCTCACACACACAAAAAAAAAAGTTAGTGAAGGGCTGGGCAAGGTGGCTCACGCCTGTAATCCCAGCACTTTGGGAGGCCAAGGTGGGTGGCTTGCCTGAGCTCAGGAGTTGAAGACCAGCCTGGGCAAAATGGTGAAACCCTGTCTCTACTAAAAATACAAAAATTAGCCGGGCCTGGTGGCAGGCACCTATAGTCCCAGCTACTTAGGAGGCTGACGTGGAAGGATCATTTGAGCCCAGGAGGCGGAGGGTGCAGTGAGCCAAGATCACTCCACTGCACTCCAGCCTCGGCAACAGAATGAAATCTTGTCTCAAAAAAAGAAAAAAAAAAAAAAAGATAGTGAATAACATACTCTGATCTTTGCTCTCTTCATACATTTAAAAACAGGCCAGTAATGCTATGTTCCAAATTCTACATTGGAAATAACTTCAAGATAGAACTAATGTTAAAATGGCCACATTTTCTAGTTTTAACTATCTCAAAGTAAAATTTGTACAGTTGTATGACAATGGTAAAATGACTAATCAAACAGAAATAACCACATTAAAATATTCTATTTTTCAAAGCGTTAGAGTCAAATATATACACATAAACCACTCTTTTAAGGGCTGGGTGCAGTGGCTCATGCCTGTAATCCCAGCACTTTGGGAGGCCAAGGCAGGAGGAACGCTTGAGCCCAGGAATTGGAGACCTGCCTAGGCAATATAGTGAGACCCTGTCTCTATTAAAAAAAGAAAAAAAAAGCATTCTTTCAAATACTCTTTGAGGGATGAGGGTACAGTAAGTCTCCCTTGTCAAAAACAAAAAGCCATCAAGTAACAGCATTAAATCTATGGGTTATCTTATTGGTAAAACTCCAGTGCTTTCAATTCTGGGTCATTACTATTACACGCAATACCACTTACTTATTTTCAGTGTCTGCCACTGGATGATGTTCTTCACCTTCAGGTGTTTCCTCAGTCACATTTGATTGATCCAAGTCACTGTAATTATAAGATATTTGTTTCTGAATGTATTTGGGGGACTCTCTAAGGAAAGAAAGAAAAAGAAAGGCATCTAGGTCCATTTACATGTAGCTGAAAAGTTCTTCATACAAAAATACCATAAGCTCTCACATTCTCTAACTCCTTTCTTACTAAATATACTCCCCAGAAGACGTCGAAAAGTAAACAATATAAACTAGTTAGTTCATATACTTCATACTTAAAAAGTAACAGAACAAGGCAGTTAATTATAAAATGAAGCTTTACTAGCTTATCAAATTTTGTAATGACAACAAAGTCAAAAGCTAGAATAGGAACTATTAAGGACACTAAGATAATCAGAATACCCAAATAACCTTATTGTGGGGTTTCAGGAAAAGCTACAAATACATATGGGGGGGAAAAAATGAGTAACAAATATATCGAAATATTAAAAAACCGGTCATTCAATATACTATAACCCAAACCCATCCCATAAGACATTATCTTGTAATATAGTAACTCTCAGAAGAGAGCATTCATTCTTATCTCAGAGACAAGTAAAATTTGACAGAGGTATGGATTAACCTCTAGTTAGGTATAGAATTTTTAAGAAAATCAGAATACCAACGTTAATTCGTCTTTGACAGTTCCCCAGTTGTGAGATCCGCTACCTCCACGTTTGTCCTCGTGCTTCAGGCCACTGTAATGTGAAAAAGAACTAACAAAACTGAGTTAACATAATACTCTTTAGTTCTAGAAATTCAAAGTTTGTTTATTAAATAGATTAAAATATTAAAGTAAAATAAAAACCAGTAAGACTTACGATCTATCACTTCCACTATGCCTATCAAATTCACGTTTGCCACGAGAATCAAATCCATCTCCTCGGCCCATTCCACGTCCACGGCCCCCTCGACCTCTTCCAAGACCACCACGACCTCGAATAGGTCGGTCAATAATCGGTCTATAATATAAACAAATAAATTATACTTCCATGGTTTCCAGAAGAAATGAGGAAAATTCATCCAAAAGATCAAAAATACAGAACATGTTTACTGGCTCAAAAACCAATAGTTAAATACATACACTTCAGAAAATTCAAAATAGTCTGTTTCTAAACACAAAGGAAACCAGAACAAGACAGCCTCCCAAAACAAGAAAACTATTTTAGCACTCTAAAGCATTACTACCAGTGCATATACTTTTCCACTGCTATTCATTGCACATATAATCCAGTCCATCACTATTTACCAATACACTTAAAAATTAAACACATCTAACTTGCATAAGTAATTTATTTGCTATAAACAATAAACCAACAGTATTTTCCTTCAACTAACAGTATTTTCCTTTTAACTCTGTATCTGGAGAGAGAAAGAAAAAGAAATTGGTTATCAATTCAACAAAGTGTTTCCATTACAAGAGACCTAAGTTTGAACTGTTACCCAAAGATCTAAAGCTTAACAATGCACACATACAGATGTTTCTGTGAAAAATTAATAGAAACAATTAGCCAGACTGCTACCTGGCAATTATGCCCAATTTATAGCTTAACATTAAAATGTGACTCTATAAAGTAACAAAATATGAAGACTTCTTTGGTTTACGCCTGTAATCCCAATATTGCAGGAGGACAGCTTGAGCACAGGAGCTCAAGACCAGCCAATGCAATATATATAGTGAGACCTCAGCTCTACAAAAAAAATTAGCAGTGTGGTGGCGTGACCTTGTAGTCCGAGCTACTCAAGAGGAGACTGAGATGAGAGGATCATTTGAGCCCAGGAAGCAGAGGCTGCAGTGAGCCAAGCTTGTACCACTGCACTCCAGCCTACATGTTAGACCAAGACCCTGGCTCAAAAACAAGAAACAACTTACCTATCAACTGAAAATTCGCCTCCTTCACCCTTTTCTTCAAGTGGCTTTTCGAATCTTCGTTCACGAGGTGGTCGCCTTTCTGGTCTTCTATCAATTATTTTCCCTTCACCCTGAAGTTGTTGATCAGGTCTTCTTCCAACTCGTCTTATTCCTAAAACGATAAGATAACCTGCATAAGCAAATTATTTTTGCAATCCAAAAACTTTAGGCCTGGACTGTCAAAAGCTGCTTCTCTTCCAATCCACTACCATTTCCTGTTGGAAAAAAGCAAACACTGGGCAACTCTAATGTGTAACAAAGTACCTTAGGAAAACTGCCATTTAAAGACAATAAACCTTCCAATCCATACCACCGACTAAATACATAAATAAATAAAATAAAAACAATAAACTTATTTTAAACTTCTATTTAAGTTTGCCAAGTTCTCCCCCTCAAAAGCATTTTCTATAACTGACTTGGAAATCATTTGGGCAACCATTATTCCCGTCACTTTCCAAGATAGTCTCTTAATAAAAACTTTTAAATTTAAAAAATTTTAGGCAAGCAATACATTTTGGCTTTTAAAATACCAAAGAAAATACCAGCAGCCATTCATAAATAACCAAGCAAATCAACACACTCACTAGATATGGCCCCTCACAAAAGTGAGGGCCGCACTATGTTATTCTATCTAATCTGAAAAAAAAATGCAATTAAGACTCATAATTCTATAAAATTACAAATCTGAAAGGAAAATATGGCATTTAGGATTATTAGAGAACATCACTTCAGTTTAAAACAGCCATTTAACCAGAAAAAGTGTCATCTTTTGGTCTTCTTAGCTACAGGCACACAAAAAGGGCCATCTTCCCCTATTAAAGTTTAAAATTTTATAGCATGTAAGTGTATATATGTTTGTACACACTCCCACATCCCTAAGTACTTCCAAGTTAGGAAACAGTTACTTATTATGCATGGAGAGAGTCCTCTAAAAAATTTGCCCTAACAACTATCTTTATTTTCAAAGAATCTTTAAAAACCAAATACACACACGTTAAGACCGCTTTTAAGCAACATGTAAGAAATAAGAAAACTTGTGACACTAAGTGATAGCTGAAGCATTTACTAATTTCCCCCTTTACTACTTTTTTCCTGTAATGTCTGAAACCCCACAAAGGCAACCAATTTAAATTATTGGTGCCCATAAGGATCAACAGATTGATGGTTAAATTAATGACTTTAAGATTGTTGGTATGCTCTAATTCCCAATTTCTGACAAAGTCATAAAGCAGCTGAGGAATTGGTTTTACAAGATTTTAAGCTGCTTCACTTTGGTTCTTTCTAAGAAAGTAGAACACCATCAAGACACACCCAGTTGTTCTGCTGCCTGTTAACTGGAGCCAAACAGTAACTATCAATCTCTTCAATAGAATTTTGAAGTTCATTCCCTGTAAATACTCAAGATAGACTACAAATATTAGACCTTACACCAAGGTATTTAAATAAATGTCATCAGTAATAAAGTGCACTGGGGTGGAGTTATGGAACCAGTCCTTGCAATAATATCCAAGCCAAACACACCCAAGTGAACAATAGTTGGCGTCCCCACCCAATATCAAGTTTACAGAATCTTAAAAACGTATTAAACCTACCTAATGAAAAAGACTGACATTTAAAAATGCAAGCTTCTTTTGATATACTTATCTATAACTTGCAAGCTCACTAACTGCACTAGTTTCAAGGCATTCATTCTTTTTTAGAAAATCCCTGGTCTACACTCTCAATGACATTCTGCTGTCAATTCTCAAGTTCTTCAAATGGGCAAGAGAATGTACAAAATTAATTCATAAAACATAAACATTAAATATCTGTCTAAAGTATGTCAAGTATTATGTCACAATGTGTTATCAAAATCACAGAACACAATCAGGTTAACCTTCCTACTACATGCAGCGACTTTGTTTACAGATTTATTCCCAGTAATCAGGACAGTAGAATCTCAAAACGGGTATTGTCCATTCAACACTTTTCCTGTATTTTACATGCTTGTATTTTATGCAACTTAACAGTAGTGCTCTGAAATACTGACCTAAGGAAAATGCTGATTGCTAACATGGAATAGTTTTCCCATGGAAAGACTCATTGAACGGTGAACCTAAGTCTTGGTTCTAACTTCATGAAATCATTCCCCACATTTGTTAACTTAAAATACTACTTTTCAGGTAAGAGCTTATTTCATAGATGGGCTTCATGATCAAAATAACTCAGGCATTTAAACCATGCTTCATGTTTTGAACATTCAAAATGAGTGAACACATCTACCTGGTACACATTATTCGTCAGATTCAACTTTTTCGTGTACTTTCTTAAGCTTAAGCATAGTTTAAATAATTACACAAGTCAGCGTTACTTAACACACGAATTAAATGATTTATTTAATTGTGCTAGATTGCCATAAAGCTTAACTGGCTGAAGAGATACTTGGCCTAAGTGATATACATGCTTTCTAATACTCCAACTGTATTTTTCCTCAACCTATAATTTTACCACAAGAATTAATTATTTTCTTTTATTCACCACCTAGGACCGAGGTTCTTCATTCCGAGCCTCACAAAAGTCCTCAAAAAAAAAAAAAAAAACCCTCCTAAAACAAATCCTACCACGAGAAAATTGTTTTGATTTTTAAAATTAGTTCACTGTTACAGAATTCAACTAAAGCTAAAGAGAAACAACTCCTTTCAGAGAAGCACGTGGCAGGAAGGGGTAATTTCAACTTTCAACATATAAATGCAGCTTTAAAGATTCAGACCTTAGGTCCAACACCTGCTTGCTATTGATCATGCACGTTCTTATCTCCAAACTGCTTGCTCTTTTTTTTCATCCGCAACAAACTGGTAAAGCGAATGCAAAAATCAAGACAATCCTGTGAAACTCACAGTGCCCTAGAAACAACTATTAACCGCCAGTGAAACTCTGACCATGCTTCACGCACATGTGGTGGAAAAAAAAAACTGCGAACTCTAAAGAGCTCTGCTGCGACTAACGCTGTGACAGCCTCTGCACTCACTTCACCCACGAGGCCCAGACCCCACCACGTGAAAGATTCAGTTTGGGGAGTCGAGAGAGAGGATCGTGACTCGAGGACGTTCCTCGGGATGTCCTGCAATCACCAGTCTTCATTCATAATTCCCGCTCCTGGTTAATCGAGTGTGGCCAAACTCCTCCATTTCCCAACGGCTCAACTCACCCCAGCAAGTTATGAGAAAGTCCTAACAGTTGAGAGGTGGAAGAGAAACAAATAAAGGACATGCGGCACCCCAACCTGCAGCTTACTCCACACGTCTGATGGCCTGGAACGACCCCCTGCTTTTCAGCGGGGATACTCCGCGCCGTCGTGGGACAAGACGGCAGGACAGGAGCCTGAAACAACAGCACCTCAAAGGAGCAGCTCTGCGCAGTAAGCAGCGATGGACCCCCAAGCTCCTCCGTAACTACGGAAAGCTTCGGTGAGGGGCCGGCTTCCCCGCACCTCAGTCCATGCGCTCACCCGCCAAGGAATCCGGCGGGAAGGCAACAGCCTCCCAGGACCTCGAGCGCGCTCGAGGAGCAGCTCATCTCCGACCACGCTCCTCTGCTCACAACCTGAGGCGGGAAGGGGATGGCTCCGAGAACCTCGCCGGCGGTGGCTTGAACTTGGGGCTACCACGCTCCTGGCACCTTCGCAGGACCGGACTTTTGTCGCGTGAAGAAACGTGAGGATATAGGCGGCAAAGTCTCCCGCGGACCCTCGGAGCTCCAGAAACAAGTGGCAGCCGGCAGCCCCCTCGCTCCTTCCCTCCATCCCAGTCTCCCCCACATTCTGCCCCTGCTTTACCTTCTTTCTTAAGCGCCACGGGCGGCTGCGTCTCCTCTTTCTTGTCAACCACGCCAACGCTGGGGGGCAGCGGGTTCTTGCGGTCTTTCTGGGACTCCTTGCGCAGCTGTTTGCCTGCCGCGTTGGAGTTGGTCTGGGCCGCGGCCTGAGCTGCGCTCTTGGCCCCAGGGCCCCCAACGCCGCCCCCGCCGGCTTCTTTTTTCTTGTTCTCTGCTGCCTTCAGCACCTCGAAGGGGTCCGATTCGTCGTCAAATAACTGGTCGAATCGGTTGGTGACCACGCAGCCGAAGCCTTCCTGTAAGTGCCCAGGCATGATGGTGGCTCGGCGGCGCGTTCCTCCACGGATTGCAGCGGGCCGCGCCGAGCCAAGAGCGCCTGCTTCAGCTCTTCCCACAAGATGGCCGGGCCGAGAGAGGGGGGCCGTCTTCTCTTCCGGCGCCAGGCACACATCCGGGAGCGGCCTGCGCCGCAAGGCACTGTGGGGTATGTAGGCCAGAGTCATTTCTCCTGAGGCGACTCTCCGCGTCGGGACTACAATTCCCAGGACGCACCGCGCGACAACTCTTCGCGCGCGCCTGAGAGGCGAGACCCCATGAGGGGAGTGAAGCGTGCGGGCTGAAGGAAGGGAAGCGTGGTGGTGGGCGGAGTCCTGCCACCTGCTCTGGCCACCCTTAAACTCTCTAGGTCTTCAGCTACCTTGAAACCAAAAAACCGTGACGGCGTAACTGACTCGCGAAAGTGCTCTTTGGTTTCACTCACGCCCCCTCGGGCTCAGGGCTAACTTTCCCCACCGCTCCAGGGGGGTCAAGGTGACTCCCAGACCTTACATCTGAGACGCACAAACTTCCGGGGGAGGGGGTGTTGCTGAGGCGCCGCGCCGGCCGCGGGTAGGCTGGACCCTGCCTGTGCCAAGTCCGAGCTGCTCAGTTGCTGGAGTGGCCCTCCGTCAGCCTCCACGGTGAATCGAGGCTCTTCTGTCTAATGTGAGGGGGAATACGTTTCCTCTCGCGGGGACATGAACTAGGGTAGCAGAACTAACCAAAAAGACAAGTGAAACTATCACATGGGAGCGTGGCGCGTCTTTCCCGGGCTTCTCACCGTGTGGCGGCGGGTGTCGTAGGAGTGGTTAACTCCTGACGGTGCAGCGCTAGACGCGGGGCAAGCCTCCAGGAAGCACTGTTTATAGAAACCCTGTTACAATTATTCCAATTAATCGTCCGTTCGTGTCCGGCAAGTCAGGGCTTAGGTGGCTGTGTTGTTAGTCACATGCGCTCAATACATATCATTTGAGAACATTTCGAGTGCATGTGTGCTAGGAGTTGCGGTGAGGGGAGGGAAATATTGAAGTCAACACTTAATAATGACAAAGCATTGATACTAGTTGAGAATATTAAAATTCATTAAAAGAATACAATTTGAATGCGTATTTAAGCACATTTGGTAGCACCGGGTTTAAGTATATCATAATTTTTAAGTCCTTTTCCATTAACACAAAGTAGCAAATGCATCGCTTATTTGGTAGGAGCTATGAATAACCTTGAACTCAACATTTTGTTAGGCAAATAGTTTGCCTCTTTTCACAAATGTTGAAACCACTTCAGAGATGAAATGATTTACCAAATTCACACCTCTGTAAGTGCTAGTGACAGGCATTAGCCCAGTATTCTATCTCCACTAGGAGACTGGACATCAGCTCTTTAATTCAGACTGCCCTGATAGAAAGCAGTCCAATTTTTAAATTTCCGATATAATTTAAACATTGTTGCGTGTCAGGATATGTAACATGGCGGAATGTAATCATCAATTTCCGAGCAGATTTTAAATCAATTCCTTAGCAGGGAAAATAGAAGACACGAGTCATATTACATACATGGGGCAGCAAGCCTCCTGGTTTTCTTGTTTCTCAATCCTCCCCTATTCCTCACTTATTTCCCTGCTGCCTCAGTCCTGCACCCTGCCCACAACGCCCAACCTCAAACACACCCCCTATCTCATCCCCCCTTCCACAGGCTCTGGTTCTGTGGCACCTACCAAGACAAGGAGCTTTTGACCATACTCTTCCCACCTTTTTGAAATAGCTCAAGTGCAATGTAGAAGATCTCCACATTTTGACAGATTTTCTCTCTTCACGGGCTGTTGCGTCTCTGAGACTGCCTGCATCTTTGAGACATCTGTGAAAGCTCCTCTTCTTAACTCTTTCTGGCCACGGCCACAGTAACAATATTCATACTAAAACGTGATGTTTTAGTGTGTGCTTGGTGCACTTTACATACGTGATCTCCTTTAAACCTTACATCAACTCTATAAGAAAGTTATTACTCCATACCTCCCCCCCGCAAAAAAAAAGTTATTGCTCCTGTTTTAAGATTAGGAAAATGAAAACAAAGAGCTTAAGTAAGTTAACTACTCCTGCCACAATCTGGGGGGTGGGGCAGGCCTGTTGTTATTCATTTTTCTCCTCCATTACAGATTTCTGGTTTGCTCAAACAGAGCTTCGTAACCACCAAGCATTATTACAATAAGAATATTTGAAAATAAGCTACACATAGAGGAATTTTCTGGCTATGAATTTATGAGGTTCATTTATGCTCTTCAGAGAATTTACCTATTAAGATTACATAAAAATGTTATGAAT